>NC_000016.10:65471591-65774621 GCF_000001405.40 Homo sapiens | reverse complement strand
AATGCAGAGACAGATTCATTTCCCCGGCTACCCTAGCTCTCCCGCATGAGTGGGCCATTTTGCCCTTTGGGGGCCTCAGTATTCCCATCTGTCAAGTGGGCATACCCATTTCTGCCTATTTGTAGGCCTCAGAGCTAGAGATGGAAGGGGAAGTGCTGGGACAGGTGGAAAGCATCCTCCTGAAGTTCCAGTGGTGGGGTGTAAATGTCCCCAGAGTTTTGAAGCATCTGTCCATGCAGCTTTCTGATGGCCCACGTGTCCCTCCTAGGTTATGGAGTCATTGGTCATGATAGCAGCAGCTTCACAAGTCCCCCTCCCCATCAGCCCAGTCATCCTTTTTTGTTTGTTTGTTTTTTGAGATGGAGTCTTGCTCTGTCACCCAGGGTGGAGTGCATTGGTGTGATCTCAGCTCACTGCAACCTCTGCCTCCTGGGTTCAAGCGATTCTCCTGCCTCAGCCTCCCGAGTAGCTGGGATTGCAGGTACTCACCACCACACTTGGCTAATTTTTTTTTGTATATTTAATAGAGACAGGTTTTCACCATGTTGGCCAGGCTGGTCTGGAACTTCTGACCTCAAGTGATCCACCTGCCTCGGCCTCCCAAAGTGCTGGGATTATAAGCGTGAGCCGCCATGCCCGGCCCCAGTCATTCTTTTACCTTCACTTCTGCTCAGCTGCTTGGCTTCCAGGTGAAGGCTGAGCTCACAGGCGTGGAATCTGACAAGATGAAAGTGCTCTGGGGGAATCTGTCATTCGTGGGCCAAGGGTCACAAGGAGGTCATGGCCTCTTTCTCCTGCTTTGTCTCAGAGCCAAAGGCAGCTCCTCCGACTCCCATCGCCTGTCCCTGGTCGCCACAGCTGGGAGTTCTCCTTGCATCTTGGCTGTGACACTTGACACGATTTGCAACATATGGAAATCAGCCTCTGTCTGCCTGCAGAGTGGTTTTCAGTTTTCAGGCCCCAGAAGGTGTCGGAATGCAGACCAGTCTCTCTACTGCTCTAGAGAGCAGGCTGTGTTCACAACACAGGTCTCAAATAGCTTGTCAAAATTGGGAAATGGGGACAGCAGGGAGCCACCTGGGACTTGTGGCCTTAGGAAAGCGAAAATCCACAAGGTGTCTTCAGGGTGAGACAGAGGCAGGCACCTTTTCAACCCTCCTGTTACTGCCTGCAGGACACCTCGCTAATTAAGCTGCCTTCCCTGTGGCTGGTCACATTCCTTTGATCTGTTGGTCCCACCTGGGCCAAGTTTTAGCTGAATGACCTTGGCCAAGTGACCTAACTGCCCTGAACCACAATGTCGTCGTCTGTATAAAAGAAGGAAACCATGCCCTGCTGAGTTATTTTGAGATGAGAGTTAATGCATGCTGTAGGGGAGGAAAAATAATTCTCTTCTCTGCCCTTCATGAGTTCTCAGCTGGGACTCCTTGTACCAAAAGACATATTAGCAAGAGAAAACCAAACAGAAGTTTAATAGGAACATGTATACATCCTGTATCCATGGGAGTTAACAAAGTGAAGTGAATACACCTCTAGATTAGATCTCAAAGAGTTGTCTCAGACTTCAGGCTTAAATACTTTCTGAAACAAGGCCGGGCACGGTGGCTCATGCCTGTAATCCCAGCACTTTGGGAGGCCAAAGCAGGCAGATCATGAGGTCAGGAGCTCGAGACCAGCCTGGCCAGCATGGTGAAACCCCGTCTCTACTAAAAATACAAAAAATTAACCGGGCATGATGGCACGCGCCTGTAGTCCCAGCTACTCGGGAGGCCGAGGCAGGAGAATTGCTTGAGCCTGGCAGGCAGAGGTTGCAGTGAGCCGAGATCATGCCATTGCACTCCAGTCTGGGCGACAGACAGAGAGTCCGTCTCAAAAAAAAAATAAATAAATAAAAATAAAACACTTTCTGAAACAAAGAAAGTTGTGGGAAAGGTAGAGGGAAGCCTGATTAAGACAAGGTGGCTAGGAATTCACCAAATCACGGTAAAACAAAGGTAAGGTTTGTTATGCAGATTTAAGTAAGTCATTGCCTTCTCCATTGATTAAGTCTTCAGTGATTAGTTTTCCCTCTCTCCCTGGTACAGAGAAGGAGACACCCTTACAAATGGAGATTTCCTTTCTAAATGTAAATTTCTCTGACAAAAGAGTTAACTTTCTGACGGCTTCTCCTGTGTCTGCAGTTTCTCAAAGTAACAGGTCGAAATTATCCTTATACCAAAGAGGCATATTTTGAGGTGGCACGTGCTGGTCTCCTACAGTCATATTTTCAGATGGTGTGTCCTGAACCCCATCAATGTGGAATTCCTGGCAGCCGGCCAAAGACCCAGACTGTTGGAGTTACTGACATTGGTGCTTTGTAGAGTTGTCATATCTCCAGCACATATAGCTTGAATTTTGGGGGACATTGTGGGTATTTGATGACTGTTTGATTATTGCCTGTATAAATTCTGAAATCTGAAAATGGGAAGCTGGAAGAAATTTTGAACTGAACTCTCTTTGCTCTTTTTCAATTTGAGATACATTTTCTGATTTTTAAGACTCATGGTATTAAAGAAATTAATTTCCTACCTCTCTTATCATTGAAGTAATACCACATCTGTTTGCTGAGCAGCCTCTTGAAGGCTGCATCTCCTTTCTTTGTTCATCTCCTCATTGATGATTCACTGCAAACTCACCCACCTGCTCCTTAGACTTGGGTTCTGTGGACAAGTGTGATGCATATAACCTAATAACCACACATCATCAAGGCTGTGATCTTGCCTCTGATAGATGAGGTCAGGCCATACTTTGCATATTTAAAACGTGTTTTTCCTAACTTGCTACCTCATAACAAAGGAAGAGCCAAATCACACCCTCATTAGCTTCAAAGAGAAATACTGATTTTTTTTCTTTTTCTTGCATTGGCAAGAGATTTCGTTTTGCTTAAAGGAAACACAGATGACACTAATGAGACCGCAGTGTCTTAATTTGCATATTAGATGAGATAAATATTGAGCTAATTAATACCTCGGATGAATTTTCATTGCTTGGTACAATTGTTCTATGGTGATAGTAGTTCTCTGCTTCTTACCCAGGAGCAGAACAATTTGAAGGCAGAATCACTTCCCCACAAATAATTCAGGCCAATGAAGAATCCTCCCAGGAAATGCTCTCCAGGATTCTTATTTTAATTTATAGTCAATCTTGGAAGCACCACAATGTAGCAGTCTCTCATTGCCCAAGGTGGTACCCAGAGTCCTTTGTCTCATGACCAAGAAAGCTGAGGAGCATGGACACCAAGGGTAAGGTTGGAGGAAAAGTTTAATAAGCAAAAGAAGAAAGTTCTCCGCTGTGGAGAGGGCACCTAGAGGAGAGTTGCCATTTTTACAGCTGAATGCAAAGGCTTTTATAAGAAACTGATGAGGGCTGGGTATCTCATTTGCATAAAGTGTGAATTTCTGGTAGCTCCACCTTGTCCTCCTAGTGCTTATGTGGGCCCTTAGCTTGAGTTACTGCATATTGCTTTGTTTCCCTTACTGCACATGTGTCAGGGTACAGAATTTTCCATTTTGAGCATGTCTGAGCAACTCACCTTTGTAGCCTTTCTTATCTGTGTGGCTGTGGGCATGTTTTATGCAAGCCTCCCTGTGCAAGTTCCCTTACCTGTGCCTTCAGGCTATTCTTTTGTTTGAAAGAATTCAACTGAGGACTTACCTTAACCGCCTGCCTGACTGGTTTCTTCCTTCCTCCTCTCTCAAAGTGATACCAACAGATCTGCTGGACAGACCAGAGAAGAACAGAACAGACAATGCAGGGCAGAGAGGGAGCTGTGGGAAAGGGAAGTTTTCCTTTCCAGGGTTCTGGAATAGGGTTTAGAAAGGATTTAACCTGGGTTGGACAATATTCTACAAGCAGGACTGGCTACATAATGTTAAAAAATAATTCAATACTTGTTAACTCTTGGTAAAGTAGACTTTACTCAGGATCATGTCAATAGGCGTAGGGACTACTGTAATGGGGTTTTGCAGTCAGGGAGAGAGATTAGATTCGACTCAAAACGTATATGGACAAGTCAAAATCTATAGCCAAGGTGCAGGGTTGGGGCCAGCGGATGGAAAATTACTAAGAGGAAACATCAGAGATAAGGGGAAGGATTTCTGGCTAAACCAACCTAACAAGATTCTTGCTGAAGAAAGGCCAGGGTGATCAGACACCAGATGGGGAATGGTGGAGGGTGAGGAACCTGATTAGGTATAGAGGGTGATCAGATATCAAGAGTAGGGATTTCTGGCTAACCTGATTTTTCTGGGCTCCTTGCAAAATCTGCCAAGGGCACAGATGAGCCTAGGAGAAGGCTCAGGAGCCTGACCAAAGTTTGGACAAACAAAGAATCTTTGTCAGCAATTTATTGGGTCCAGTACAAGATGAAAATGTAGAGTTCCTTGTTCAAAAATTAATTTCAAGAGTCACCTCAAGAATGGCAAACTTCATAAATTTGGAAAGGAGAGCTTCATTTCTCGTAAAGTATTGCCCCTGCAGGGTGGCCATTCTGACCATCTGGAAAGCCTAGCCATCAGTCAGAAGCCAGAAAAAAGTGCTTTGAGGGTGGGAAGAATTAGACTGGAATTCATGTGGTCAAACCCTTATCTGTGCCTGCAGGCTGTTCTTTTGTTTGAATGACCTCAACTGAGGACCCACCCTAACTGTCTGCCTGACCAGTTTCTTCCTTCCTCTTCTCTCAGTTTCAACACTGCAACCACCCAGTATTCCTTCCCACACTGCAACCACCCAGTATTCAACACTGCAACCACCAACAACAGAGTGGTTCTGGCCAAAGAATGGAGGATGTGCAGTGAGTGTTTTCATTTCCTCTGATTCTCTTTTTGACATCAGAGGGCCAAAAACTCCATCCTTGGATATACCAATGGAGTGGTCAAACACACATATTCAATAGGTTACAGGAGGATCTATGAATATTCATGAAAGGACAAAAATGTACATGGGAGATTGAGCTTTATTCTTCTTCATGAGTTCCATGTTCAAAAAATAGTGGAATAGTACGATCCAGGGATGGAGTTTTTGGCCCTCTGATGTCAAAAAGAGAATCAGAAGAAATGAAAACATTCACTGCACATCCTCCATTCACTGGCCAGAACCACTCTGTTGGTGGTGGTCTCTTATCAGGAAGGAATACTGGGTGGTTGCTGTGTTGAAACTGAGAGAGGAGGAAGGAAGAAACCAGTCAGGCAGGCAGTTAGGTCCTCAGTTGAGTTCTTTCAAACAAAAGAATAGCCTGCAGGCACAGATAAGGGAACTTGCACAGGGGAGGCTTGCATAAGATATGCCTACAGCTACACAGATAAGAAAGCCTACACAGGAGACTTGCCCAGACATGCTCGCAATGGAAAATTCTGTTGCCTGACACATGCACAGTAAGGGGAACATAGCAATATGGAGTAACTCAAGCTAAGGGCCCACATGTGTGCTAGGAGGAAGGGGTGAAGCTACCAGAAATTCACACCTTATGCAAATGAGATGCCCAGCCTGCATCAGTTTCTTATAAAAGCCTCTGTATTCAACTGTGAAACGCAACCCTTTTTTGGGACCCCTCTCTGCGGCAGAGAGCTTTCTCTCTTTCTTTCACTTGTTAAACTTTTGCTTCTACCTCACCCTTGGTGCCCATGCTCCTTAACTTTCTCGGTTGTGAGACAAAGAACTTCGGGTGATACCTTGGGCTATGAGAGACTGCTATATTATGGTGCATTGGTGAGACCATAACAAAACCACAAAAGGGAGGGACAGTCACAAGGTTGGTTGAAATCAGAACTGGAACAAGTCTTTCCATAGGGGTGGTTTCTGGTTAGCCCTTAGGAAACAGAGCCTAATGGTGGTTAGCGAGGGAGAGGGCATAATGAGGCATGTCCAACCTCCCAGCCCATATGGCCAGCAGTTCAGTTTTCAAGGTTTTTCTGGGGTCCCATTGGTTGAGAGGGGGTCCATTAAGTTGGTTGGGGAAGCTTAGGATTTTATTTTTACTTCTCTCACAAGACAACAATAGAACATTGAACCCCATGTGGAGCCCTTCTAAGTGTGGCTTCTGTTTTCCTGCACACATGCTCACGAAGCTGGCTCTGTCTAGTAGTGGAATGTGAGCCTTACAGAGAAAAAAGAAAGGAGAAAAAATTAGAAAAAAGAAATATTATTTCTTGTCTAGCTCATTTCAATGAACAAAATGAGTATAATTGAATTTAAATAAAATTAAATGAAAACACTGAATGCTTAGCGCCAGGCCTGCTGGGGCTGTGCTGCCTGCTCTCTTTCTCCTCCAAGGCCAGGAAGGCTGTGTCTGTTGCACTTGTGATTTTACTGACTTCACTGAGTACAGACCTCAATCCTCTTTCCTCCTCCCACCTGGTCCAGAACTCATTCCACACCTTCCACAATGCTTGCTCAATTTTCAACTTTGGAGCGCTAAGCTTTGCTCTGCCTTTTGTATTTTAATTGCTTTCTCTCCTGCTTTTAATGAGCAATCAGGGCTATTTCTTTATTGAGGACCTGCTGGCAAATTTCAAGCAGTGTGTGTGTATGTGAAAGGAATAGGTGAAATCACATCCTCTGGCATGATTAGCCACAAGGAGGGGTTAAATAGACATCCATCTAAGGGAAAATGTCCACTTAATGTGCAGCCTTAATTCAAAGGAAATGTCAAGTACTCAACTAGATGCTCTGTGGCAATGGAAGAAAAGATTGGAAGGAGGGGTTGTGGAGATATCTGAGACCACAGCCAATGTGGGGAAATTAGCTTAGGTAGGTGTGTGCAACTGTGAGCTGGTGCACTTGTGTGTTTCGTGCCCCACATGCTCCATCAGAATTAACTAGGTAGGAAGTAGGAAGTAGGCAGTAGGCAGGAAATAAAGGCCAAAGTATTGTGGGCTAAGTTAGGAGAGAACATAAGCTCGTCATTACAGAGTAAGGTACTGTGTTGGTGCAGGGAATATTACATTTTAGGATTCCCTGGAAGAAATGATCGCTTTTGCCCCACATCTTGTTATTTTGGGGAGGTGATTTGTAATAATGTTGCCAGTGGGGTATTTATTTCTTCAAATTTCTATATTTTCTACAACCACCCTGGTGTCCCACACTCAGCTGGCTGACAATACATGCAAGCTGATTGACAGGCAGAGATGAAGAAAGCCATGAAATGAGTTTCCTCCCTGAAGGAATGGAAACCTTGGGCCTTCAATTAGTCCCTTTCCTCCCGGCTGGAACTCTTCAGTATGACAAAGGCATCAGGTTACAAAGGGATGCAGGGAATTGTCGTAGCAGGACCACAGATGTCACACATGTCCCGAACTCTCAGAGACAGCTGAGCTCAGTGATAGCAAACGTGGCTCTGTGTCTGTGGTTTTTTATGAGACTCCCCTGTGCCCTGAAGGACAAAGTTCATGGTTTAGAGCTACAACAGCCATTGCCTCAAATGGGCAATTTGACCACTTAGCTCAAAGTGAGCAAATATTTTCTATGATTAGAAAAATTTTTTTGTTAAACTAACCCAACAAAATGGCAAATGACAACATTTTAAAAAGGAAAGTTCTGCAATCCCACCATCCCAAAGCTATTGAAAAAGGATTTGCAGGCTGGGTGCGGTGGCTCATGCCTGCACTTTGGGAGGCCGAGGCTCCCAGCGCTTTGGGAGGCCAAGGCGGGCAGATCACCTGAGGTTGGGAGTTCGAAACCAGCCTGACCAACATGGAGAAACCCTGTCTGTACTAAAAATACAAAATTAGCCAGGCTTGGTGGCACATGCCTGTAATCCCAGCTACTGGGGAGGCTGAGGCAGGAGAATTGCTTGAACCTGTGAGGCGGAGGTTGTGGTGAGCTGAGATCGCGCCATTGCACTCCAGCCTGGGCAACAAGAGCAAACTTCCGTCTCAAAAAAAGAAAAAAGAAAAAGGATTTGCTTCTTTCAAAAGAGAGGACTGGACATTTGGAAGTTCTGAGTATTCCATTATATCAACCACAAATGGGGTGAGTGAACATGTCATGTGTGTTTGTGTGTGTGCGTGTGTGGGCTTGGTCCTTTCTGGCCCTGTATACCCCTTGTCAGTCTGAGTGTGCCATATTTAAAGTTGTCTATGTCAGATGTAACTGTAGACTCTGTCTTAGTCAGCTCAGGCTGCCATCACAAAGGACTGTAGAGTAAGTGGCTTAAACAACAGACTTATTTTCTCATAGTCCTGTTACTGGAAAGGGGTACTGATCTAGACCCCATGAGAGGGTTCTTGGATCGCATGCAACAAAGAATTTGGGGCACGTCCATAAAGTGAAAGCAAGTTTATTAAAAAAGTAAAGAAATAAGCTGGGTGCGGTGGCTCATGCCTGTAATCTCAGCACTTTGGGAGGCCAAGGCAGGTGGATCACCTGAGGTCAGGAGTTCAAGACCAGCCTAGCCAACATGGTGAAACCCCATCTCTACTCAAAATACAAAAATTAGCCAGGTGTGGTGGCAGTTGCCTGTAATCCCAGCTACTTGGGAGCTGAGGCAGGAGAATCGCTTGAGTCCGGGAGGCAGAGGTTGCAGTGAGCTAAGATCATGCTACTACACACTCCAGCCTTGGCAATGGAGTGAGACTCTGTCTCAAAAAAGAAAAAAAAAAGTAAAGGAATAAAAGAATGGCTACTCTGGCAGGGTACGGAGGCTCAGGCCTGTAATCCCAGCACTTTGGGAGGCAGAGGCAGGCGGATCACCTGAGGTTGGGAGTTCGAGACCAGACTGACCAACATGGAGAAAACCTGTCTCTACTAAAAATACAAAATTAGCCAGGTGTGGTGGTGCATGCCTGTAATCCCAGCTACTCGGGAGGCTGAGGCAGGAGAATCGCTTGAACCCAGGAGGCAGAGGTTGTGGTGAGCTGAGATAGTGCCATTGCACTCCAGCCTGGGTAACAAGAGCGAAACTCCGTCTCAAAAAAAAAAAAAAACAAAAAACAAAACAAAAAAAAACTGGGAGAGGAACATCACACACTGGAGCCTGTCGGGGGGTGGGGGGCTAGAGGAGGGATAGCATTAGGAGAAATACCTAATGTACATGATGGGTTGATGCGTGCAGCAAACCACCGTGGCACGTGTATACCTATGTAACAAACCTGCACTTTCTGCACATGTATCCCAGAACTTAAAGTATAATAAAATAAATAAAAAGTAATAGCTACTCTCTAGGCAGACAAACAGCATGGGCTGCTGGTTGGCTCTTTTTATGGTTATTTCTTGATTGTATGCTAAATAAGGGAAGGGTTATTCATGAGTTTTCCAGGAAAGGGGTGGGCAATTCCCAGACCTAAGGGTTCACCTCCCTTTTTAGACCATATAGGGTAACTTCCTGACATTGCCAAGGCATTTGTAAACTGTCATGGTGCTGGTGGGAGTGTCTTTTAGCATGCTAATGCATTATAATTACTATATAATGATCAGTGAGGACAACTAGAGGTCACTTTTATCGCCAACTTGGTTTTGGTGGGATTTCACCAGCTTCTTTACCGCATGCTGTTTTATCAGCAAGGTCTTCGTGACCTGTATTTTGTGCTGACCTCCTAGCTCATCCTGTGACTAAGAATGCCTAACCTCCTGGGAATGCAGCCCAGTAGGTCTCAGCCTCATTTTACCCAGGTCCTATTCAAGATGGAGTCACTCTGGTTCAAATGCCTCTGACAGTCCCTGGAGGCTGGAAATGTGAGATCAAGGTGTCAGTAGGGTGGGTTTCTTCTGAGGCTTCTCTTCTTGGTGGCAGGTGGCTGCCTTCTCCCTGTATCCTTACATGGTAGACCCTCAATCTGTGCGTGTCTATGTCCTGATCTCCTCTTCTTATAAGGATACCAGTCAGATTAGATTTGGGCCTACCCAAATGGCTTTCATTTGACTTAATCACCTCTTTGAAGTCCCCGTCTACAAGGGTCTTCAAGATCCATGTTCTGAGGTCCTGGGGATTAGAGCATCAATCCATTAATTTTGAGGACACAATTCAGCCCATAACAGTGATCAAGTAATTTCCCTTCACGTGACCAAGCGCAGGTTGCCCAAAGTTGGAGAGTAATTGAAAGCATTTGAAGAAACTGGGGCAAAGATGCTCCAGGAGGAGAGGGATGGACACCTGGTTTTTCCTTTTCTGCAGGCCTCAGGTCCCTTAACCCACTCTATGTACCCCTTTGGTGAGTGTCATTCCCACAGGGCCAGACATTAGAGGACACTCCCTGTACCAGCTCAGGCTTTCTCTGTTTCTCCTGGGAGCACAGAGGCTCACAAGACTGTCGGCTGCTGAACTTCACTCTATTGTTGATAATGTGTGCATCAAGATTTTATTAGTGACACCTGACAGAAACAATGAGGACGGAGGAGAAAAATAGAAGGGATCTGGAGGAGGTTAGGGCTATTCAATGTTCTGTCTTGCAATTTTGATCCTCCATCCATCACTCCTTCTGCCTGGCTTTTGTCATGTCTCTTAAACGTGCAGCTCTTGTGAGTGGAAAGGACTTTGACCAGTAGAGAAAGGCAGAAAGCAGCCGAACTTTATTTAGCCTAGGCCTGGATTGCTCGCTTTGCTTAGCTCAGCACTGACTGTTGGTGGTGGGCAGGCAGTTTGTAATTCATAGACTCAGGCAAGAAGAGACAGCCAGGAACCACCACCCTCTGCGCCTCCCACCAGCTCTAGGGCCACACAGGGCCTCTCACAGCTTCTCTTTGCTGGAGAAGTTTGAGGTCTGCCCTGTTGGGTAACCCACTCCCCCAGTGACCGCAGACCAGGTGGTCTGGCATCTGTTTTCTGCCCAGTGTGAAGTGATACCCTTTGAAGATACTGAGATGCCCTTTGAAGTCAAAAATAATTGTTCTCAGTGGTGATTTTTCTCTTTGGCTCATTCTTCCACAGAGGGTGATGGTTCATGCTTGAAGAAGTCTTGCCTAAGAGAAAAAATGCCAGAAGAGGAAATGCAGGAAATGTGGCCCGCATTTGAGGGCATGTCCCCTCCCACTTTGCTTCAACGCTGCTCTCTCTTTAGGGTTCACCTGCCCCTCTTCCAAGGGGCCCTCCCTGACTACTTCAGGGCAGACCAATCTCTGAGCACCACAGGGCTCCTCACCAGCTCCTCTGGGAAAGATCTACTTCCTCTGCAGACACTTTGGGTCAGAGCCTTAAACTTGACCTTTAGAAGCCAGCATGGGGTTGGACACACAGAGCTATTCAATAAGTATGTATCAGATGAGTAGGGTGCAGCTGAATATCTAGTAACGAAACTTCCCTGCCCTGACTACTCCGGCCTGGTCAGATGTGATCTCTTCAGGGAGGCCACCTCTAACCTGAACATTCACTCCTTCCTCTGTATAGCCTTGTACATTGGTCTTTCATGTGCATATTCCATGGTTTTTATATTTATTTGTTTACATCTCACTTTCCTCCCATCCCAGCAGAATATGACCTATTCCTTTTGATATTCCCCAAACCAACAGGTTTGACTCTGTGAAGACACATGCCATGACAATTGAACTGAATTACACCTAATTAGGAGGAGAAATAATCATGTTGCTTAAAGTATGCTAAATCTGGCTTTGGCTAATTTAGAAGCAATTACTTAATTTATTTTCTCATTACTTATGGAGCAGGTATTATGTCAAAGCATAGTTCTGGGCATTACAAATGAAATAAGTGTATATTTGTTGAGTTATTCCTATAGACTACCAACTTTCAAAGAGGCTACCTCTCTGCACCTCACCAGAATAGGATCAGGAATAGTGTCTGTTCTGCTCACTGCAGAATTCCCAGTGCCTATATCAGTGTCTGGAAAATAAGGCACTCCACAAATATTTATAAAATGAATGAATAGCTTATGAGACAAATTTTATTATACCATTTTGTGGAGAAGTTAAATCACTTGCTGAAGGCCATTCAGATGTTACCTGGTAGAGTCATGATTCCAGTCTGGTCTGTTTGACTCCAGTGGACATGGTATCTCCATGTATCCCCATCCTCTCCCAGCATTGGAAGATGGCAATGCCTCCATCATCATCAGTTGAGGACACAGATGCTGTCAGATGAAATGGGTGTGATCCAGAAAATGTTCTAGGTGGGACTGGAGGTAATGCAGGTTATTATAGTTACAACAATTATTATTAGCAATGATATAGGAGTTAAGAAAATCCTTAGGCAGATAGTGAGGAAATAGAAGTCCTTAGTAAGGTTTTCCTTTCAATGAAAACCAGCCCCCAAATCATTTTCTTTTCTAACAAAGAGCAGCCCATAAAATTGGGCTGCAGACATGAACAGGTGAGCCGGATGGTTGCACAGGTGAATGCCAGCAGTCGTGCCCATCTTCTCTTTTTGCTAGCCACATGTACAGTAAGGAGCCAATAAGATGGCGCTGGCCAAGTGGAAAGCTCTTTTGCATAATAAGATTAGGGTGGGGTGACCAGCCTTCTCCACATGCTATGTAAATGTCACAGCTGGTCAAACCAATCTCTGAGCCCTAGGTAAATCAGACACTGCCTTCCCAAGCCTTCTTATAAAATCTGCAGCCATCAGTTGCCTTTCCCCTTTTCAGATGCCTCTCTCTGGCAAGGAGCTGCTCTTCCATCTCCTTTCTTCTGCCTATTAAACTTTCAGCTCCTTAACCCACCCACATGTGTCTGTGTCCTTAATTTTTGTGGTGCGAGATGATGAATCCCAGGTATTTACCCCAGAGATGCTGCTTCAGCAAGTTATTCTGCAAAATATTAGGGGAGGACTCAAAGAGAAAGTGGTAATTAGCAGAGCCTGGTAGAATTAGAGATTTGTAACCTTCACATGATGGTAGCAAAGGAATGTTAATGGTGGATCCCAGGCCTGCAGGAGAGGCAGACATTGGTTTGACCACCACTTTTTTGTCCTAGGAAATTCATTAAGCAAACTTTTACCTGATACCTAGGCTGGGCCTGGATTCTGGAACAGACAAGTCCTGTACCCTCAAATAGCTAATGATCTAGTCAGAGAAACAGAGTCAGTCACACAACACAGCAGTGTGGTGGGATGATGGTCACAGTACAGCCCTCTTGTGTGGGGGTCATTTAGCCATGTTATGGTGCTGTTCATTATCTGGATATGTCTCTGGGAGAGTCCCAGGTTTGAATGTATTTGTTGGCCAAGGTCTGTTGAATGGAGCCTTTGTTTTTCAGCAAAGTAATCATCTCTAAAAGAGTGAGAACTTGGCGCCTGCTGTCAACCCAAAGCTGAGGAGAAATTAAAGCTCTTGATCTGCAATTGATCAACTATTAAAGTCACAGCATGGGGTGTTTCTGTGCTTTGTCTGTTTTTGTTTTGCTTAATATTTACCTTATTGGTTGGAATGGCATTCCTTCATTTAAGACACATGGGAAGTGCATCTTGATGATTTATGCCACAGAGCGTCCAATTTGTGGCATAAATAACAGGTGCTCTTTTGGGAGCATTAAAATGACATTGTTGTGGAATATTTATAATGAATAGCTCAAGTGATCACTCCTGTGCTGATGGCTCAGGAGTCACTGTCTCTGCTTGAGGAGCAGGCTGTGATGTCGCCTCCTCTGTGTTGACAGTCCCTGACACTTTTTGAAAAGACAACAGAGATGACAGACTCTTATTTATCTCTAGGAGTGGATCTGTTGTTTTCGATGTTTAAACACATTTATTTAATCCCACTGCCTGCTCTGCATGGAGCCATGACTATCCCCATTCTACGGATGAGGAAATGGGAGCTCAGAAGCTCAAGTGAGTTGCCTGAGGTCACACAGCTTGTCAGAGGCGGAGTTCAATTGCCAGTGTCTCGAAAATCAGTGTCTTTTTTTCTCTATAATAAATTTTTTATTCTAGGCTTTCAAATTCCACTTACTGGTTTTCAAGATGTCTTGTTTTTGTGCGTTTTCTGTGACAGTCGGAGAGATAAAAGATTGGGTCTAATCTCACATATAAGGTGATGTGGGCTCCTGGAATCCTCTCATCCCCGTTCTAGGCTGGCCTGATTTGTAGACTCCTCAGGAACCCCCAAATAACTGAAATAGGCCCCAGTCAATTTAGAAAGTTTATTTTTCCAAGGTTAAGGACATGCCCCTGACATAGCCTAGGGAGGTTCTGACAACATGTGCCCAAGGTGGTCAGGGTACAGCTCACTTTTGTACATTTCAGGGAGACATGAGACATCAATCATTACATGTAAGATTTACATTGGTTTGATGGAGGGGAGACTTTCAGAACATAGGTGGATTTAAAAATTTTCGGATTGGCAATTGATTGAAAGAGTTCTTATTAGTAGAAAGGAATGTCTAGGTTTCCATAAGGGGTTGTGGAGGCCAAGGTTTTATCATGCAGACGAAGCCTCCAGGTAGCAGGCTTCAGAGAGAACAGATCGTAAATATTTCTTATAGGACTTAAGGTCTGTTTCTTATAGGACTTAACATCTGTGTTGACATTAATGCTGGAGGGGTATAAGGAGTCATGTCCAACCCCCTCTTCCATCACGATCTAAACTGGATTTTCAGGTTAACTCCAGAATGCCTTTGGCCAACAGGAGGGGTCCAGTCCATTCCGATGGTTGGGGGGCCTTAGAATTTTATTTTTGGTTTATGAGGGCATGGTAAATAAAGTGGGAGAAGTTATCGAGGACTAACCATTTTCCTATGTATCTATGTATCTTTTTTTTTTTTTGAGACAGAGTCCCTCTCTGTCTTCCAGGCTGCAGTGCAGTGGCACGATCTTGGTTCACTGCAACCTCTATCTCTCAGCTTCAAGCGATTCTTGTGCCTCAGCCTCCCAAGTAGCTGGGACTGCAGACACCCGCCACCATGTCCCGCTAATTTTTGTACTTTTAGTAGAGAGGAGGTTTCACCATGTTGGCCGGGCTGGTCCCCAACTCCTGACCTCAGGTGATCCTCCTGCCTTGGCCTCCCAAGGTGCTGGGATTACAGGTGTGAACCAACACACCCATCCTGTCCTATGTATCTTATATGAGCTAACTTTCTAAACCTGAAAAACAACACTATGTGGTTCTTCGCTATCCTATTGTTTCCATTCTACAGAAGATGAAGTGGAGTTATAAAGATGCTCAATGAATTACTGAAAGTCTTTAGACAATCAAGAGTTAGGGCTGGGATTTTAAATCACTGCTATCATACTCCAAAGTCCACACTTTTTCTATTGGGTTACTGTGTCTCCTAGCTGGGGACAAATGGGAAAGTAAAGACACATTTTGATGGAATGTGAAGAAGTGAGGGTGATGGTAAATGAGTGCTTGTACTTGGGAGGAGACAGTATGTGAAGGTGACAAGCCTGTGTGAGGGGTGTCAGGGACACAGGAAATGGGCCTTCAGGAGGGCAGGGCTGGCCAATACTGGGGGAGGCTGAACTCCAGATCTGGACAGGAGGTTAGGTAAAGAGGCCTCTCACCCAGTAGAGAAGGTTGAGCTAAAAGTAATGACTGTCCTGTTTCCGAGATTCCCATGCACCCTGAACATTAAATAAAGATGGTGAAAAGACCATTAAAGTTGCCCTGAATATTTTTCACTTTTCACATCCCCAGCCTCCCTTTCAATATTGTTTTTGTTTTGTTTTATGATTGCTTGCAGTAAAGCTAAGTCAGACTAAAAAGAGAAACATCCACTCTACTTTGAAAAGTGTTACTGAGGAAGCAAAAGAGTCTATTTTATATTCTGTTTTCACTGATATTTGGGACAAAGCAGTCACAGTCAAGATTGGAGTTAATGCTGGCTGGGGGATGTTTAATACTGTTACATCGGCTGGGTCATGGCTCTATTGTGTACACAGTGTTACACAGGCTGGGTCACGGCTCTGTCAGGGGGAAGTTCAATAGTGTTACACAGGCTGGATCGTGGCTCTGTCAGGGGGAAATTAAAAAAATATTAAACAGTATCTGTCCTGGCTCTGCATTTTGGGCTTCTGATAGCAAACTGGAAATGATTCTTGCTATTAACAGCGGTTTAAAAATGCACAGGGCAAAGGCAAAAGCAAAGGTTTGTCCTAGAGTTCACATCCGAGCTATAAAATGCTGCTAATCTTGAGGTTAGCCTAAAAACATTAGAACTTAGAGGCTAGACATAGAAGAAGCTGACAACTTGTAAGCAAACTTTAAGACTTAGAAACATAGTTCCTGAAGCCAGGAGTGGACAGTCCAGTGCATATAGACCTTGGGGGACAAGAGTCTCAGGAATACCCATTTATTCACTCCAAACATATTTATTGAGGGGTTACTAGAGTAAAGAAAAGCCATTACCTCATAGAGCCACATTCTAGGGGCTGAAATGTGAGCTAGAAGTGACTTGTAGCCTCCCCTACCTGGGTCACAGATGATCAGCAATGCTTTCTGAATGGAGGTCTTCATAAAAATGCAGATTCTGATTCAGTAAGTCTGGGGTGGATCCCAAGAGTGTGCACTGCTGCAGAATCCCAGGTGAAGCTGAAGTTGGTGGTTCCTGTCTTCACTGTTAGCAGTGAAGCTTAGACTCAAAGCCCACTGCTATTCTCTATTTTGCTTATTTATTTCAGTTTGTGGAGTAACATGAATCAAATTCTCCTTCCAGAGCATGAACTTCAGCATACTCAATAAATGCACTCACCATCTTGAGAAAGGAGCTGGAGATAAAGATCCCCTCTTAGTGTAGATAGAGACCTCGATGAGGCACAGCAAGCTGAGTATTAGAGTCAAAACTCTTTTTCCTAGGGAGATCACAGGAATAGGCCTTCTCACAATTTGATATTCTTCTTTGGCCGGATTTTGGGGACCATTTCTAGTTGCACGGAACCTTGACATTGGTCCACATTTATGACACTTTTATCACCTTGTATTTTCAGGAGCAGCCCCCAATCTGTGATTTGCTCCTTTTGTCTCAACAAAAACTCATATTTTTTCAGGCCTTGGGTGCCTGTATTATCACATGCATGTAAACATATATATCCATCATAGTTACTGGATCATCTCAGTGATGTATGGACCATGTGTGGTCTCCGAACCTGCAAACTCCCAATTAGATACTAGAATTTAATCAATTTCTAACCCTCCAGCATACAGGGGCAGAGGGCCTGGACTTGGCTTCACAGGAGTGCTCTGTTACTTTATCATAATAGACATGCAAAAGTTGTGAGGATATGTGCATGTGGAACTGAATAATGTCCTCTGAAAATTGGAAATCCACTTTAAGTGGGAGGCCATCTCATCTGCACCCTTGGGTATTAGGAGAAGGAGTTAAAACCTCTGAATGAGTGTGGAGAGAGACACAATGGGGTGCAACAGGCTATCAGGAAAAGGATATTGTGTTTGGAAATCAGGGCTGGGTGCAGGATGAGGAGCACAGAGTCCAAGCCTTGTTCATTTGGCCAGAGACCAGAAGCTTCTGCTCACCAAAGAGTTCCAGGAGAGATGAAATTTCATCGCGGAGAAGGGGATTGACACACAGCCAGAAGAGGCAGATGAGATTCCGAGACAAAATACGCAGTCTAGGGTAAATGCTACTTGATCTAAAATATAAACTACAAAGAGAGTAATTGTTTAGTCATTGGGGGACCTTTGAACAATTCCTTTTTTGCTACTCTCTTCATTTTAGCACCATTATCTCTGTGCTGCCCACCTGTTCCCCTGCCAAATGGGTGTGTAACCAAGTTAATGATGCTATTAGCTAAAGCTCACTGTAAAGAGAAGGCAAATTTAACCTAGGCCAAGGAGAAAAAAAAAACAAAACCCTATTTTAAAAAATTACTGTTTTGTAAACTTTTTTATCCTCAAAAAGTTTGGAGAAAATGGACTTGGCCATAAGTGGCAGCAGAGTGCAAAGCACCATTTACTGATTTTTTTCTCCAACAAATACAATAACTGTAGTCCACATACTTATTAGAAACCACTAGACAGTTGATTAAAGGGTGTTGATCTTTAGATTTCCACATAATTAAGGATTAATAATTGCCACTCACTGTGCCACCAGTGCAAAGTGATATTTAACCTACCGTAGTCACATTTCTTCTAAAATTCACCCAACAGTTCCAGTTTCAGACTTTGCTTATACACATGTGGTTGCTGGAAACCATACAGGCAAAACCAGTTTTGCTCACTGTCTCTTTAATAAGAAACCTAATAAAACCTCTAAAATGTTTCAGGATGTCTGAGTGATATTTTTAAGTCATTTGCAGATAAGAAAAGACTCCATAGCCCCAAGAAATGGAATAAATACTGGCCACCTTCATTAACCTGCTAAATTTCAGGAAGAGATAATGGTCTCTAAGAGAGGCATATGTTTGATTTTCAAGCCTGAGGACACTTTCATGATGATATATCCGTAGTGACTGGCGGGGGAGGTTTGCCGCACAGTTTATTTCAAACACCGTGGAGTTTGGGCTTATTCATTTGTTTGGTCATTTGACAAACATAAAGACATGAACTGGGAGGCCATGGTAAGAAAACACAAAAATGACAGCTATAGCAAAGAGGATACAGCACCTGCCTGCACAGTGTTTACAGTCCTATGTCTGAGACAAACACTGAAGGACCGCAGGGAAAATTATAAGATGATAATCATAGTAAGTGTTTCAAAGGAGGGCACTGTGACAGTGTGAAACGGTGGGAACTGATGTCAGGAAGGACAGCAGCGGCTTCTAGAAGTAAGAACTTCCCTTCAGTGGTTAAGGGTTTATCTCACTTTTTTTTTTTTGAGATGGACTCTTCGCTCTGTCACCCAGGCTGGAGTGCAGTGGCATAGTCTCAGCTCAGTGCAACCTCTGCCTCCTGCCTCGGCCTCCTGAGTAGCTGGGATTACAGGTGCCCGCCACCACGCCTGGCTATTTTTTTTGTATTTTTAGTAGAGACAGGGTTTCACCACGTTGGCCAGGCTGGTCTTGAACCCCTGACCTCGTGATCCACCCACCTTGGCCTCCCAAAGCTCTGGGATTACAGGCGTAAGCCACTGTGTCCGGTCTATCTCACTGTTTTTAGAATTCTTCCGTTCGCTGGACGCGAGCAGCCAGCCAAGTCAAGCCCGGTCTCTGGCGCTCCCGGCCTCTTGTGATGTCCCTGCTATCAATCAGCTTTGGGATAATGGTCTGTTATTGTTTGCATGTTTCTGGGTTATGTTTTACGTATTAAGTCTGATTAGTCTTTGCCGTGACTAGCCTCTCAGAAGTAGTTAAACTCTGAATCACTGAAATAAAATATTTTTCAGCTGCTCCTGTCAGCTGGCCTCCTCAAGTCGCCGTTCCTTGTGTCTGTGGATAAATCTCAGCCACAGCCGTCTGCTTTTTCTACTAAATTGCTAGCTCACCTCTACTTGACTGCTTCCAGAGATGGAAACCTGGCTGCCTCCTGAGGCAGTCCTCTATCTTTGGACAGCTGCACACATTAGCAAGACTTTCTTTAGAGTAAGCGGATAAAGATCTGGCAGCGTCTTCTGTTTGGTCATTTGTGTTTTGGAGTAAGGCTTAATGGAGATGAGATGGAAGGACATGGGTGTTCTGAGGGTCTCCTCTCCTGAGTTCCCTTGGGGGTAGGGGGGATTTTAGACCGAAACCTAATGATGTAATAGAATAGGACATATGTAATCAGTTTGGAAACATGTGCTAGTAGTTGAGTTTCTTCAGCGAAAGGTTATCATATTCTCCATCTTAATCAGTTCAGGCTGCCATAACAAAAGCACCATAGACTTGGGTGGCTTAAATAACAAACATTCCTTTATCACAGTTCTAAAGGGTGGGAACTCCAAGATCAAGGTGCTGGCTGGCTCAGTTCCTGGCAAATGCCCGCTTCTTGGTTTGCAGAAGGACCTTTCTTGCTGAGTCCTCACATGGCAGAGAGAGAAAAGAGAGAAGCGAGTTTCTTTTTATAAGGACACTAATCCCATCATGAGGGCTCCACCCTTATGACATGACACTACCCAAAGGTCCCACCTCCTAGTATTATCATGTTGGGAATTAGGGTTTCTGTTGTTGTTTTCTGTTTTTGTTTTTGTTTTTTTTGAGATGGAGTCTCACACTGTCGCCTGGGCTGGAGTGCAGCATCGCGATCTCGGCTCACTGCAACCTCCGCCTCCTGGGTTCAAGTGATTCTCCTGCTTCAGCCTCCCGAGTAGCTGGGATTACAAGTGCCCACCACCATGCCCGGCTAATTTTTATATTTTTAGTAGAGATGGAGTTTCACCATGTCGGCCAGGCTGGTCTCGAACTCCTGACCTCGTGATTCATTCACTTCGGCTTCCCAAAGTGTTGGGATTACAGGCGTGAGCCACCGCGCCTGGCCCAGGAATTAGGGTTTTAACATGAATTTGGCACTCCCCCACTGATATGGTTTGGCTATGTATCCCCACCCAAATCTCACCTTGAACTGTAATAATCCCCATGTGTCAAGGGTGGGACCAGGTGGAGATAATTAAATCATGGGGGCAGTTTCCCCCATACTGTTCTCATGATAGTGAGTTCTCACGAGATCTGGTGGTTTTATAAGACTCTGGGGTTCCACCTGCTACCTCTCACGCTCTTGTCTGCTGCCGTGTAAGATCCGCCTTTGCTTCTCCTTTGCCTTCTGCCATGATTGTGAGGCCTCCCCAGCCATGCTGAACTGTGAGTCCATTAAATCTCTCTCCTTTATACATGACCCAGTCTTGGGTATGTCTTTATAAGCAACGCAACGTGAGAACAGACTAATACATCCACTCTCCATCAAGACTAACACTACATGCAAAGAAACCCATGAGTGCCCACAGGTGGCCTGAATCTATGCCCCTGTCTCTGCAGGACTAGCCAAAATAGCCTGGAGGTGAATCCTTTCTTGCCCACTCCTCTAAGTCACCATGATCCTTTATCGCTCTGCTTCTAGATTCACTAGGTGCTCACAAAATTACAACTGGGAGTATAAAGAGCGAGCCTGCTTGTTTTCTTAAGTTGGTTATTATTATAGATCCTCTCTGCCCTCATATGCACACCATTCTCAAGCAGCTATAGATAGAGTGCAGACCAGGCAATGGCAGTTTCCCCAGGTAGCCTGGCATGCATCACAGTGGTAGGTGGTAGATCCACAGTTAGGAGGTATAATCAGATCAGAAGAGCTGAGGAATTCATGCTGTAAAACTACTACTGAAAGAACCCATTTAATTTTGCATAAGTAGAGTGATGAAACAGAAAAATCTCTGGAAGATAATGTTCTCTTCTAAATATACACCTTAAAGTCAGATGTCTTCCTATCCCACCTGGCAGTGTGCTTGGCTCTCAAGGAATTAAAAACCCTACTCTGCCAAAGAGAGCTTGATTTTGTATTTGATATATCAGAAGCTCTGCATGTGAATGTCGCATTTTATTGCCTACTGTATGCAACACATCACATACCGTGCCTCAAATATCCAAGCAGATCCTGATACATGGATTCGATTGTGCCCATTTTCCAGATGAGAAAAGCCAGACAATTAGGAAGAAACTACATAATTAGGACTCTAGATTTGTCCGCCTAGGAAGCTCTCTGCTTTTTCATCAATCAAGTTGTCTCTTTAGGAGGCGATGCTTTGTGACAAAGCATCGGACGGCTGGAGGAAGGGGCAATGTTGAAGGAGGAAGCCTCAGCTGCATTTGTGCTGGCATTTGCTCCTGTAGATATGTAGTGCAACAGAAGGAAGACCACTAACAGTGGAGAGAATGGGTGGAGGCATTTCGGCGGATGCCGATGTGCAAAAAGGACCTTAATAATTAGAAGACAGGCAAGCCAGATGAGGTACATAGCGGGGCTGAGTCCTAGCAGAGGATAATTCAGTAAGTATTCGGAAGAGGCTGTTGGACTTCTCACAGTTGCTTGCAGGTGGAGCTGGTCATGGAGAAGGGAGAGCTAGAGATGCTTCCTATACAACTGCAATTCTCTAACTCAGTATTTCTGGACCTCACAACTGTTGACGTTTTGGGCTGAGTATCATTCTTTGTGGAGGGCAGCTGTCTTGTGTATTGCAGGGGGATTAACAGCATCCCTAGGATCTCCCCAATTGTGACAACTAAAAATGGCTTCAGATGTTGTCCAGTGTCCTCTGAGGAACAAAATCACCCCCAGTTGAAACTCTGCTCTAACTCAATACTCATGGCAATATTAATGGCAGGTGGCTTCACTCTCCTTTATACAGTTATAGGAACTGAGGTTAATGGTTGCAAAATTTGTATCTCGGAATGTGGAGTTTTGAAACTACATTTGTTCTAATTTTATACAAGACGCTGCCTTCCTGCCAAGGGGTAAAAGGGACAGGGACCTCTTGGACTTGCTTGCTGGGAGCTTTGATCTGTTTCCAATGCTTTGTTCCTTGCCCGTGGCCTGGTTTGCTTATCCAAACAGGCAGGAGCACCCTATGCAGTGTGAGAACAAATTGTTGGATTTTAATCCCTTTAGGTACGCCTTATTAATGCTCTTGCATATCACACTGTGAACGCATTCCTTCATTCTCAAACATTTACTGAGCCCTGTCTATGTCCTAGGCATGATACTTAAGGCTGGGAATGGAAGGATGAACCAGTCACACCTGACTCCTGCTGTCATGGACTTTATATTACAGCTGGAGACAGATGGCAACAGCAAGACAATGACAACTGCAACAGCAGTAGCAAATCCAAACCTGGCACTCTGATGGGCAATATGGGATGGGAGACCCAGCCAGATAAATTGAGATCTGAAGGGTGAGACACTACCAGCTCTATGACTATGGAGGGAGATGGGGCACAAGACAGACACAGGGAACATCCAATGCAAAGAGCCTCAGGCAAGACAGAGCTTGGTCTGCTTTAGAAACTGGAAGAGAGTTTTGTGGGGCTGGGTTTGCAGTGAGATTCACCACCCTGACTCTGGTGCTGACCACTAGGAGTCCCAGCTAATCCCTCTGTGCACAGATTTTCTTTCTTTTGTTTTTTAGGCAGTGTCTCACTGTTACCCAGGCTGGAGCGCAGTGGTGCGATCTTGTCTCACTGCAACCTCTGCCTCCTGGGTTCAAGCGATTCTCCTGCCTCAGCCTCCCAAGTAGCTGGGATTACAGGCATGAACTGCCATGCCTGGCTAAATTTTTTTGTATTTTTAATAGAGACAGGGTTTCACCATGTTGGCCAGGCTGGTCTCAAACTCCTGATCTCAGGTGATCTACTCGCCTTGGCCTCCCAAAGTACTGGCATTACAGGTGTAAGCCATCACGCCTGGCCCAGATTTTCAGAACCACAGTCTTTCGCATGAAAAAGCAGAGTGACTTGAATGCATTTGGAAGATGAACTCCTAGGCTGACAAACTCTCTGGAGACAAATCCCTGTCTCCATGTGTGTCTGCTTCCTTTTAGGACTTTCAAACCCACTTGGGTTGTTCCCAGCTTAAGCAGGAGGCGTGGGTCTTCAGTGGCTGCCTTGGGGACTTCATCTTCCTGAGTGCCCTTAAGCCAAAGCCCTGTCTCTTCTTCTCACTGCTTGGGCTTGGAGGCTCTGCCTTGGCCTCACCTGTGTAAGGTGACACACCTGTGTGTGTGTCTGTCTCTCCTTATGCCCTAGTTCTGCTCTCTGCTTTGCTCTCTCTCTAGGATTCTATGCTATGAACATGCACTGGCCTTAGGAGTCTTATGCCCACCCACACATTTTCCCAGGGGCAAGGCCATGGGCATCATTTCCCTTTCTTTGCTCAGCTTCCCTAACTGTCCCCCCTAATGGATTACTCTCCTGCCCTGATGCCTTGGGGTTTGCAAAGAGCCTGGCCCTCTCTGTTAGGAGGAATACGCTTATTGCCTATGTGTGAAGCCTGCATTGTGAGCTTGCCAGGAGCTATGTGAAACTTGGGCATCCAGGGAAAATTAAGCCACAATTCGTGCCTTCCAGAATGCATAGCCTCCTGGCTGAGGAGGGGCCAGAATCTCAGGGATGAGGAGGAAGCCCAGTGGCACCATGAGACAAGGCTGGAATTTAACATCCAGAAACCCGAGCTAGAATGCAGTGCAGAAAGGCAGGAGCTGTGGAAGCTCAGGCAAGTCCCTTCATATACGTGACAGCCAGGATGCCCCACAGCCCAGGCAGGAGAAGCTATGGTAGTGTGCCTAGCATGGGCATCTGCTCAGTGACACTGACTCCCAGCTTGTCTCTGCTGTGGGTTCCTCAGCATCTTTCTTTCTGAGATGCAGTGGCAGCTTCTGTATCTCTTCCCCCTTATGTCTCACAACCATTTCTCAGATGGATTGCAGATAGAGTGTGTTTCTCCTTGGCTTCCATTCTCCTGGCAGCCTAGGGTCATAGAAGAATGTAAAGTTGGTCATATAGATGAGGATCAAAAGCAGGCTTCATCATTCATTGGCTGTGTGATTTCAGACAAATGACTCAACCTTGCTGGGCCTGTTTCCTCATATGTAAAATGGAGGTAGATAATGGCTCCTTTGCAGCAGTGCTTGAGAAACAAGGATGGGAGCCCTAGACAAGGGCTTCCTAAGCTGGGGACTTAGAGGTTTCACCAAACCTTAGCTTCTGCCTCCCTCCTTCTCTCCCTCTCTTCTCTCCTTCCCTCCTCTCCTTCCCTCTTTCTCTCCTTCTCTTCTCTCCTTCCCTCCTCTCCTTCCCTCTTTCTCTCCCTCCCTCCTTCACTTCTTCCTCTTCTCCCCCTTCCTCCCTCTCTTCCTTCCCTCCTCTCTTGTTCCGCTCTCCTGGATGAATTATGGCAAGATCACTTGAGGACGTATATTCTTTGTCTCCCTGTGAGAGCCCCCTCCCCACCTTCGTGTAATTGTCAGCAACAAAGTTGGAAAATACGGACGTCTGAAGCAGCTCTCAGCACGGCAACATCTGCACCAGACAAAACTCAAAAAGCCCTCAATCCCCAGTCATGAATGCACTATAAAAACAATGTGGCAGAAATGAAAATTGTTCCATCATAATATTTCACAGTTCTTTTTGACAAAAGCCAGGCTGCCCTCATGAATACACATTTCCCAGCATCTTATGCATTATGCATCAGCCTATAGCAGGGGACCGGGGAATTGCCAGTCCCTAGTAAAGGGCCTTTGAAAGTGCCTATTTTGTAAACAAATGGAGCCCAGGCCCAGCACTCAGAATCTTTAGGTAATTTAAGACCAACTCGACTCCAGCTGCCCTGAGTGGGGACTGGCTCTTCTCAGGGCTGCAAAAGGCCAAAGAGTCTCCAATGTTCACAGGGTGGAGAGGGGATGCGTCAATGTTCTGTATTCTAATCTCTAATTTCATAACATCCAAGACAGCCATCCAGAGGGTCCGGGACAGTTCCTGCCAGAGCCAAATGTCACTGGAATGCCAGATGAGCCTGCTAAGGCTGGTTTTCTGGCCATGCCGTCAGTTGTCAGGACTTCTGACTCCCAAATGCCGTGAACTGTATTGAACCTTGCAATGAGGATGCTGATGAGTGCAGGTGACTAAGGAGGCCCAGGCAGGGCAGACACTGCCTGTCTCCGGCGGCTTGTAGGAGACATTTTTGTTTGTCCAGTGCCAACAAATTGGAAATAAGAATGAAGTGTGCCTTATTGTCCATGGGAAGGCCCTTGGAGTTCATTAACTAGCCCCTATGTTTCAAAGATGGGAGGACTGAAGCCAGATTTTTTAAGTAACATGTTCAAGGTCACATTTAGAGTGAGCAGCGGGTCAGGGACTGCTGGAAGCCAGTCATCTTTTCCCAGCACCTCCCACTGCCTCAATCATGGGTTGGCAGGGCCTGAAAAGACCAGGGGCAAAATGGTTACTGATTGCTATGATTTGAGTAAAGGGCAGACTGGGATCCTTAAAACAGCCCTGGAAAAGAGCATCATGCAAGGCTATTTTGTGTAATTTGCAATCTGTCCTCAATGGTACAGCTTTACACGGTGACCGATAGATGATAGATACTGACATCCTATCTGTTGCAATAACAAGATGGTGACTGATTCTTTGCTATGTGTATTTATTTCATAAAAATATTCAGCTCGCATTAGGGTGTCACACAAAGGGATTTGAATTGAGAAGCAGAAATTTGGAGTTCCAAGGTTGGACATGCCCTATTCCTGCCTTCTTTGGACCTCGAATTCTCACCTGTTAAATGAGGGGTTTGGCAGGGATGGTCTCTGGGTTGCATCCCAGCTGAAACATCCCTCCTGTCTGTGGGTGAGCACTGGCACTGTGCAGAGGGCACAGTGAAGCTGGAGAGGAAAGGGGTCCACTGCATGCTGAACAGTGCGCCTGCATGGCTGGGCTCCCTGAGGAGGGGTGAGGGGAGGTGGGAGAGACCCCGCTTAGGGAAAGTCGAGGGAAGTTCCTCATTACTACTCCTGGTGCCTGGAGCTCTCCAGCTGTAGCACCCGCTTGCTGATTGATGCAGTTTGACTAATGAAAACAACAACCGCTGAAGGCTGATTAAGATGAGGCAACTTGTTACTCCTCACAGACACCTGCAGGAATTTACTTAGGCGATGGCTGCTTCCCCAACCTCCGCTGACCTGGAGAACAAGCTGACGGTGGGTGACAGTTGGAAAGGAGAAAAATTGGAATCATCAAGCCACCGGTAATATAGAGAGCCTGCCTAGGACTCTTTTTTTTTTTTTTTTTTTTGAGACAGAGTCTCACATTGTCACCCAGGCTGGAGTGTTGGAGTGGCGCAATCTCTGCTCATTGCAACTTCTTCCCAGGTACAAGCGATTGTCCAACCTGTCTCCTGAGTAGCTGAGATTACAGGCATGCACCACCACATGCAGCTAATTTGGAGCCTTTTTTTTTTTTTTGAGACAGGGTTTCACCATGTTGGCTAGGCTGGTCTTGAACTCCTGACCTCAAGCAATCTGCCCGCCCAGCCTCCCAAAATGCTGGGAATTAAAGGTGTGAGCCACCATGCCTGGACCTGCTTAGGACTCTTGAAGCCTAGAATACATGGTTCTTAAACCGTATGTGTGTGTGTGTGTGTGTGTGTGTGTGTGTTTGTTTGTAGAGGGGAGATGTTTGTATTTGTAAGTCCCCAGGTGATACGGCTGGCCCAGGAATTGTACTTTAAGAAACACTGGTACAGAAAAAAGGCTATCTAAATATCCTCTATTTCCATGTCTCAGCAACTTCAAACTATTAAAAAAAATCCCCAAATATCTGTAAAAAATAACTTCAACTTCTACAACTGGCACAGTGGTAAGTAAAAAGCATCTCTGAATACCACAAATGGCCATCTATTTGGTTTCAAACCAAGAAATAATTTCTCCTGAATTATGAAAGTAAAATAATTTGGAAGCTTTAGAAATACAGAAAAGTATTACAATGAAAATAAAGTAAAATAGAAACACATCACATAAAGATAACAGCTATTTACAGACCAGCCTTCTTTTCTTTTTGCCCAGTGAATGTGTAAATATGTGTGTGTGAGTCTTGGCACTGGTCTTACGCAGTTTTCCTAAATTGGGATTCTTGAGGTGATTAGTAGTGTTATGAACAAAATAGCAAAAACAACAAAACAAACCCAGAAACAACAACGACAATGCAAAAGATGTGTAGTAGAGGCTGATTGGAGGTGAAAAATCCTTGAAAAATGCTGAGGTAACCAAAATTTAAAAAGCTGAATAGTCTTCAACCGGAGTGATTAAACCCCATGAACCCTCCATATGATACAGGCACTTGGAGAGGTGGTATTCTCCTAAGTGGGCATCCTTATGGAATTCCTCCTCTTCCTCCAATCACCCCCATCCGCACCCCAAGCTTTGGAAGGGGTGAGGTTTATTAGCAGTCCTAGTAAAAGTGCCAGAAGAGTTGTAAGAAATTCTCTCTGGCCAGGTGTGGTGGCTCACACCTGTAATCCCAGCACTCTGAGAGGCCGAAGCGGGTGGATCACAAGGTCAGGAGTTCGAGACCAGCCTGACCAACGTGGTGAAACCCCGTCTCTACTAAAAATACAAAAATTAGGTGGTTGTGGTAGCTTGCACCTGTAATCCCAGCTACTCAGGAGGGTGAGGCAGGAGAATTGCTTGAATCCGGGAGGCGGAGTTTGCAGTGAGCCGAGATCACGCCATTGCACTCCAGCCTGGGTGACAGAGCAAGACTCCATCTCAAAAAAACAAACAAACAAAAAAATTCACTCTGGGTGTAAGATATCATCTAGTTTAAGCTTCACATCATATTCTCTTTGGTTGGTCATCTTGGGTTTTCTAAAAGAAGCTGACTTATTTTGTTGAAAATTTAGTAAATAAGCAAGAAAGGGTCATTTCAGCTCCATTAACTATTACCACTCTAGAAAATCAACAGCCAGCATTTAAACCCCACATTTTGCATGGCCTTGGTCTGTGCTATAACACAAATTAAGTTTTGTAGGTGTGTGTCCGACTTGGCTTCAGATGGTGGCCTCTTTGAGGATAGGCCGGGTTCTCACAGATCCTTGTGGCCCCAAAGCCTAGCATAGTCTCCTGCAGCAAGCGTGCACCAACACATGTCCACTGGATATGACAATAGGCTTTCTTATAAGTTCTCTTTCAGCAGAGGCAAAGAGTCAAATGTTAATTACATCTGAACTTGAGAAACCACAATAAACCAACTGCCATGGGGGCATAGGAGTAGGAGAAGATAATCCAAGCTCTTGGGAATGACTTAGATGTGAGTATGAATCCATCCCAGGGATGTCTGAAGGTGTTCTTTTCCACCTGATGATGGTTTTTCTTAGGATAGAAAGCCTTCTTGGATATTTGCAAAGTCTCCCATATTGATTGCATTAAGGTCACTTTGTTAATAAATGTTACATCCTGTGCTTCTACCCAAAGTCCACTTTATTTACATGTTTAAAGCATTGTTTTTGTTCAAATCCGAGATGATCTGTGGGTCATGGGTACTCAGCACAGCATTCTTAGCTTTCTGCAATAGGCAGTGGCTACGTCTGTCTTGGGTTATTACCTGAATTGGTCTCTGCCAAGATCCCAGGCCTGCATTTGCCGGGAGTGTAGTGATCTAGGATCTAGATCAAGGATCTAGTTTCAAGAGCCAGTTTTGTTGATCAGCCTTGGGTTGTGCATGTTTTCTTTGACATTATGCTCTCTTTACATTCCAAACAGGATGTGCCTGACATTGCTTCCACTTCCCAGTGAGTAAGAACTGGAACTAGCTAATGATGGGTATTCTCTTATCATGGGAACTTGAGAACACTCACTTATTCCACTCCACTCATTTTCAGCAAATGGGATAATTAAAGTCACCAAAGCAAGCAGGCTTTCCCAGTGCTACTCTAATTCTATTAGTGCAGCCTAAATTCATGTTGGCAACCACAACATGCTATCGGTTTACATTGAGCTTGTGGTCCCCTGGTACCTTCAGCCATTTCTAAGTCTCTATTATATCAGCTGCTGCCATGTTACATGTCTCACTGTCATATGTTTTATTTTAAAAATAACCCTAGAATCTTAGAAACATCTGGTTATTCTAAGCCTATTGTTCTGGTTTGGTCAAGCTTTTTTGAATATTGGGTCTTAGATTATCTGCTTAAACTTTTCCTCCATGTTTTTTGTCACTTGAAGAAAATAAGTTCTTGTTCCCATGAACTTTCCCTTCAAGGTTTCAACCCAGGCTTTAACACTGTGGGACTTTGCAGGTTCAGAACCCTCCCTGAGCTATTCTGTCTAAATGTAAAACGAGAGCAGTACCAGGTAGCTGGCTGGGCTATTGCCATAATTAGACATATTGTGTATGAAGTGCCCAGTATAGCATCTTGACACATAAAACGCATTGGTGAATATTTTTGTCAGGTTATATATTTGCATCAAACAGTGCTTTTCAAAAAACAAACAAAACAAACTAATTGCACTCCTTCTGGAATCTCAATAAGCCAAAGGGGTGGCATTTTGATTTGGCCAGCAAAGAGTTACAGCCCATAAAATCATCAGGGAACAGGGACTGCAGAGGCCACCAATAAATTACTGTGCAGTCTTGGGCAAAATTCTTAATCTCTTGAGCCTCAGTGCCCTCATCTCTAAGATAAGAAAACACAGGGAGAGTATCTGGCATGTAGCCATCCGGTAGCAAATGGAAGGCCCTTTCCTCTTCCTATTCCCCATACCTCCTGCCTTGGGCACCTCCAAATGGCTCAGCTCCAGATATCACGGGTCACTGAGGTCTCTGTCCTTTGGGTTTGCAGGCTTAGTTCTCAAAGCTTCCTGAGATAGCAACTGTCTTAGCTTGGGCTGCTGTAATAAAACACCACAGTCTGGGTGGCTTAAGCAACAAACATGTATTTCTTACAGTTCCAGAGGCTGAAAAGTCCAAGATCAAGGTGCCAGCAGATGGGGTTCTTGGTGAGGGCTGCTGCTTGGCCTGTAGACAGTTTCCTCCTTGCTGTGTGCTCACAGGGCCTTTCCTTGGTGCATGCTCATGATCTGCCTTCTTCTTTTTTTATTTTTGAGATGCAGTCTTGCCCTATCACCTAGGCTGGAGTGCAGTGGCATGACCTTGGCTCACTGCAACCTCCACCTCCCAAGTTCAAATGATTCTCCTGCCTCAGCCTCTGGAGTACCTGGGATTACAAGTGCATGCCACCATGCCCAGCTACTTTTTGTATTTTTAGTACAGACCAGGTTTTGCCATGTTGGCCACACTGGTCTTGAACTCCTGACCTCAAGTGATCTGCCTGTCTTGTCCTCCCAAAGCGCTGGAATTATAAGTGTGAGCCACTGCATTTGATCTGTCTTCCTTTTCTTATAAAGGCACTAATCCCATTATGAGGGTCCCACCCTCATGACCTTATCTCAATACAATCACACTGGGGGCTAGGGCTTCAACATACGGATTTGGGAGGTTAGGGACATAAATATTTAGCCAATAACACAAGCTTCACTTCTGAGCAAACCAACTAACCTTTCGAAACTGCTTGCATTTCTAAAAGAGGAACAGTGATGTCTGCGTGATTGACAGACAATCTCTATTTCAGCCATTGTGATGGGCTTGGTCCATGACATGCCTTGTTGTTGGCTGCTCCCTTGCCCAGTGCATACTATTTCCTCTGCCTGGAATCAGCCTGTTCTCCATGCACTTCCTATTCACCCATTCATCTCTTCCAGATCCAGTGTTTTCTCCTGCAGGCAACCCAGCCCCACCTAAGCTCTTATCTCACTGTGCTGATCCATGTCTTTCTTCCACAGGCCTGTGAGGAGCTCCATGAGGACCTAGATCATATGTCCCATCTCACTTTTATTCTTCAGTGCCTAGCAGCCCACCTGGCACGTGGTAGATGCCTACTAGGTGTTTGGACCCATGAACATAATAATGTTCACTGCACAGAAAGACAGAAATACAGTGGATAGATTGCTATAACCATTGGTGGAAAAGACACACACCAGCAGAGAACGTAAGAAAGTGATTGAAACAGGGATAGGATTGCTCACAAATGTTCAAACAAAAATTCTAGGCCACACATGGTGGCTCACCTGTGTAATCCCACCATTTTGGGAGGCTGAGGTGGGAGGATTGCTTGAGGTCAGGAGTTTGAGACTAGCCTGGTCAACATAACCAGAACCTGTCTCTAAAAAGAATAATAATTTTAAAAAATTAGCCAGGTGTGGTGGCATGTACCTGTAGTCACAGCTACTAGGGAGGGTGAGGTGGGAGGTTCACTTGAGCCCAAGAGTTCGAGGCTGCAGTGAACTGTGATCACAGCACTGCACTCCAGCCTGGGCAATAAAGCAAGACCTTGTCTCTAAAACAAAGTAAATTTCCTACCACAATGGTGTAGCAGGGCCAAACAGAGAGAAAAGCACCCTATCTGGATGGTGAGTGCCAAGACTGGTACTCAGAAACCAGTCAGGTTTCCTCCAAGGGGCTTTCGTCTGTTTGAACATTCCACACACACAGGTTGATCCCAGCAGAGCAACTGTGATAGAAACAGAGTCTCTGCTTAACAAATCATGAAGCTGAGAGTGAGCATGAGCAGCTAATGATCATCTTCATTAACCCACAAAACTTTATGCATGGACAGTGTTCAGCCAACCTTTTGATCCTAGACAGAAATCTATTAAAGCCAGTTAAGAGAATGAAAAGACAAAATCTGATGAATGCTTTTACCTTGGTGGATATAAAAGTTGGCGGGCTCGATAACTCTGAGAGTGATCTATTTGCCAATAGCAATACTACATTAAGTTGGGGAAATATCATTCCCTTAAATGCAAGGTAAGTGAGTGGCCTGAATAATGGCTTACAATTACATGTGTCCAGGGCCTGTTGAGGCTGGAAAGGATAGAATTCATATCACTGCTTTAGAAGAAACTCATTTTCTCCAAAGGAGTAGTTTCTAAGCTTGCCTCGAGTAGGGACTGGTTTGAGAATCTAATGGAAATTGTTCTGGCTCCTGGAATAATGCACATGGTATGTGCACAGAATACTGGATGTTTCTCAGGAGGTTCACATTCTTTGAGATGTTCATCTGTGGGCTTCAGTCCTGAATCCCTGCTCCTAGGAGGCTTGAGGGTCTGTAAAGATTTAAAACTGCAAATGTGAGGTGTCTTATTAGAATCATCTTTGAAACTTTTTTTTTTTTGAGATGGAGTTTTGCTCTTTTGCCCAGCCTGGAGTGAAATGGCACGATCTTGGCTCATTGCAACCTTCTCCCGAGCGATTCTGCTGCCTCAGCCTCCCGAGTAGCTGGGATTAGAGGCTCCTGCCACCACGCCCAGCTAATTTTTGTATTTTTAGTAGAGATGGGGTTTCACCATGTTAGGCTGGTCTTAAACTCCTGATCTCAGGTGATCCACCCGCCTCAGCCTCTGAAACTTTTCAAAATACACATTTCCCCCATGTGATATGAAAACGGATTATTGGAGCCTTTCAGGAGGAAAGAATTGTGGTGGTGTTTAAACTTAGCCATTTTGGAAAACACTGGAATATTTTCTTTTCTTTCTTTTTTTTTTTTTTTTTTTTTCTTGAGATGGAGTCTTACTCTATCACCCAGGCTGGAGTGAAGTGGCACGATCTCGGCTCACTGCAACCTCTGCCTCCCAAGTCCTAGTGATTCTCCTGGCTCAGCCTCCCAAGTAGCTGGGATTACAGGCGTACACTGCCATGCCCAGCTAAGTTTTTGTATTTTTTTGTAGAAACGGGGTTTCACCATGTTGGTCAGGCTGGTCTCGAACTCCTGACCTCAAGTGATCCGCCTGCCTCGGCCTCCCAAAGTGCTGGGATTACAGGCGTGAGCCCCGAATATTTCTTGTCCCTTCTTCTGCACCCCCTCCATGAGCAGGAGTGAATAGTTCAAGAGGAGAGACAGAGCAACAGGTTTGGTCCAGAGACCTGGACTCAAATCCCAGGTTCTTTACTAACTAGCCTTATGGCCTTGCTCAAGGAACTTATCCTTTCTCCACCTCCATTTCCTCATCTGCGAAGGTTTGTTGGAAAGACTGAGCTGAAGGACACGGAGTTTGTAATGTCCAGCCTCAACTCTGCCCCATGCCTCTTGGCTCCTTTTTAAAGGCAAAATAAAAGTATAAATGAAGAGGTTCATTATAGGGTCTTCTCAAGAAGGATATCCCTGCACTGGAAGTGTTGTGTCACATTTAATGCCTGGTAAAAAGGGTAGTTGTTAATAGGAATTCTCCATGTTGTTCCTAAAGGTCTGAAGTGTTAGAAAAGTGTTGCATTTCTAGAAACCTGCTGTAAGGGATTGTATCACTTATAAAGGCCTCAAGGATGTTTTTCATACTGAAGGTTATAAACAAGTAAATATTGCTAGTCTAGAAGAGAATGTTTCACCATATGGTGGCTTTCCCTGGCTTGGCTTCCAGGGGCATCCTGAGTCATCAGAAAAGTGTACAAATCTGGATGATGCTATGAAAATCCCCTTTTCTTGGTTGGAGTTGGAAGATGACTTGGGTGGGAAGGACTATAGGACTCCAAGGTCTGATGATAACAGGGGTTATTCTACTTGCCAATAGGTTTAGAAGTGAGTCTCTCAGCTAGTCAATTTCCCTGAGTCTCAATTTCCAGTCTCTACCATAGGAATCCTCCTTCTCTTACAGAACAGTTATGAGGATTCGATTAGCTAAACTATGGAAAGCCCCCACCCATCATGTATTAGATGCTCAATGAATGGTAGTTATCTTGGTGTCAGGGGTAGTAGTGGTATGAGTAGATTAGTAGTATTGGTCAAATAAGACTCAAGGGTTTTAACTGGACACACCAAATTAACAGCACACTGTGGTGCCTCAAGACCTAAAATGGGGGAACAGAGTCAGGGAAAGAAACATGGTGAAACTGGGAAGAAGCAGGAAGGAGCTCGGAGGTGGAGTGAAGCAAAAAGTCCAGGCTGGGCTCAGCCTCTCAAATTCTGCCTATTTCAGTCCTTCCCAGCTACAAAAGATGGTGTCTCCTGCCTACCGCAACCAATTCATCCCAGTTTATCTAGGATTTTCCTGGACAAAGTTCCTGTGCCTAGAGACCCCTCAGTTTCTGGAAAATCAGGATGGTTGGTCATCCTACTCCCACCGACATCCTCCAGCCCTGAGTTTCAGGCAAGCCTGGCCGGATGGCTGTGGAGTGATTCTTGCTGTCCCCTTATTTGGTATCCTTGATATCAGCCTTTCTTGCCCCTGCCACAATCTGTAGGGGACTCCAAAAGGACTTCAGCTTTAGATTTAGCTTAATACTTCAGTTTGGGCTGTGAATGTAGGGAGCATTGTCCAGGTCACTATAGCATGTAGAAAAACCCTGGCATCCTGGCTCATAGTAGATGCCTAGTGGTATGTGTTGAATTGATGAATGGAGATCTTTCCTGGAGTTCCAATATGCTTGGTTAGGGCCCTAAAGTATTGCTAAATCTAATTTGTTTTCCTTCCACAAAATTAAGTCACACCGCCAAGGTCCTATTCTAATCTGATTGGGTCATTCAGGACCGCATAATCCTCATGCTAATCTTGGCTACTTCCTTAAAACTCTTTCAGGTTGTTCAGCCTGCTACATTGATGCCTAGCACACCACATGAGAAATTTTCTCTTTCTCTTCCTCTTCCCTTTGGCAAGTTCAGCAAGCCTTGAATCAGAACCCATTTCCTGTTATGAGAGGAGCAATGGTCAATATGCCCATATCACGTTTTAAGTATTTTCTATAGTTGATGTAGGAAAGCAGACTTATAAGGAGAACATTCATTCTTTGTTGTGCCATGACAATAAACCACAATTCCTTCTTTGAAATACAAGGTCATGATGACCCTGTGAGTTTTGGAACTATTGGGAGAGGACATGATGACACCATCCACTTTGCTTTGTTTTCCTATCTTTAGAAAGGGCTCTTACAGTTCATCCATGAAGGTAAGTTATGTTGAAAGTTGCAGGAAGAGGATGCAGCAAGTTGGGTGTGGCTGTGGTCTACTCAGAAATGAAAGGCAGCCATGTCCCCTGTGAACATTTGCAGAGCCTGTCACCATGCGTAAATAGAATATTTTGACTTCGATGGACCCAGTTTAGCTCTCATAGAACTAATTAGATCTGTGAGTTTATTATTGTTGTTTTGTTATCGTCATAATTGTTATCACAGCAGGTGCAACTCAAAGGAGCGATATTGCCAGTTTAGTCAGGACACCTCTTCCTTGAGCAATGAGGGGCATTTTGCAACCTTACCCTCCACCAATAAAGGCCACTTTTGCTCCTCAATCATAATTATGACTCCAAATGGTCCACAGACATTTTTAAATGCTCTGTGGATGAGTACCGTCCCCAGTTGAAAACTTCTTGAGGTAATTCAGAGAGGAAAAATAATGGAAGGAAAGAACATGACAGAAACTTGAGAATTCAGAGCTCTGGAGATAGAAATAGAAAAGAGTCCAGTCAAGAGGTGATCTTGTTCATCCTCTTTCATGTAAAAATACACTTGCCCTGATGTTTACAGCAACCTCACAGCTCGTTGGTTGGTGTTTAAGCTCTTAAAGACTCCATCTGTCTTACCCACTTTCCCTCTGGGCCAGACATGCATTTCCCTTATTGTAAATTTCCTGCACTGGCTCAAAATATTCTGTGCCTGGAATGTCTCATCTTCCTCCCTGCTCTTCCAAATTCAACTCCTCATTTAAGGTTCAGCACGTTAAGTCCCCTCTCCAGGGATCTCTTACTGTGTCCACTCTGTACGAATCAGGTAGTTTATCTTCCGTATATGTGTCATCTCTTTCTCCAGACTGTAAGATATTTGAGGACAGAGACTATATTACCCCCTTCTGATCCCTCTGTAGCACCAAGCCTAGAGTGATGTTTGCTTCTGACTCCTGCTGGTTTGGTAGCCAGAAAGATTCACTCCCTGGTGTGGGTGTACCTTGCCTTTCTACATAGTTTTGTTGAAATTTTTAGCACATTTCAGATCCTAAGAAAAGGTACTTGTTTTATCACAGCTGCTGAGTAGAGGTCATTGCTTTAGAGGAGGTTTCTTTTCTTTCTTTTTTAATGAACTTAATCATTTTTAATATCTTTTCCAAAGGTGAATACATTAAATGACCCTGACTTGGCAGAAAGCCTTCTCTTGAGTGCTTTGGGAGGATTAGCGGAAGTTCTTTTACAGCCTCTTAGCCTGACTGGCTGCCTTTTCCTTTCTTTGGGTTATCAGGGATTGAGATTTGATCCTAATTAACAAAGGAGGAGCCCTAAGCTGTGCAGTTTCTGCTCACAGGGAGGCAGGCAGGGGCTGGATTCTTTGGAGAAGTGAAGCTGGCCTTGTCAGCGATCTCAGCTCTTGTGCCTGAACATGGAGGCTGGCAGAGATATTGATAAAACAGCTTTGAGAAAGCACAGCAGGCCCCAGATAGAGGGAGGGAGCCTAAGGGACAGAGGAGGGCAGTATCATTGTAAGAAAGTCGACTCTAGCGGTGGGGACCATCTTCAGAACTGACGGAGCAGGATGTGTGCTGTAGTGTACAAATTAAAAGTCAGTGATGGCATTGTTTTTTATTGTGCAAAGATCATAAAAAGAAAACAAAAAATGGGACACATTAATCAGCAGTTTAATGAGAATGGAAAATAATCGTGCAAAATAAAGTTGTTGTCTACATTGCATTCAAATTCCTGGCTTGTTACTTTCTGTGGACTAATGTGTTTGAAGCAGGAGGAATTGGTTCACACTGGAGGGGGTCATGCAGAAAGAAGTTGCCGTTTCAGGTGGCCTCCACTGGGTTGTATGGAGATTCTTTTTGTCTTATATTTGCTCCCTGGTTATTTCTGCTTTAGGCCTGTAATATAATCTCTTCACTAAGAACAAAGCATAAGAGGGAGCGTACTCTTGTCTTCTTTCTCTCCGTGGCACCTAATAAAGTGCTAGCCATTTGTTGCTGTCTTAGAACTTTAGAGGAGGAAGCCCCAGCAGAGTCACCCCACTTAGTGTCAGTATTAATTGATTGAGTGCCTGAGGGTGATGGAGATTGGCCTGGAGTTGGCAATTGATAAATCATTTAACCTATGATATATAGACTCAGAAGTGAGAAGCAGACCTCCTATTATTCTGTCTTTGGTCTCAATCAAGGAGAAGATGCCGTTGAGAAGCCTCAAAGAAGGAAGCAGAAAGGAGAATTTGTCCAAATATCACAGGCAAGTCTATTCTTATGGTTTGCCAATTGCATCTCTGGTTAAAACCTGCATCTTTCTCAGAACATGGCATTAAAATATTCCACTCAGCTTCTGTGAGCTCCAGAAATACAATAAATAGCAGCACTATTTTTAAAGATCATTGGGCTTCATTAAGTAAAGATAGGCTTCTCTTTAACATGGTTTTGAGGATTCACTGTCTAAACAACAGGCTCGGGTGTTAACATCCTGGAGGAAATTTTCCTAGTGTATATAAATAGACCTAGCTGTTTCTGGTGCTGCCACTCCCTTCTGGGGATCCTTAGACCAGTCATTTCAACCTCTTTGGGTTCTCACCTTCTTATCTGTATAATGGGGATAAAAAACTGTTTCCCTGTTTATTGTGAGGATGAAACGCAATTTGACAGCTAAACAACCATGGCAAAGCTGGTCATCACTTCTTTCATTCATTAATTCACTGAGTACCTACCAAGGGCCAGGCCTTTAGAAACACTGCTGTTGGGATGCTTTGAATGGGTATTGCCATTGAATCTCTCTCTTGGTTTCTTGATGTCATTAGGATCTAACAAGAGGTTGAATCAGCAAATATCAATCAGCCTGAGGTTAAAGTGCTTTGGTTCATTTTCACCCACACGTGATCATAATTAATCAACTTTTGCCACAGATTAGGAAGTATATAAAGTTATCTTTCCATGGAGAGGAGGAACAGGGTCTTGGTCAAAGGATAATTCTTGCAACTAAACAGGGAGATTCAAATTCCAGATCTGTTGCTTATTGGTTACATTTGGGTAAGTAACTTATTTGCCCAAGACCTTGATTCCACCATTTGTAAGGAGGGATAGTAAAACCCATCTTAGAAAGTTGTTGTGAAGATGAAATACAGTGATGCCCCAGCTATGCCTTGCAGTGATCAGCATGTAGAGGATGTGTGTGTGTGCATAATGGGCACACCTTCAGCAGGAATAGATATGATTGGGGTGGTGGCTTCTGGTCTCCAACTTGTCTCTTGGTTTATTTCTTCTCCTAGGGCTCTCCCCATCTGCACTCTCATGACTGAGACCCAGTTCCCTACCTTTTATCATGCTAGCATCAAAACTGTCTCCTAGGAGGGGCATGGGTAGGCATTTTGTCCTTTCTAGGGAGTTGCACTGGGTGGGTGATATGGTTTGGCTGTGTCTCCACCCAAATCTCATCTTGAATTGTAGCTCCCACAATTCCATATCCTGGGAAGGACCCAGTGGGAGGTAATTGAATCATGTGGGTGGGTCTTTCCCATGCTGTTCTTGTGGTAGTGAATAAGTCTCACAAGATCTGATGGTTTTATCAAGGGGAGTTCCCCTGCACAAGCTCTGTCTTGCCTGCCACCATGCAAGATGTGACTTTGCTCCTCCTTTGTGTGAGGCCTCCCCAGCCATGTGGAACTGTGACTAAATTAGACCTCTTTTCCTTTATAAAATTATCCAGCCTCAGTTATGTCTTTATTAGCAGCATGAGATCAGATTAATATAGTGGGCTTCCTCTCCTCAGGTGGGACATGCCTTGCACCTTCTTCATGGGATCAGAGACTTTGTTCTTTGGGAAAGGAATTTTAAATGCTTGGAGTTCTTAAACTTTTAAAAATTGGAATATACAGAAAGGTGAATATGTTGTCAGACTTTAGCTTGTTGTATTTTTGCAAAATTAACAAATCTGTGTCATTAACTCCCACAATAACAAGCAAAACATTGCCAGAGTTTCAGCAAACAATCCTCCCTCTCCACTGTCCCCCTTCCTGTCACTGGTCTCCTGTCAGAGGAACCTCTATGGGATAGTTTTTCCTGCCTTTGTATTTTATATAAATGGAATCATACACCATGTCCTCTCTTCTGGCTTCTTTCACTTGCTGTTATGTTTGAAGAACCATCAATGTTGGGAGTAGTTACAGATTGTTTATTTGCGTTGCTGTATGCTATTCCATCGGGTAATGACACCACAAACCATGTGTTCATTTAATGTGGATGGACACTGAATTTGTTTCCTTGACAATCTAGTGGTGTCAATTTTCTGAGATGGTTGCCCAACTTTTGCCCTAAAAGCTTTTGTCCTAAAAGCTCACTTCCCCAGAAGCTCAGTGTGGCTGTTGGGTGGAACTTGGGGCAATTACACAAGTCAGATTCTTTTGCATGAACTTTAATTTAGGGCCTAACTCCTCCCATTGACAACCCTGTAAGGTAGGTAAGTGTCTCCCTATGATATGTTTGATCAAACAGTGGGAGAGGAACTTTAGACTCTTGCTGTAGTCAACAGACCTAACAAATACCAAAACTGGGATTCTAATCCAGCTTTTAGCTTCTCCAAGACTCTTCCTCTTTCAGAAATCCACCCTGTCTCTTTGTAATACTTGATAAAAGTCTCACTTTAACTTGGGGTTAAGGGCAAATATTTTTATTGCTAAGTGTCTGCAGGAGGCTTGGCCAGGTCACTTTTTCCTGAATTAGGCTCTATTTCCTTACCTTTGAGACTAGAGCACTAGAATTCATTGCCCACAGGGAGTAGAGGACAGTAGGTAAGAGTCAAGCCAGATTGTTAGGTTGGAATCTCAACCCCTTCACTCATTAGCTGTGTGACCTTGGGCAAATTGCTTGCCCTCTGTCTGCCTCAGTTTACTCATCCATAAAAGAGAGTAATAAAAGTTGCCACCTAAAACTGCTGTGAGGATTCAATGGAGAATATACATAAAGCGCTTTACATAGTACCTACCTATCGAGTATGGTGTTGATATTTCTTGGGCACTTACTGTTCTAATAAAATTCTAAGTGTTTGGCAGCTCTGACATCCCAGGAGCTGGGTTCTGTCATTTCAGCCAGCACTTTGAATCAAAGATCTTCACCAGCTCCTAAATAAACATTATATGGCTGCAACCATTGCTTCTCTTTTTTGGAGATGTCTATTAAAATTATGATTCAATTGTCAGAAACAAAATATTCTTAAGATGTCTTCAGCCATACCCTCAAATTATATGACAGTGTCTGGCTTTAATACCCATCTAAATAGTTATACTGTTGACAGGTTTCGAGAGCGGTGTTTGCTCTTCCATTCCTCTCATTAACTTATGTAGCAACATCATAACTCTCTGGAAGGATTAAAAAAAAAAGGATGCTGGCATATTCCATCTGAATTCATTTCATATAGTGTCTGTCAGAGCATTTGCATATGAATGAGATGCCTTGATGTTTGCTCATTAACATGGGAGCATTGCAGTGACACGTTTTGGAGCTCAGGTTCAAGAGTTTGAAGCAAGAGAGGGAAGAAAGGTTGAAGGCTCAGTCCATGTAAGATTTCACTGCAGTAAGCCTGGTATATAATCTTAATCCCAATCAGGCTGTGGTCTGGAAGGGCATCTCTACCCTTTAGGACTATAAGCCCAACCTTCCACTGACTCTCCTCCCATATCCCCAGCGTTCTAGCCACACTGATGTTTTTTCATTAACACATTCAAGTTTGTGTGTATGTAAGCTGCTCCCTCTCTTTGATAGGGCATACTTCCCTCCATGTTTGGCAAGACTTAACAATTCCACTAAACATCAATGTCTTTCTGAATCCCTCCTCAATTCTTCTGGGTCAATTTAGCCACTGTCTCCCTGGGCCCCAACACCAGATCCTCATGACTGGAATGGCCTGTGCCCCACGTTGCATGTTTCTTTTATGCATAGAGTAGAGCTACCTTCATTGTTCCAGCCCTGGTGTCCAGAAGAGAGTTGTAGATGCTTAATGAATATTTATGAAATGGATCAGTACAGAGAAGGCTAGAATAAAACATGGGGAGGCATATTGAGAGCTTCTGTCTCCAAGGGACTCAATGTGTTTAAACTGCTCCTGAATGTCGGTAACAGACTGCCTCACACTTCAACCAAAATTTCAGTTCCAATTGACAAGGCTCAGGCTCAGCCCTGGAGTTCCATCTGAGCTTCATCTCCATCAAATCACAAGCTTTGGAAGTGGGACAAGGATGTTTTCACAGCAGTGGGCAGCCCATGGCTTCTTAGGTGGTCTCATTATGGAACATATAGACTTGGAGGTGATTAGCATCAGCACTGAGCTATGGCTCCTGTTCATGTCTCCTGAATTGGGAGGACACGGGTCTCAGCCACTGAAGCCTGGGGGATGACAGGACCCGGTAAAGGCACACCAGGCAGGGGCAAGGGTCAGAGCTACCTCGGGATCCAAGGTACCTATAATGACTGTTACAGTCATTCTCATACACATTCAGTGTGGTGGTATGAGGCAGTTAAGTGGACAGACCCCTGGAGTCAGAATGCTTAGGCTCCAGTGCCAGCTTGACTGCCTGTGTGACCTTGATCAGCCAAGTAACCTTGCACACATTCCCCAAACTTTCTAGAACTCAGTTTTCTCATCTGTACAATGGGCATAATAAGAGTACCCCATGGCATAGGGCTATTGTGTGCTCAGTCATAGAGTCACCCTTATATGTGTCACACCCTTACATGTGACATAGAAAATTGGACTACATAGAGGTTAACCATTACTAGTTGTTTATAGAAAGAATTCACCTATAAAATTACAAATGATGAGAGCACATGGACCCATAGAGGGGAACAATATATACTGGGGCTGATTGGAAGGTAGAGGGTGGGAGGAGGGAGAGGATCAGGAAAAGTAACTAATGGGTACTAGGCTTAATATCTGGGTGATGAAATAATCTGTACAATAAACCCCCAAGACACAGGCTTACCTGTGTAACAAACCTGCACATGTATCCCTGAACCTAAAAGTTTTAAAAAAAAAAAGGCAAGCATTTGTGAGAATGTGGAAAAAAATATATTTGATGCTTATCAAAATCATGTAAAGTTATTGTCATCTTTTCTAGAAAAAGTGAAAAATCCCTGCAGTTTAAAATAGAAATGTAGAGTCAAAAAGCTCATTAAGATCTTACACCCTGTGCCCTGAGTGATTAAATGTCACAGTCAAGGACATAGAACTCACATCTTTGGACACACCTTGGATGCCTGCCATACCTTAGACACACACAGAAAACCCAACACACCTCCACCCAGTCTCAACTCCTGTTGAAGTGACTTGGTGGTTGCCACACATGATTAATAGGTGTGGAAGACCAGTGAGTTGTGGGTGACTCACTGGGAAAGATGGTGTTAAAAGGAGAATATGGGAAGAGCCTATAGGGAACAGAGAAAAGGGCAGTTCAGTGAAGCAGAATTTTGGTAGTGCTCAGTTATATTAGTTTCCTGTGGCTGCTATAGCAAATTATTCCAAATTTGATACTTGAAAACAAAACATATTTATTTTCTCATGCTTCTGGAAGTTAGAAGTCCAAAATCAGTTTCACTGGGCCAAAATCAAGGTCCAAGACTGCACATCCTCTGAAGGCTCCAAGGGAGAATGTGATCTTCTGCCTTTTCTAACTTCTAGAGCTGCGTTTCTTGCCATCTTGGGCTCCCAGCCCCTTCCGCATCTTCAAGGCTAGCCCTGTAGCATCTTGCTGCAGTCATCTCATCACAAACTCCTGTCTGTGCAGTGAAATCTCTTTTTGCCTTTCTCTTATAAGAACACTTATGATTACATTTAGAGCCCACTTTGATAATTCAAAATAATCTATACTTCTTGAGATCCTTAATATAATCACCACTGCAAAACCCCCTTTGCCATTTAAGGCATTTATGGATTCCAGGGATAAGAATGTGGATGTCTTTGGTACTGTTATTCAGTCTACCACACTATTTCAGCAACTATAACTGGAGGCTCAGGAGCTCTGGCCAACAAGTGTATTGGGCCTCTTTGTTGACTTTCATCTACTGTGGATCCTCAGCTTGGTCCAGGCTCTGATCTGAGACTCCTCAGGAGACCTTTTCCCTAGTGTATATGAAACATGGACAGAACAGACAGACCATGAAGAAGAAAGCACTGGCTTATGTAACAACTGAATTTCTGGAGAGGAATGAATAGATTGGCACTTTGCTTGACTATCTCAGTGAGTCTGAAATGCGGGAATCTGGCCCAGAGAGATAAGGCTTCCATTTCCAGGTACGGGCAACACTGCCTTGTCCCAAACCCCAAAGTTAAGCACCCAAAAAAGTACTTGGTTGGATTCACCAAGGAAGAGTCACTTTGGTTGGTTGTAGACAGCTTAACTTGACTACATACATTCTCAAAAATAACATTTATTTTACTGGCACTTGAGAAAGTGATTTGAGAACTATTTGTACTAATGGGCATGTTCCACTACCCTGTGTACTGTTTTTTTGGTACAGTTTTCGCTCACAAGGTATAGTGTATCTATTAAACTCTCCAGTCTGTCCTGACATGAACAGCTCTTGTTCGATTCTCTGAGCAGTTGGGGACCACAGTCTGCCTTTTGTACCATGTCCATGATTATGTAGTGACTGTGAGCCCAGCTGGCAGCCTGTAGGAACTGTCTTGCCCCTCACAGTTGCTTCAGCTGTGTGACATCGAAGGTATCTGGTCATTGATTTGATTATTTTGAGACCATACAGAAAGTCTTAACTTGCTCACAGAGAACTTCAGAAAATTAGCCCATGGACAGAGAGTGCTTACAGCTAAACTGAAGCTGATATTCTTCCCTTTCAACACTTCCTTGAGCAGAGTCCTGGGGGAGTCAGTCTTGATGTATCTACTATCAAGGTTCACAAGATAAAAAAAAAATCACCATAATGTTTTTTGCTCTTTTTGTTTCAAGTAGAAAATGTGCAATGGTTCAGAAGGGTCTCCCAAGTTTCATGTGTTGAAAACTTAATCCCCAATGCAACAGTGTTGAGTGGTAGCACATTTTAGAGGTGACCAGAGCCCTTATGAATGGATTAATGCCATAACTTCAGGAGTAGGCTCCTGATAAAAGAGTGAGTTCACCCCCCTTTCTTCCCTAACTGTAGGTTATCAAGCATGTGCCTGCATGCTCTCTTGCCCTTCCACCTTGTGCTGGGGGACAATGTAGCAAGAAGACCTTCATTGGATGCTGAGTAGATGTTGGTGCATGCCTTTGGACTTTACAGCCTCCAGAACTGTGAGCCAAATAAATTTCATTTCTTTACCCACTACTCAATCTTAGGCATTCTGTTATAGCAACACAAAATGGACAAAGGCAAAATGTTTGGGGATTTATTTGTTGTGAAAACTTGAGCTAACATTCTCTTCCTGGAGGTTGTCTTTAAAGAATCGCTCAGAAATTCCATAAGCTCCAGCTCATATCTGCAAATGTAACGAGACCCTTTCCCCAGCAATGCTATGAAACAGGCATTGCCCTGGCAGTGTGGGCTGGAATGTAAATGTCAGAAACCTGGGCATGGCCAAGTTAAACAGGAATGCCATGTGTTCTTGCTGCCAGGGGTGGGGGTGGGTAATGAGGTGCATATGTGAAATCTCGGTGCCCATGTCTCTGCTCAATGAGGTATCTATCAGCTGTTTGGGACTTTAGGTGAGAAGGCATTTATTTCACTCACTGATGTTGAAATCATCCTACCTACAGCCACAGGTAGCAGGCAGAAGCTAAGCCCATAAAAGGCAGAGAGTTTGATTGGAGGCAGGTTATGTAGTTTAAATTGGTTTTTAAAACTATCGCTATCCACAGAGCCTGATATGAGGTTATATTTGGGTTATATTGTTTAATCTTTCTAACAACCCTGTGATGGGAAGTTCATTTTGCTCCACAGTTTTCAAGGAAGGAGACAGAGGCTAACAGTCTAAGCATCTCGTCCATGATCACCCAGTTAGTAAGTGGGCTTGCAGGATCCAGGGAGTCTGCCTTAAAAATCTCCTCTCTCACCCACTCTGCTATGACAGGTTACTCTGCTTTTCACAGCATTATCCAGTACATCTCTGTGGTTTATATTAAGAGTTTTAGAGTGGGACATGCATGTTTCCACCTCGACCAAACCATGCTGGTATGCACGTGAAAGGACCGAGATCTAACTTGGGCTATGACTGCTTACTCTGCTCCAATGCTTACGGGATCTCCAGATCCTTGGGACAGGCAGCTGGAAGCTGAGATTGGAGACTATATTGGCTCTAAATTGTTTATTGTGTATGAACCTGGAGAGTTAATTGTTCAGAATACAGATTCTCAAAGGATTGTCCCTGAACCAGCAGCATCTGGGAGTTTGTTAGAAATGCAAATTCTGGAGCTCTACCTAGACCTACTGAATCAGAAACTCAGAGCCTGGGGCTTAGCAATCTTATTTTAACAAACCCTTGAGGTGATGCTGATTTACGCTAAACAGGTCTCCTAGAGTTTGTGCTCTGCCATTCTTAGGAAACCCTTTTGTCATTCTCAGCACAGGCTGAGACTAAATAGCTACTTTCAGGTGCTGGGCATGGGAGGAACAGGGAGGACCCAGTGGAGCCTGCCAGATTCTCAGAGGGCAGGGGGCCTTCGGAGGGAGGGTATTCTTTATTATTATTATTATTATTATTATACTTTAAGTTTTAGGGTACATGTGCACAACGTGCAGGTTTGTTACATATGTATACATGTGCCATGTTGGTGGGAGGGTATTTTTCCTGGGTGAGTTGCACCTATGCCTGTGAGTGCTTTGTATTCTACAAGGTGATTCCTGAACACTCCTGATTCCAGGTTTTGTTCTCATCTCCAGGCAATTCCAAACTCCTGATTCCTGGTTCCTAGTTCCCAGCTGCCATTCTCCTACCTTAAGCGCCTCCCCCTCCTGGAAGCCTTCTGACTTAGGAACACTTGTCCAGACCTCAGATGCATGTGATTCTGATCATTAGCACCTTGTAGTTGGGATCCTTGCCTTGTAAATCTCTTTGTTCTCTCAAAGTTCAGGGGAAGGGAGGGGCAGGAAGCCTGAAGGAGTTCTCCTTTCAGCCTGTTCATCTGCTCCAAGTAGAACAAAGCTGCAGTGTGGGGAAGGCGCTTTGATCCCAGACAATGAGAGCGGCTGGATTAAGTGTTTGGAGAGACCAGACAGCTCTGGCACAAAACAGATCTGTTACTTTTCTTTCTTTTTTTTTTCTTTTCTTTCTTTTCTTTTTCTTTTTCTTTTTCTTTTTTTTTTTTGAGACCTAATTCATGTATTAGAAACAAAAAAGGCATAATGTTTTGAAGGGTGGTATTTCCACAGCTGTAAGTCTCAGGCGTAAACTGAAACATCTGTGTACTGGGTGCCCTGCCCGGGCGAGGAGGTTCTACCCCTAGGGGGACACTACCCTGATGCATTGGGATGACACGGCATTCCCAAATGACCCCAAGGCCACTGAATGGCAGCTGGGACTGGGAAATACTGGAGCTGGGAGGGACCTTGGGAAATTTGCTCATGTGCTTAAAACCCATTTATGCCTAGTGTTCCATTGTTGGAACACTAAGCATGAGGGAGTTATTTACTCTTACTGCTCAAGGTCATAGCCAAGGTCTGATTGCAAAAATTCAAAAAATTGCAGCCGCAGGCATAAATGGGTTAACACAGTTCCTAAGCATACAGAACTCTGAGTTTAAAAATAAACATCACAAAATAAACATTTCTGTATAGGACGCCTACTAGGTACATTATATACCACCCTCCACTAAAACCGCGGGGGCCTCTGTTTTCTCTTATGATTCATGACCATTTCAATAATACTCATTATATGCGTGTTATTGCTATCCCCATATTTCAGAGGAGAAATACCAAAGCACAGAGAGGCTGGTAAGTTCCTCAAGTTCACACAGCTAAAGAAGTGGCAAAACCAGGATCCCAACCCAGGCAGTCTGGTTCGAGGTCAGTGCCCTTCATTATAGGATAAGGTCCCTGTCCATAATGAGTTCCAGTCCCTCTGAGGAAGTGACGGATGGTGCAGGGAAAACCCAGCACATCCAGAGTGCTCAGGACACAGTGTCTGTCCTTACCATTGCTGTTGTTACTTACACAGATAAATTTAGCAGAGTGTGACAACGGCTGAATGGATGGGTGGAGTGTGATGAGGAAGCAGAAGAGGGAACCTGGAGCTCAAAACTGCCAGTTGGCCAGGAAGAGGGCAGCCTTCATTCACAAAAGAGATGATATTTGAATTAAGTTTTTAGAACCCCAGAGAAAGATAAAGGAGAAAGGTGTGTCAGTCAGGGAATCATAATATGCAAAGGCATCCGAATTAGACCAGAGTGACAAAAATTAGAGGGCTTTAAAGATGTTTTGCTTTCCAGAGTTTTAGCTCATGCCTCTCTATACCTCTCACCTTTATCAAAACCCCAAGGTTTCTGCTGTATCAAAATAATGGAGTTAGAAGTAGAAATTAACTGTACTGGAATGGACCTCAGTATGTGCATTGGATTAATGAGCAAACTTATATACAGAAAACAGAAGCCAATTACTATACTTTGACCATTTTTTTCCATTAAAGCCAACCATACACCTTTAAGTCCGGGCAGCCCGAATGTCTAAGTATTCCCTTTGTTTGCACACAGCCCTGGTCTTCTATCCTCTTATGCTTGGTTCCTCCAAGCATGCTTGGAGAATGCTCCCTCCCATCCTTGACACCACTTCTCACCTACAATCAAAACTTGGTTCAGATGCCTCCTCCAGGAAGCATCCCATGCTCCTCCTAGCTGGGAATAATTCTTTCCTCCTTTTCATTCCCTTGTAGCAATGATGACTTCCTATCTTGCATTGTGTACATCTTACCTCCCTTGTTTGATGGTAAGCTCCTTGTAGGTGAGATCCCTGTTCAACTTGGAGTCCCCAGCACTCACAGAGGACCTAGCCCATGGTGATATGCAGTAACTTTGTGACATGCAATAACTTTGAAAATGTATTAATGAACATATTAGGAACCATTTGTGTGGGCCCCTATTCTGGCTTTTTTGTTAATTGGGCAATTGTGTTCAGGAGAATGAAACCCTGGGAATAAATCTCTCAGAATGCTCACAGAGGCTTTGACTCACAGGCAGGAGGGGACCTGATTTCTAAGGCATCAGCAATGGTCCATGGCAGGTTTCTCTGCCTCTGGCACGATGGATAGAGAAAAGATTTCTGAAACTTCTCTCACTTTGACAGTTCAGTATAATTTGACATAGTACTGACTGGGTACAGGAGACGCAACCCCATGTGTATTAGCATGTAGAAATACACAGAATTCCTCTTTTCTTTGGGTCTTCATTTCCAAAGGTTCTTGTGTCACATAAAACTTGCATTAAATAAATTTGCATGCTTTTCTCTTGTTACTCTGTCTTTTGTTATACGGGTTTCAGCCATGAACCTGAGATGGGAAGAAAAGCTATTTCTTCCCTTCCACAGTGTATTCCTCAGTATCTGATAAGGCAAAACTTAGAATATGGTCCTAAGACAACTAAAAAGGGCCTTGATTCAGCTGTACTCTTGAATTCCAAAGGCATGATATGCCTGTGATTTTTTTTCCTTGGTGCCAAATCAGCTCTGCTTATCGACTGCTATTTTAATGAAACCTCCTGGTACCAGCTCAGGAAGGATATTTTTATTAGATACGACTGGGCGGATTCTCATGTTGAAAGCATTTGGTGTAAAACATGAACTCATTCAGTCCTCAGATATCCTTCCAAATATTTCCTTTGAAATTGGAAAATTACCAAGGAACTTGTGATAAGAAGATGAAAAAAGGAATTAAAAAGCAGGGATGACATGCTTCTCTTCTCCCCACAATCCTGCATGGGTGGGGCTTTTGGGATTTGGAAATCAACAAAATTAGAAGGTTAGTTGGTGAGAGACCTGGAATTGGGCAACCCTGACCCTGGCTGTGCTCGGTGGGGGTGGGTCAGATGGTCAGTATTGTTGTCTTCTGCTTTTCTGTCTTCTCTAACTTCCCCTTTGGGGCAGGAGTCACACAGAGAAGATAAGAACAGGTCTGACTCACATAAGTCAACCCTATTAATTCATCAAGCCCCTGGCATTATAGTGTGTAAATCTCAGCATCAAGGGAAGGGTTGCCACCAATATTTATAGAAATCAACCCTCCCTGTCCGATTTAAAAATCTCTTCCAAGATCATCTACTTCCCCCAACTCAGAATGCAGTAGAGGCAGAAGCTTACAAGTTGGGTTCTGGATCACCAGCCTGAGTTGAAATACTAGCTTTACCAACTTTATGTTTGGGTAACTTGGGCAAGTTATTTCATCCTGCTGTACCTCAGTTGCCTTACTGTTAAAATGAAGATAAATGATATTACTCATTTCATAGGGTAGTTATAAAGAGACAATGCATATACTTAACCATCCCCAATATAAATACTTAATAAATGGTAGCTATTATTGCCATTACCATAAAGACCCACACCTGTCTTGATAAGCAAAGAATGGAAACGATGGAGACTCAAATAACTTCCTGAGCTTTCCCCAAATAATCATACCTTCTAGGGACACACAGCAATCACCTGCAATCCCTGAACAGTTTTTTGTAGGCATCTGGACTTTCCTGAACTCCTGACATTGCTGGTATCATTGGGGTCTTTCCCAAGTGAGGCAGTATGCTGCTGATACCCAGCAAGATTTCATGAGGTGGACTCCTGTACTATCTTGAGATGAAGACAAAAGATTCAAAGCAAAAGAACATTCAGGTTATCTATGGGTGGCTTTGTTTTCTAGATATGGCTCTTTCAGAATTGAATTTCAGAGAACATCAAACAAGGGCCATGATACTGAGACATTTAACTCCAGAATTCTCACTGCTTAACCAGAGAGCCTAGGATGGCTTCCCTGATTCTTATTGAAATTCCCTCTTAAGGCTTGTCACCATCTCAGTATTATTCTCGCCATTTGATAGATGAGAAGACTGAGGTTCAGAGAAGTCAACGGCCAGTGGGAGAACCTCAGGAGCATTTAAGAAAAGAGATGTTGGTGGTATATTTTAGAAGAATAGGAAGCATCTCTACTCATGTTGAATTCATTCAACAGGACTTGGAGGGATTCGTGATTCATTCACACAAGCAGGAAGATCAAAGTGGCCTCAATCGCCTTGACTAGGAATAAATGTTTCCTTGTCCTTGGGATTCTCTGGGATAAAGTATAGGGTCTAGGGTATTCCTTGGAGATAAAAATTGTTTTGACAATGACAGCTGCTCTTTGAGTTCCATGGGTCCCCACCCCTGGGACCAAGCTCTCATTCATGGGTGGTCCTGCCTGTGACCTCTTCTCAGTTTTCCAGACTCCCACCTTCCCCTGGTATCCCCTGCTCTGGGTCTCTTCCTCCTAACTGCCCTTCTTGGTCCAAGTCCTTTAAGATACAGGAAATGTTGGAAATTCCAAAGTTCCAGCCTGATCTACTGCCCCTGCCAGGCATTATCTGGGCTCAGTGTCCCATTTCAGCTCTCTATCCAAACTCCATTGTTTCTTCTTGACTAGGCCCATTACTTGGTGCTGCTGTCTGTTTGCCTTGTTTCAGCTCTTTTCTGGGACATTGGCTCAGGTCATCCTTACCTCTCCGGACTCCAGGCTAAAGCTCTGACTTCTTTGGTCTGGACAAGTCTATCTGGTGCAACCCGGGAGGGCTCTCCCAGCTCAGGGACCCTCAGCATTTTTCTTTTCTCACTGGTAGGGACACTCAGAATCATGACCATGGGTCAAGATAACAGAAAGTCTCCCTTTTACTGGTACATGTGAATAATAGAAATTTATTTGATCTCTCATGCAGCTCAGTGACAGACCAGCGATGTCTTTCCTGGCCACAGGGCAGAGTACGGTGGACTGTATGTTTATACTTTATGCCCCTTTTGTACACTCTTCTCATCAGAGACAGAGTAAAAATTCTGTCTCCTTGCTACTGGGCTGGAGGGATTTGGTGCTTCATGGATGGAGCTAGAGACCATTTTCCTAAGTGAACTAACTCAGGAATAGAAAACTAAATACTGCATGTTCTCACTTATAAGTGGGAGCCAAATGTTGAGTACACATGGACACCAGGAAGGAAACAACAGACACCAGGACCCACTTGAGGGTGGAGGGAGAGTGGCAGCTGAGTACTATGTTTAATACCTGGGTGATGAAATAATCTGTACACCAAACCCCTGTGACATGTAATTTACCTATATAACAAACTTATACATGAATCCCTGAACCTAAAATAAAAGTTAAAAAAACTTGAAAAAGAAAATAGAAAACTTGGTGGTACTTCTCAAAAACAAAGATATTCTAGCACAGAAACAATGCTTCCAGAGAAGAAAGAAAGAGTTTCTTGAGCATCTACTGTATACCAGGCTCTGAGATAGTTTATTTACCGTGTCATCTAGAGCAGAGGTCACCAGCCTTTTTGGCATCAGGGAGAGGTTTCGTGGAAAGACAGTTTTTCCATGGATGGGCAGGCGGGGTGTGGGGGATGGTTTTGGGATGAAACTGTTCCACCTCAGATCATGAGACATGAGTCAGATTCTCATAAGGAGTGTACAACCTAGATCCCTTGCGTACTCAGTTCACAATAGTGTTCCCACTCCTGTGAGAATCTAATGCCGCTGCTGATGTGAGAGGCAGCAGAGCTCAGGCAGTAATGCTGGCTTGCCCTATGCTCACCCCCTGCTGTTGGGCCTGATACCTAACAGGCCATGGACTGGTCCGCGGCCCAGGAGTTGGGAACCCCTGATCTAGAATCTTTCTAGATGCTGGAATTCTGGATGAAACAATCTTAATCACCTCCTCTACCGATGTCTTCTCACAGTCCAAAGACTTCCTCAAGATTTTTGCGATGTTCAAAAGATCTTGGTTTCACGACAAAACAAAAGGATTCTTCTTTTTATTAGCAAACATGTATAAAAGGCAGTTGAGGGTTATAATATATGTTTTTTTCTTAAACACCAATACACTTTTGGTTCTAATTCTTAAACAACAGTGACAAAACCCTGAGGTAGATATTTTTAATTCCACTTTACAGATAAAAAAATTGAGTACGTATTAGGGATTTTTAATGATGTTTTGTTCTCTCACATAGCAAATAGCTGGTAGATTAATTATCGAAATCCAGATATGTATGACTTCAAACCCATGTCCTTTCCACAAATTTAAAAATTCAAAGACTGATTTATTGTGTAACTGATGTAGGTTTTATAATGCATCTTTATATCACTATTATAGGTGAATTCCATTCTCCTGGGTGGTATTTTAATTTGTACAAAGTAATGAGAGTTTCCACCAATTTAGTCTAAATTTTGATCCTGAAATTTCTACGTTGCAGGAGTGATGGGACAAATCACTAATCAGTATATTAGTGCTTTTTGCAAATCTTGGTCTGGAATGACCAACCTAAGCGGCCACGAGAAACTTCGTCTCCTGGAAATAGATGTTCTGGTACCTTAGTTGAAATTGCTAGATTTCACATCTTATTAGGAATCTGCTTGTAATTCTGTACTGTCTCAATTTTATCTTCAGAATTGAATTAATTAGCTAAGAAAACTTTTGCATCATGTGTAATTTGTTTTTTTCTTCAGATGTACCGTGATAACAAGCTATTCTTTTACATCAAGATGGAAACATATTATATTTTCATGCAAAGAAGAATCTGTTATTTTTGAAGTGTTTAATCCCCTTGTCTTTAAAATATTCAGAAAGTAAGTGCTTGTCAGGCAGTGGATGCCCTGGGTCTTTGGAAGTCAAACTTTCAGCTGATATGGCTGTGGATGGTTTCATCTGTAACACATGGAAGATGTTCCAGACAGAAGAATTTGCAGGAGTTACAGCTTCGTTAAGGTGCTCACAGAAGGCCAGTTTCCTAATTAGAAATGGTGTTGGGTATAAGAATTGAAGGAAAAAAGGCTGGAAATTGTAACTGGCATTGGCCTTTATGGTGCCATTTAAAAACCAAAATTTTATAGTTGATTTCTGTCTTTCAACCTTGGAGGCTTGAGAACTCATAACCATTTTTGAAAACGTATCCACCTTGCTTAACCTCATTGTCTATAAATTTATAGTCCATGAAACTGCCTCTTCTGACACTTTTTATTAGAAGAGATTATTATGAAAGTACATTTTAAAGATGCTATTGATTTTAAAATGACAGAGGAAGTTTACCTAATTATCAAATATATATTCCCATTGTTTGATAAATATAAGGAAATATGATTTTATTGATGATTCCTGGGAAACTGGGTGAATTTCTCCTCTGGATTTACAGGGACACATAACACTGATTTTTATTGTAAACATCAAAAACAACCTAAAAAGGTATTTTACAGGAAGTCATTTTTCAACTAGTGAATTGTTTTTCTTATACAGCTCTGACTCAACTGTACTTATAATTTACTTTTTCTCCTCCATGTCAATTTAATGAAAAAAATAAAGCATGCCCACTTACTCTTTTCAGCTTTTTTTTTTTAAGTCTAAAGTTACCCTAATGGTGAGGGAGCTCAAAATCTTGGTGTCAGAAACCACAGGGGATTCAAAGAATGATCTGTGTTGGAAATCCATCTCTTTTACAAGTGAAGCATGGGGAAGTTACTTACATTCTCTGAGCCTCAGTTTTCTCTTCTATAAAGTGCAGGTAGTAATGAAAACCTCTTAAGGATATGAGATAGCATATAATGCTCCTAGTGGGCTGATCATGCACGGAAGTCATCTGTTAGTGGTGATTTTTGTGTTTAACTTGGAAAGGATGGTCCTGAGGGTATATGCTAGCTGTCTGCATATTTTAATAAATTGTATGTAGAAAAGCAGTAGTTAGGTTTGTCCTATCTACCATCCTGCAGGCAGAATTGGAATTGATTGATATAAGTCACAGGGAAATCACCTGTTTGAGTTGGAGCTGCCCGGTGCTGTAGGAACTGGATTCCTGCTCTCTATTTATTATTTTTTTGAGACAGAGTCTCGCCTCTGTCACCCAGGCTGGAGTGCAGTGGCGCGATCCTGGCTCACCGCAAGCTCCACCTCCTGGGTTCATGCCATTCTCCTGCCTCAGCCTCCCGAGTAGCTGGGACTACAGGCACCCACCACCACACCTGGCTAATTTTTTTTTTATATTTTTAGTAGAGACGGGGTTTCACCATGTTAGCTAGGATGGTCTCGATCTCTTGACCTCGTGATCCGCCTGCCTCGGCCTCCCAAAGTGCTGGGATTACAGGTGTGAGCCACCGTGCCCAGCCGATTCCTGGTCTCTAAAGGTGATCAAGTGGCATCTGTGGGGCCTGTGCATCCTCAGTGGTGGCCATCATGGAGTGTCAGTGAGGTAGAGGAGGTCGGACTCAACTCTGAAGGTGGGCTCAGACACCAGACCAAATTGAGGACTAGCTAAAACAGGGATGGGGCAAAAGCAGCTTTCTATAAGACATGCCCGACAGTGTGCCATGGCAATGGTGAACACCCAGGAGTTATTGCCCCTTTCCATGGCAATGACCCAATAACACAAAAGTTACTACCCCTTCCCTAGAAATTTCTGCATAAACCACCCCCACCTTGTAATCTACATACAGTTAAGCATAGGTATAAACATGACTGCAAAAGTGCCCTGAGCACGGCCTAGGGGGTATCCCTGCTCTGCAAAGTTCTGCAAAGCACTGCCAAAGTTCTAACACTGCCCCTTCAATAAAGATGTTTTCTTTTACCCTACCACCAGCTCACCCTTGAAGTCCTTCCTGGGTGAAGCCAAGAACACTCACAGGCTGAGCCCCACTTTGGGGCTCACCCGTCCTGCACCATCAGGATTAGATGAGGATCGGACCAAATGTCCCATAAATCCCCTCTGCACCTGATGTTCTGCAATTCTCTGATTAAACAGACCCTCTAATTGTGTAAAGATCTCACCTCAGATCAGATTCCCAGGGTCAGACATCACACTTCAGATGCCTTATAGACTTGGCCTCCATGGATGGGCATCTCTTCCACCTTCTTATTTGCTTTTAACATTTTGTTTTGCACATTTGGTCTTTTGTGGGTCTCCTATCTCTGACTGATACCCACAGGTCTCCCAGTCCAGGGAACCTCCACTGAAAGTTTTGTTTCTTTATTTTAGTTTCCCTTCAGCTCTCCCCTCAACACCCTCATAGACCATGCCCCCTTCTCTCCCATCTTCAGACTTCCAACTCCAATGAAGCCCACAAATATCTGCCTTTGGTTGGCTTCCGTTAACTCATATTTACTTCACTTCTAAGAAAAGCTAACCCTGAGAAAGCTTGAATACAATCCTTGGAGCCAGTTCTTAAAGTGACCTCTTCAGTCTGCTGGCTTCATTTAAGAAGTGGCACATGGGGAAAGAGTGGGCTTTGCATGCATACTGGGATTCAAGTCCTATCTGCATTATTTACTAAATGTGGAATCTTGGGTAAGTCTCTTCACATTTCTGGGTCTCTCTTTCCTCCTGTCACAAAATTACCTACCTTTTCAAGGGTGGTGCTGATTGGAGAAACTTTATGTAAACTTGAATGTTATGTAAATCCCATGACACGTTCAGCAAATGGCTGCTTCTGGCATTACCACCTTCACTCGCCTTCCTCAGCATCACCATTTGGAATGGTTTACAGTCTTCAAAAGCATTTTTCACCCTTTCCCATTTCCCTCAGAATCTTTTAGAGAAATTTGCATGACCTGTGACATGAAGAACTTACATCAAAATCTACCTCTTCCAGGAAACCGTCCCCTAAAGGAAGAAAGGTTCTACTTAAACTAATCTCCATTTTGGTCTCCTTTTTGCAAAACAGAAAATGGAACCCACTGTGGCATGAAGGGTAAGGGAAGACCTGTTCCTCAAATGCCTCACAGCACACATACCCTTGCTGCTGCCTATAATTGCCTGCAGAAAGCCTTACAGGTTTTCAAGAAGGTGCATTTTTGAGATGAAAATGCACGAGAGGCCACCTGAGCGAATTCTTCCTGTATGTGGTGGACACTGTGAATGGGTGTAGCAGTACTGTGGTAGGAAAGAACAGATGTTTGGAGTGAGACAGAACAAGGTCTTACAACACGCAGGTGATATGCTGTCTGTGACCACGACAATTTTCCTAAAAGAGGGGTCAGTAAACTACTTCTATAAAGGACCAAATAGTAAACATTTTTGGCTTTGTGTGCCACATGATTTTGGCTGTGGCCACTCAAATTTGCCATTGTGACTTGAAAGCAGCCATAAACAATACGTAAACGAGTGAGTTTGGTTGTGTTCCAAGAAAACTTTATTTACAAAATCAGAAGCTGAGCTTGATTTGGACTACATAGAGTGGTTTGCCAGCCTGTGTCTGACTTTCTCCAAGCTTCAATTTATTCATCTTCAACATGGGGATAATAGAGTTTCATAAAGATTAAATAGGTTAATACAAGTAAAACATCTGAGCACACAGCCTGACCTCTAAAAGATTTTTAAAAAGTGACTTCTTTCCTTCTCATCCTTTTTTTCCCAAGTGCTTCTGTACAGTGAGGAGTTGGGAAGAAATGTGGACAAAGGTCCCTCCTGGTCCTGTGATTTTATGAAATTACCCTTTGAAAAAGGAGCAAGCAAACAAGAGCATGCCAGAGAGAGAAATTGTATGGGTATCCTTTTCTCTGCAAAATCTGACCACAAGAAGCATTAAATCAATCAGATGACAAAGCAGAATATAAAAAATTGAGTCGGTTTGGTCTAAAGTATGCAGGAGGTCTGTGCTGTTGGGATCAGAAGCAGAAAAAAAATGAGGGAAATATTTTCAACACGTATGTGCATTGGCTATTCTACGACTCCCACATAATTCATCACAGGAAAACTTTGAGTGCAATAAACATTTCCCCTAGTTTCCTGGCTGCTCTGATCAAGAACAAAGCCATTAACATAAATGCAGATAAATACAAGGCAAATAACGATATTCCCAATTGCTTCTGTGTCAACCAGCTTAGTCCATCAATCTTGCCTGACTCGGTAAGAAGGAACCGAGAAAATTTATAACCGTAGATTTCTTTCTATTGCATTTCTACCTCACAGAGGAGAAGAAGAATGAATCATTCAGAAAGTCCTAGGAAACCAAATGAATGTTCTTCATCTCTAGAGCTTCCCATCTCAGCTACAATTTCAGTCATTGCCCCAACACCATACCTTTCTGGGGCTGGGGCTCTTTCAATGTGACATTTCTTTGGGCAAACTTATGGCTGTTTGTGTTATTCTCAGAGCCCTCCCTCTGCACTCCTTGAAGAAAGGTGTGTCCCAGGGACCTATTGGCAAGCCCATCCTACCTGCTGCTGTGAGCTGGTGGTGGCGGGGTCAGGGGGGTTGAACTTGGCAGGATTGCTGTGTCTTTACCCCCCATCACAGTGGGTGACAAGTTCAGTTGTAGTTTCTCAGTCTCCAGCTCTGTGTGCCTCTTCATAGTCACTTCATTGACTTCACATCCTTGGCCAATTTTAAACAGCATTATCCCTGGTCTTCTTACTCAACTCCCTTCTCACACTCTACTAACCCTCCCCCAATCATCTCATTTGCTCTCCTGATAACAAGTACCACCTACATGCCAGTGAACCCCCATATCTTGACCTCCTGCCCAGGCTTCTCCTACAAAGTCCAGGGTCTTCTTTTTAACCCCTAGTTGTCATCACCTCCTGCATACCCGCTGGGCACGTCAATTTTAACATATCCAGAGCACTTCCTTGTTCCCACTGAGTCTTTAGCACTATTCCCCATTCAGTAGCTCACATCAGAAACTGGACAATGCTAGATGCTGCCCTTTCTCTCAGCCCTAACATCTCATCAGTAGGCATGACCTATAGATAAAGACTTCCTAAAAATCTTTTGAAAACATTTCCTCCTGGTCTACTGGATCACAGTCCTGGTGAAGAGGCTCATTGCCTCGTACCAGAGAAATGCCTCATTTTGGTCTCCCTGCCTCTCCTTCCTTCCTCTCCCTCCCCTTGCCATTAATGATTTGGGGTTTCCTCTGTTCTATGATTGTAGAACATAAGTTGCATTTACAAACAATGCATATTCCCTCAGTGTGCAGAAGCTGCTATGGGAACAGAGTTAGGACTGGAAGCTGGAATACATGATTTACTATCTGATACAGAACTCAGGCTTGGGGAGAGAGAGAGAGAGATCAGCACTAAAGAGATATTTGTATTTTCGGTGTTTATGTAGTAGCCTAAATGACTTAGCATATGTAAATGAACTCTTCTAACACCCTTCAAGGAAAATATTATTTTCCCCAATATTATAAGAAATACCCTTGCAACTTGTTATTTTTGAGGATGTCTTAGTTAGGTTGTGACAAATCCAGGATTCAAATCTAAGGTGTCCTCTGTGTAAAAACCCCACCCTACATCTTCACTGCTCACTTCTTTGTGGAGGAAGGCAACAGGACTATTCTGATACAAACCTGGAGAAGAAACATGGTAATACTGGAGGTAAACAGAATACATGGCCCTAGAATAGGAGCCCAAGGAGATCAGAGATTTTATTATCCATTTTGTTCACTGATCTATTCCTAGAACCTACAATAGTTCATTCCAAGGGAGCTACTCCTATAGATGTTTATTGAATAAATGAATTAAATCACAGAATCCTATAAACATGGTCTCAGAAGCTATGTCTCCCTAAAGAGAGCTTTGTCTTGTGACCTTGGCAATGTAGTTCTTCCTCTCATGGGCTTTTGTATCCACAGGGATGAGAGCAGTGGTCATCATTCAGTGACTGAGTCCCTTTCAAGGCTGGCACAGGGTATCAGAGTTTTCTCTGTATATAACCTATTTTAACCTTCCTGGTGATCTTTTGGAGTCTGCCCTGGGACCCTAGTTTTGTCAGAAACAATGACTTAAGCCTCAGCCTCCATCTCATAACCAACCTCATCATCTCTATCATGGAATTCTGGATGAAGTACAAGCTCCACACCAGAAATGACACTTCTTCTATCTCTTCTGGCTACCCCTGCATGCCACCTTATTTTTCCATCTGCCCCATGGATTCTTTCTCTTTCAGTTGCAGAATAGCAACAACAGTAGTCAAGGAAACACTTAAAATTCTTCCAACTCTGTCTGTTTGTCTTGAAAAATATCCTACCTTGCATATATCTCTGTATGTCTCATTGTCAATGTCAGAGTGGAAGAAAGAACAAGACTTCCGTGGATCAGGAAATGAAGATTTGATCTTGGTTCTATCTCATGGCCTGTGTGAATGTTTAAAGACCATTTAATTCATCAGAGCCCAAGGTTCTCTATCTATAAAATAGGGCTAAAAAACCCCTACTTAGAATTTTACCGACTTTTCAAAGGGATAGCATTATGCTGTTAGCAGAGAGCCTGGCACAAAGTAGGTGGTCTTTAAACATTAGTTTGCTTTCTCTGGGTTTCCACACCTTTTAAATCTAGAGGAACACAGATATACCTCCTGGTTAAGTGAACTGGCCACTCAGTGAAATTCAAACCACTACTCAGGGTGATTGCATGGGATCGGCTGTCATCGCACCTGTCTGAGTGGCCCCAGTCAGGCTGCAAGGTTCTCTGGCCTTTGACCGGTGGCATTTGGACCTGTCTCCCTGAATGTCAGTCTGCTCACAGGTGCTGGCTCAGAGATGCCAATCACTGCTCCCTTTGGCTGATCGGCATGCTGTAATGTGTGCCTGCAGAGTTACTCCAGACAGACGGGGAAGGATTGAGTTGACCCAACATCATCTATCTGGCTGGACGCTCATTTTTCTTCTCCTGCCTGTCTTGTTCCTGCTCAATGCTTAAGACATGTCTCAGGGCGCTTTGCCCTGGTGTGCTCTTTCCACCCTCTCTGCCCCCTCCAGGCGGCTCTAAATGTCAGTCCCAGCTTAACTTCAGTCTCAGTGATGCACACACTCATTCACTCCATCGGTGCATCCAGCCATTCCTTGTTTTCTGTTTTTCCCTTCCGTAAAAAATTGCTGTGCACCTACAGTGTGCCTGGCTCTTGAGGATTTTTAGGCATGATTCTCCATAATCAGGATTGCCTTTCCGCCCCAGAAAGGGAATCTTAGAGACCGAGTGTGTTCACAGATTTCCACTCTGATCATCAATTGTGCAGCTGCTCCAGCTGTGGGGGTGGTGGAAAACCTAGGGCTGGGTGGGGTGGGAAGTTGGTTGTTGCTATGGTATTTGCCCTGACCTGTTGCCCAGTTTTGTTTTCAGGTTTAAAAAAGTCACTGCATCCTTTCCTTTATTCCTTTGTAACAACTCAGATGTCTTTTCACTTCTGTAGTTCTTGCAACTTCTGTAGTCAGGCATCATCACCAGTGCTCTATCGGCTGTTGATCCAGACTTCTGTTCCTGGGATCTTGCTAGCACAGTTGCCTTTTGGCCAAGCCTGGAGGGTCCAGCCATTAAGAATGGCTCCAGAAGGTCTCCTCGTCTTTCTCTGAAGCTAGACCTTCTCCAGTGAGTTCTTTGTCATTGGGCATGGGCAATGCTTTACCAGGTAGCTTTCAACAGCATTACATTCCAACTGCAGTTTGCGTGTGTCTTTCTGCCTTTCATGTACCTCAGAGGGACTTGCCTTACTTCCTGGCTGTGCCACAAAGAAATAGCCGTTGTCTCCTCTCTTTGCCTAGTAGTTGTGATTCCCTGTGCAGAATGTTCCAGGGAGGCTTCTCAGGATTTCTCCCAGGAAATCCTAAGGATCCTTTAGCAGATGAGCCTCCACAGACCTTCCTGGATATCCCACGATTCCAGAGATGCTTATGCAAATGAGACCCCCCTCTGTGGCCTGTGGTTTCTATACTACTGGGGAACTTCCCTTCACAGTAATCAACATCTCATCTTAATTGCTTTTGTTTATGGTTCAATAAGTGCATCGTTTTTGGCAACACCAGCTCACAGCAATATCTTAAATTACCCAAGGATGCCCACTTTCATTTATGAACTCTGGTTTGTGTCTGATGAGCACTTAGATTTTTAACCATTTATTTTTTCCATGTGACAGGGAATGAGGAACATAAAGCTGATGGGAACAGTAAAGTAGGGGGAACGGGGAGACTAGGGAACCATAAAAGTATTGTACGGTGTTCCAGGCCAATATAAAAGCAATGAGTTTTTAATATATGGTGGGCGTAATACATTCATATTCCTAATAAAGTCAATTATTTTTGAATCCGCTATTTCTCAATTTTCCACCTCAGCTCAGACAAAAACAAAATCTGCAGCTATTCAGAAGAAAAAAAATTATATTACAGTAATTGCAAATGCAGCAGCTGTCAAAAAAACTGTCTAATAAGTGCCTGTTTAACACATCTACCCTCCCAGAAACTGGGGGGAAATGTTGGGAACAGTGGTTACCATGAATATAATCTGAGACAAAACTGGATCTTTGCCTTCGATTTGAGCAATTATATTGCTTTTGGCTACTTTTCTTCTTCCTCCTCCTCCTTTTATATATGTATATATTTATTTATATATATCTTTATATATATATTTATGTATATATCTTTATATATATTTATGTATATGTCTTTATATATATTTATATATCTTTATATATTTATATATTTTATATATATTCATATATATTTATATATTTATATATATTTATATATATGTAGAGAGAGAGAGAGAGGGTGTTGTCATTCTGCAGGCAGCAATGAAGTAGAAAATGGTAGGTCAGTGGGGATGTGTGTGCCTCAGTGACATTTCAGTTCTTAATTACTTGTGTGTAACTGCCCATGTGCCTAACTTCTCTGTGCCTTAGTTTCCTTATTTGTTTAATGAGGGACTTGTTCCCAACTGACTTTGTTCATCACAATAATTTGTCATCTTAAATTTACTTTTAATTCCAGAAAACCGTTACTAATTGAAATGCTTACTACTGCTCTTTTTAATTATAGGAGAATATTAGTTAGCTATTGATACATGGCAATAGTATCATAAATTTAGTGGCTTAAAACAGCCTGACGTTTTTATATCAACTTCTGTGGGTCAAGGATTTGTGGGCAGCTTAACTGAGTCCTCTGCTTTTTGAGTGTCAGACAATATGAGAACACTAAGAGGTGGGGTTCCTGGGGCCACCTGGAGTCCACCCCCCACAAAAAGGAACACAGGAGAGTTGAAGCATAAGGTAACATTCTCTTTCTTTTCCTCTAATTTGGACCATTTCAATTTAAAGTTTTGGGTTGGTTGTTGTTTCAGTCTCCTAGAGCTGGGGTAGCTGATTACCCAAACTGGGTAACATGTAACAGTAGAAAATGATTTCTTCAGTTTTGCAGGCTAGGTGTCTGCAGGGCCATATGGCCTTTACTGTTCTGGGGAAGAATTTCCCTTCACCTCTTGCTAGAGTCTGGTGGCTCCCAGCAATCCCTGACCCTTGGCCTGTAGCTGCATCACTTAGGTCTCTGCCGCGGTTGTCCCATGGGTCTTCCCCATTTGTTTCTTTGTGTCTCTTCCTTTTCTTATAAGGACACCTGTATTAGTCCATTTTTATACTGCTGTGTAGAAATACCTGAGACTGGGCAATTTATAAAGAAAAAGAGGTTTAATGGACTCACAGTTCCACATGGCTGGGGAGGCCTCACAATCATGGCAGAAGGCGAAGGAGGAGCAAAGGCACGTTTTACATGGTGGCAGGCAAGAGAGAGTGTGCAGGGAAACTAACCTTTATAAAACCATCAGATCTCATGAGACTTATTCACTATTATGAGAACGGTGCAGGAAAAACCCACCCCATGATCTAATTACTTCCTACTGGGTCCCCTCCCACGACACATAGGGATTATGGGAACTACAATTCAGGATGAGATTTGGGTGGGGACACAGCCAAACCATATCAACAGCCATCACTGGGTTTTCCATAATCTGGTATGACATCATCTTAACTAATGATATCTGCAAAGATTGTATTTCAATATAAGGTCACATTCTGAGGTTTTGAGTAGATGTGAACATTTTGAGGGACACTGTTTATCCCAATACAGTTGTTTTTCCCTCCGGTATTGGCCACCCTGAAGCTAAATCCTATATCTAAACCATTCTTAGAAACTCCCCTCTCTGAGAGAGGAACACTGTTAGAGATAGTGGCCAAGAGGCACTTTTCTTTCACTACTCATGGGACCTGGGGAAGGACTTAGTTTCTCTGCCTCAAATACCTTATCAGTAAAATGGTTGCAATAATAATAATCATGCTTAACTTTTAGGGTTGTTAGAACATTAAGTGAAATAATATATGTAGACCTCTTGGAACAGTGCCTGGCACATAGTAAGCACTCTGCAGACGTCAGTACTCATTCTTAATTTGCCTTCTCTCTCCACCACCTGCTTTCTGTTACTGATAAATACCATGTTAAGTGCTGGTTTTACATTTAAAAATTACAGTTAAATATATTGATTATTGTAAGCAATTATAAATATACAAACTTCATAAATATTTATATGTACATCAAATATATAAATACATTTATATTAATGAAAATTAATAATGAATTGTAATTATTAATGAAATTATTTGAAATTATATAGACAGACACAAAATCCTTTCTTGCTTGATTTATTCACTTCTCACAGTATCCAGTTACTTACACTTTAGATGAAGGAATGAGCAATCTCCCTCCTCACCAGCAGCCTCTCTGCTTCAGTAGCTATGCCATTATTTTTCCCTTTCTGATTTTTATATTTCTTTTGTGTTATTTCATTCTGATTTAATCTTTCATTTTTTTGTTAAGAGGGTAATTTTAATAATAGCTTTGCATGGGAAATCAACTATTATTTCTATATTTTGATTTTGTAATAATAATAGTAATAACACCAAAAATTTGGGTACTTACCATTCTACATGCATTCCATACATTAGCTCATTTAATCTCTGCAACAGCCCTATGAAGGAGATGACAATTTAGAGATGAGAAAATAGCGGCACAGAGAGGTGAACTAATTTGCCCAAGGTCACAGAGCTAGCAAGTGGCAGAGGCAGTGTGCGCGCAGTCCGTGACCTTGGAGCTCTTCTCAGAGCCCGTCAGCTCTGTGGCCTCCAGGGTCCACGTTACCCATGGCAGAGTCACGTGTCTGCCTGGACCCACAGAGGGACTGAAAAGCTGTTTCTCTTAACTCATGACACTCAAAGGAATGTGGGTAAAACATGAAAAAAAAACCAAAAAGCAAAAAAAAACCCAAACCCTTTCCTTACTTATCCTTAATTAATTCCTCAAAAATACGCTGCATTTTAATTTTTCATATTCAACTCATGCCTTTCATGTGGGTGTTTTTGTTTTTCCATGGGCTTCCTTTATTTTTTCTGATAGAAAAAAATCTAAGCCTTCATCTTCCCATTAAGAAGTTGCAGCTTCTTCATCATACAAATTAAATGACAAAGTCTGCTTTCTCTTGAAGATGTTATTTCTGGCACAGGTCGATTTCCTGCCCCATTTGGACTGATTGCTTTCTGCTGCACACTCCTCATCTTGAGATTTCACTTGATTCCCCTCCTAGATTTAGTTTCCATTTTTTCCTTGGATTTCCTGGACCCTTTTTCTATTTTTCTTGGATTTCTTTTTCAGTTGACTGTAGTCTCAATTTTATTGTTGTTTTGCAGAAAATAGTCTTTGCAGACATATTAGTGTACTTATATGTATGTTGGCTAGGTGTGTATAGTTGAAATACATTTTTCCTCAAAGGATGAAAACTGATGTGAATCTGATTACTATCCCATTGAAGATAACACCTTTCTTCTCTATAAGCTTTTAGGGTTTTTCTCTTTATCTTTGCTATTTTGGACTCTCCCCAGGATGTTAGTGAGAGAGTTTTTGGATTATTCCCTCTGCAACACTCCAAGTAAGTCTATCATTCTGAAGATGTGAGTTCTTCTTTTATATCCTATGATTATTTTTTCAGGAAGTGTTATTTTTAGAATATAAACTCCTGGGTCCCATCCAGGTCTAGGGTCAATGGCATCCATGGGTCGCTGGACAAGATGGGCCCTAGGATCATTTTCCTGCTGTAGCACGTTTACATGGTAGAGTGGCCAGGGTGTCCTTCTGTGATGTGGTCACACAGTGTTGTGCTCATACAGTTTGCGATACTTTTATCAGCATGATGGAGCAGCAGTAAAAAGCCATGCCACCATGTCTAGCTCACAGCATTCTTGTGAAGGTCATGTGTGATATAATCTTATTTGTAAAACTGCTTTGAAAATGCTCCTAGACATCTATATGTTGGAAATTAACCCATCAGGGTGCTACAGACAGCACTTGGCTGGGGTTAGTGAGTTTCAGCAGAATGCATCTCTTGCACTGACGTAGTGGAGAAATGTTTGTCCTTGGGTTTTGTTTTTGCTGAATCTTTCCTTCATATTACCTGCTTCTTGGTCCCTGAAGGTAGATGTCTGCCCAAGATAGAGCCATCTGTTTTAATTTCTCCCCTTGCCTTTTCCTCTTCCTATTACATTTGCTGGCTTACGTATCAAATCAGGCTTGTGTTCCTAGTCTCTAAATAGAAGTGCCTCCTCAAACTACTCTATAAATCATTATTATTAATAACAAGGATAATAATGATAATACTAAATAGCACTCATGTAAAATCTTCCATTACAAAATGCTTTCAGAAATAGTACCTCTGGGCTGCTGGTTTATATAGGAAACACAAAAACTGATTAAAAAAGATGACTTTTCTAGCCAAAATGTGTTTGCTTTTCTGGGTTAAATTCATTTGTTTGATTGAAAATTTTATAAAGAAGGTGTGTATTGGAGAGGTCTGGGATTGTGGAAAGAAGCAGAGTGCTGAACCCATCAATAACTCAAATGTTTGGAAGTGCATGAGTGACAGATTCAGCTTATTCCAGAAAAGTAGGGCCATATAGACATAGCCAATGCAATGTCTAAAGTAGAATCATCACAGCCACATTTATTGGAACACTCCTGTGGAATCTTGAGTCAGTATAATGTAGGAGTTCCTGGGTTCTAATCCTGTTCTGTTCCCGAAGAGTGATGGTGGCTTTAGAGTACATTATTTAACATCTCAGTGCCCTCCTGTCCTTATCTATAAAATTAAGGTTTAAAATCTATCTCGCATCAGTAATCCCAGCACTTTGGGAGGCTGAGGCAGGAGGATTGCTGGAGTCCAGGAGTTCAAGATCAGTTTGGGCAACAAAGCGAGACCTCCATCACTAAAAAAAAAATTAACAAAAAAATAGCAGGGTATGGTGGCTCATGCCTGTGGTCCCCAGCTACTCAGAAGGCTGAAGGAGGGGGATCACTTGAGCCAGGGAGGTTGAGACTGCAGTGAACTATGATCATGCCACTGCACTCCAGCTTGGGCAACAGAGTGAGACCCTGTCTCAAAACAAAAACAAAAACAAAAAAAAAAACTATTGCACAAGGTTGCTGTCAGCACCTACCAGTTTCTAGCACATTCCAAAATGGGAGGCATTATTGTTATTACTATTAAAATTGCTTTAATGTTGCATAAGGGACACTATAAGGGCAGTTTTCTTTTAAAAAGCTCAAGCATAATATATTTTGATAGAAGTGCCTATAAGTAATACATACATGGCTGGGTGGATTTCATATAGTGGGCACACTTGAGCAAGCAGAATTTGGAACCGGGTCATCAGAACCCATCCTAGAGGTGCTCCCTGTGTTCCCTGGATCACGGAACATAAATGGAATGATGCTATGTATACTTTTTTTGGTGGGTACATGGAACATTCTTGTTTCTTTCACTCAGCATCGTGCAATTCACCCAAGCTGATGCATTCTGCTGGAGATCCTTCTTCACGTAGCCATGTGGTATTTTGTTGTATCATGGACACTGGGTAATTTTCAGGTGACCATTATGAAGAATATTGCTGTGAGTGTTCCAGTACATTCCTTAGGTGAACATAAAGGGATAACATTCTTAATTCTAACAATTAGGAGGCCAGGATGTTTCTCCATACCCTCTTGTTCTTCATCCAGTTGATCTCCAACACCCATACATCCACCTCCATGTTTGATGCCCGACTCTGCCATTCATTGTCTGAACTTTTGCAATCATTGTTTTTCCTTCCCCTGTTTCTCATTCTTCCAGTTAAGCCTCAGCACCACCTGAATTGTCTCCCTGAAACACACATCAGAAATCACTTTCCTGTTAAAAACTTTCAGGATCCTCAATGTCAGTGGAAAAAAAGAAAACACACCTCTGAGTTCCTTATACAATCAGCATCTGCCTTGAACAATCCCCGTCAATAGCTCCCACTTCATCACAGACTTTATCTTTGTCCGGGCGTCATATTGGATTAGCTCCTTTGTTGTTTGGGTGCTCTCTCAGCCTGGCATGACCTTTCTTCCTTTCTGCTAATATTGAATTTCTTCTCATGGTTGAAGACCAGCTGAGAGCCATAGTGTTCCAACACCGCTTCCTGCTCCAGTCTCCAAGAAGCTTAGCTCAATAACCTGGGGTGCATCATGTGGTTCACGCCATTCAGTCCATTGCTGACCTGTTGAGTGCTGGGTCTGAGAACTGGGCTTGCAGCTTTCTTCTTTGCTAAGTCCCTCTTGTGTCCTGTTCTGATCATGAGGCTGCTTTCAGGGTCCTCTGATAAATTGTCCTCTTCCTCATCAAAGAAGAGTGCACCCTGGAGCGGTCTCTTGTCAAACAATTTTCCTCTGCTATTGGGATAAGTGGACCTAATTTCTTGTTGACGCTAATTATTTGAGAATTGCTGTTGTGTGATAAGTTAAAAGCAACCTTTATTTATGTAATTATCCCCCTCCCCCAGGCAGTGGAATGACTAAGATTTGCTTTGCTTTTCACGAGAAGCCCTTTCGTATTTAATGTGTCCCTGGAGTATCACCTGAGGTCTGACAGGTTCCCTGGCCTTGGATTTAGTTCAGGTTGCAGGGAATTTTCTGAAAGGGCTGGTGCAGTGCCAAACTAGAGATTCCCCATCCCAGTAATTCGGATGAGACAGATAATCTCTCTTCTGCGAACTCCTCTCTACTTCTCACCTTGGGGTTCCCCTGTCCCTTAGTCATTGTCTCTTCCTACCTGACTTGGAGCAATTATCTGCACATACAGGTGTCTCCCTCATTGGTCTGCTCTATCCTACAGGCTGTCCCACCTGGCTTCCCACTCCAAGAAACTAGCACACACCTGGCCCGTAGGAGACCCTCAATACATGTTTACTGATTGAGTTAATATTTTGATTTCTGAATGGGAAACTAAAAGTCTTTTGCGCTTGGGAGATGACTTCAATGTTTATTTTTCTGCTTTGTAAATTGAAGGGACAAAATTTAATTGACTCTTTCAAGGGATAATTATTGATGTTTAATGTCTAGCTACAGTCCTAAGGACATTCCAAGTAGCAGCGCATTTGATGCTGACGGGGGCCTATACCCTACCCTTGCTTTGCATTCAGTTTCAAGGGTGATTTCTGACTACTTCCCTGGTGCCAGGGGTTATGGTGGATTCTCCACATTTCTTGCCTGCTTCCATCCTCACTCCTTTGTATACAGCTCAAGGAAGAGTCTAATCCTCAACAAACATACCCTCAAACAAACCAACCTTTCTCCCAAGACTGGTGGGAAGGTCAATTGCATGGACTGAGAAGAACATGAGGGGAAGTTTCAATATATGAACCATGGCAATATTAGCGGGGTTTTAATCAATAGCCTTTCATATTAAGATGACATTCAACCATCTTATCAAACATTCGCTTGACACCTGCGTCTGGCACTGAGTGCACAATGGTGAACAAATACCTACTTCCTTACTCTCATGAAACCCATGTGTCCCCTGGGGCAGCCAGACAAAACAGAAAAAAGGCAAGTGAACAAGCGAATGACTTAAAATGATTCCAAAATGTGATGGTAATAAGACCATATGTCATTGATTTTTAAGACACATTTCTTTTCACCTTTTAATGTTGTTGAAATTGTGATGTCTTAAAATGGGAATTTGTATTTAATATATTGTTTTTCCCCCTGAGAAATTATTAAATTGATGCTTTGACTTCTGATCGATGCTGTCTCAGAATGGAGGAAATATGGTAATAATAAAAGCTCACATTTATCGAACGCTAACTATGAGTCAGGCTTTGAGCACTTTGTGTTGTAGCATTGTCTCTTTTATTCTGGATAACAACCACAGGCATCATGTAGAAGAATCTCTACTTTATAGGGGAGGGAACTGCATCCCAGGGAGGTGAGGTCCCAGGTTTAATGTTCAGCACCTGGAGTAGCCAATATTTGAACCCTGGCAGATCTGACCCTGCCTCCCTGAGCCCTGGTGCCCTCTAGGGGTAACTGGTGCAAAGTAACCAATACTATGAAGATTTTTCAGATGCTCCTAGGGAAGCTACATAGTTCTCATACAACTAGGAGGTATACACCAAGAACTAACAGATTGTGCATGAACTGTGTAGAAACACACAGCAAAAGCAGCACCCACAGAGCCTGTATCTTCCAATGAATCTTTAATTTTTAATTTTATTATTATATATATATTTTTGAGATGAAGTCTCACTCTGTTGCCCAAGCTGGAGTGCAGTGGTGCCATCTCGGCTCAATGCAACGTTTGCCTCCCAGGTTCAAGTGATTCTCCTCTCTCAGCCTCCTGAGTAGCTAGGATTACAGGTGCGTGCCACCATGCCTGGGTAATTTTTGTATTTTTAATTTTTTAGTAAAGATAGGGTTTCACCATGTTGGCCAGGCTGGTCTCAAACTCTTGACCTCAAGTGATCCACTCGCCTCAGCCTCCCAAAGTGCTGGAATTACAGGCATGAGCCACCATGCCCAGCCTTATTTTTGTGCATACATAGTGGTTGTATATATTTATGGGGTACATGAGATATTTTGATACAGGCATGCGATGAGTAATAATCACATCAGGGTAAATGGAGTATCCATCATCTCAAGCACTTGTCCTTTGTGATGAACAATCCAATTATACTCTTTTAGGTATTTAAAAACGTATAAATGCATAATAAATTATTGTTGACGTCGTCACCCTGTCCTCCAGTGAACCTTGAAGTGAGAAATGGGGAACCTACCTTGGTCAGTTTATTAGTCAGTTCTCATGCTGCTAATAAAGACATACCAGAGACTAGGTAATTTATAAAGAAAAAGAGGTTTAATGGACTCACAGTTCCACATGGCTGTGGAGGCCTCACAATCATGGCTGAAGGCAGAGGAGGAGAAAGGCACATAACACATGGTGGCAGGCAAGAGGGGGCTGGTGTAGGGGAACTCCCCTTCACAAAACCATCAGATTGGGCCGGGCGCGGTGGCTCACGCTTGTAATCTCAGCACTTTGGGAGGCAGAGGCGGGTAGATCACAAGGTCAAGAGATCGAGACTATCCTGGCCAATATGGTGAAACCCTGTCTCTACTAAAAATACAAAAAAATCAGCTGGGTGTAGTGGCGTGCGCCTGTAGTCCCAGATACGCAGGAGGCTGAGGCAGGAGAATTGCTTGAACCCGGGAGGCGGAGGTTGCAGTCAGCTGAGATTGCGCCACTGCACTCCAGCCTGGCGACAGAGTGAGACTCGGTCTCAAAAAAAAAAAAAAAAAAAAAAAACCAAAAATAAACAAACCATCAGATCTTGTGAGACTTATTCACTATCATGAGAACAGCACTGGAAAGACCTGGGTTCATTCCTCTTGCCTGTGTTTTCTCCCTCCTTCCCTCCCCCTGCTTTCTTTTTTTTTTTTCTTTACCTCCTCCCTCCTTTTCTTCTTCCCCCTTTTTCTCTCTCTTCATACCTCCCTCCATGCTTCCCTTTCTGTTCCCTTTATCTAAAGAAGAGCCTAGCAGATTGAAAAGTCATTAAATAATGTTGCTGGCAAAAACTGAAGAGTGTTAGCTGAAATGGAAAGTTCTGGAACTTGTGAAAGTATGATGAACCACTAAGATTAGTTTAGGATTGATTTATGTGGCTAAATAGTTAATACGCTCAAAGAGGCTTTAACATATGAGGCCTGTAATTAATATTTATAGATCCAAGTGATGAGAAATGACCAAAAAAGAAGCCTGTTGGGATGACATAAAGTTGAAAATTCCCTGAGATAACACAGGTGAGAAGGGGGTAGGGGTGGTGCTAGCGAGTCCGAAGAGATGCACCTCAGCTGCTAATGCAGAAGGCATTCCAAACAGGAGCTCTGGGGAAGCCTGCGTACTGAATCAGAGGCATGAAGGACTTGGAGGCAATTTCCACGTTCATTGAATTCATCTCACACAGGCTGGGCTGATTTGGGTTACACTGAGTTGGTGAATTGATGAGAGCACAAAAATCCAGCACATGAACTAGTAACCTATTTAGAAAATTTGTGAACGACTCAGAGATGGTAGGCCCTTGAGTGTGGCAAGCTAGGCAGCTGAAAGGAACACAGAGGCAGAGACAGACTTCTGGAAAAATGGGTGCTTATCCGCTGTGCCTGGGGCTCTGCCAGAGTCCACCCACTTGCTGTCCCGAGATAAGAAATGTGTGTGGCTGCAAACCTGTGCTTGGTAGGTTAGTATTCCTAGAGACCTCATCTTCCTTTGGTGTGAGCAATTTATACGTATTCAGTTAAACTGTATTTTTCTAACCAGAATATAGCACACTGTCTTGGAACTTTCTCATTGCTAAATGGATGTTTAAGAGCCTGTAATTAGTTTATAAACATAGATGCAGAAGGAGAAACTCGTTTTAATAAACTCTGGCATTTTGGCCTTAAGAAAATAAATGACAGCATGACTATTCACTTCACAAAAGGATTTTTTTTTTCATTTAAAACAAAGGCTTCAACATGAGCATCATTATAAAAACAAACAAATGAACTAAAAATAACAAAAACTGAGGCAGAACTTTTGTACTTTATATTTAAAAAATATACATAAGATATAAACCCAGGCTGCCCTGCCTATACCTGCACCATAAACCCCTCTCTACTCTTAGCTCGTTCATTCATTCAACAGCACAAGAGATGTTGGGGCAGATGCTATGAGAAAGACAAAGAAGAGTGTCTCAGTTTTCAAGTAGAAGAAATTCTTCCTTCCTGTGTTTTGTAATCTTTATGACATTTTATGAAAATAAAGTGTTTGATGTAGAAGATTTAGAAAATACAGGAAGGAGTCACAAGGAAGGAAGCGAATATATTAGAATCTCCCTAACCAGAAATACTCACTGTGGAAATATTTATCCATCCTGCCATTTTTGGGAGGGTGCACAACTGTGCCTGTGCCTGTAGGGCTAAGAACAGGAATTGAGAGAAGGAGGGCTGAGAGATAGTGCTCTGAACATAAGCAGGGGCGACGGTTCTTCAGACTTGATAAATTTTGGATTTTTCCCTGGTGATAGGGTGCATGGATGAATTAATGGCAAGGAAGTGGTGCGTGTGAGTCCTTGGAACAGTTCTTCTTCTGACTTATGTGAAAGCGGAGCTCTACTTAGTTGGCAGGGTACAAACAATAGTAACTGAAGACCTATTGATCATTTGGTATTGCTGGTCAGGCACTGTGCTAAGTAGTTGACATAGACTTTGTTTAATCTTCTAACAACTCTTTGGGCAAGGAATCCCATTATTCCCCTCTTGCAGATGATCTAGTTAGTGATGCTTAAGGAAAATAAATCAACACGCAGAAGATCACCCAGCTAGCTAATGAAGGATGGAATTAAGATTTAAACCCAAATCATCTGGCTCTGGAGCCCTGTGTTGGGTATGGGGAGGGGGGTAAACTAAAGTGATTTTCCTAGTCTCTCACTCAACAATCAACACTTCTGTGACCTCTCATCACCAAAACATGTGGGAATTTCTCCCCACCAAGTAATCCTCCAGCAGATTCTGCAGTGGATATCAGCAAGGTGTCTTCTAGTGTGATTCAATTCTGACACCATCTATCTACCTGGACATAGCATCACATTCCACAGGTTGAGGGCTCAGTCCCATGAGACTGTCCTTCTCTTCAGATACCAGTTGCAATGGGCTATAAATCGGGGTTCCCACAACCCTCTTTGGGTTCAACTAATTTGCTAGAGCAGCTCACAGAAATAGAAGTCAAGGAAATATTTACTTTTACTGGTTATTATAAAGAATATTACACAGGATATGGATGGAGAGATGCACAGCGTGAGATTCTGTGGGAAAAGATGTGGAGTTTCCATGCCTTCCCTGGGTGCACCACCTTCCAGGAACCTCCATGTGTTCAGCTATTCAGAAGCTCTCTGAACCCAGTCCTTTTTTGATTTTATAGAAGCTTCAGTACACAGGCTTGATTGATTAAGCCATTGATCATTGGTGATAGACTTAACCCTTGGCTCCTCCCTGTTGGGAGGTAGGGCTGAATTTCAACCCTCTAATCATGCCTTGGCCTTTCAGGTGACCAGGGCCCACAGTCATCAACTCATAGCATACAAAAAAATGCTCTTATCACTCAAGAGATTCCAAGGATTTTTAGGAGCTGTACCTCAGGAAACGGAGACAAAAACCAAATATGTATTTCACAATATCACAGTCCCATTGCAGTTACCTGCTGTTGTGTAACAAATCACTCTGAAATTTAGCAGCTTAACACAACCCTCATTTGATTACTTGGAAGGATGTCGTGGATTGGGAATTCAGGCAGAGCCCAGTTGGGAATTTCTTCTGTTCCTTGGGGCATTGGCTGAGGTCACTCAGTGGTATTCAGCTGGTGGCTGGGCTTGTCTCACAGGAGGGTGAGTGTCCAAGATGTTTTCATTCACTTCCTTAGTACTGGGTGGGGGATGGCTGGGAGGGTGGGCTGAGCTGGGCTAGTGACTGGAGTGCCTTGGTGGGGCCTCTTCAGGGTGGTGGTCATCTCAAGGTAGTCAAACCATTTCCACGGCAAACTATTTCAGGGCTCCAGAGACATTTGCAAGAGGCTTGAGTAGAAGCTGCTGGTCTCTTAAAGCCTACACAAGGAAAGTGGCACAGGTCACTTCTGACGTTTTTCTGTTGACCAAATGGCCACAGAATCCACCCAGAATCAAGGAAAGAGACATACGCTACCCCCAGTCTAACTATTTGTGATCATCTTGAATCTATTCCATGTCTCAACACTTATTCACTAAGGAGACAGAGACTACCTTTGAACCCATTGATTGTTTCAATGATTGATTAATCGGTTTACCAAATAGATTCTAAACAACTGCATGTGGTGGACAGAAGGGTACAATGGTTAGCAAGACAGTACCTGGGGGTTCCAGCCCTTGGTACTCACACTGTAATGGGAGGGGACAATAGTGAATGAGCAACACAGGGAGAGGGTAATCAGAGCCTGGGTGCCAGGGAGAACATGAGTGAGCTGGTGAGACATAGGGTGTCAGGGAGGCCACACTGGACAGGCTCATGAGGGAGGCAGTGATGAGGAAGTGGTCTTTCAGCTCCCCTTAAAGAGAAGGACAGAGGGGGAAGACACACCTTCCATAAAGGAGAGATAACAAGTCCCTAAACTCAGAAGTGGGATAGGACTTCACAAATTGATGGAACCAAGAAAACAATGTGCCAGGAGCATGGTGGGATGGGGGAGGGGGCAGGGGTGTGGCCCCAGCAAACTGAGCTGTGAGTGGGACCACATCACCCAAGCCCTGATAGGCCAGAGAACTGTCACTTCATCCTAATGATGAGCACAAACCAAAGTACACATTGAAGTGAATGAAAACCAACTGAAGTTGAGATGGGCAGAGGCAAAAGGAGAAAATTCAGCCCTAGGTTTTTATGGTTTGGGGCAGAAGTGTGGCACAATCTAAATATGTTTACCCCTTCAGTGGGTTAGCTGCTAAACACTAATCTGAACCAGGCATTAACCTCTCTGGGCCTATTTTCCACCGTGGTAATGAAAGGGTTTGAAAGATTTGCAATGATTTTTTCCAGCTTTAGTATTCTGTGATTCTACATGTCTCTTTTTTATGTTTAAAGAAGGGATTGGTTTCTTTTTTATATTTAAAGAAATGGCTGGCTGCTTTATTTTACCAGCAAATACAATACCCCTCCTACCCGCCTCTCCAACTCTGGTTTCATGAATGTATTTTCATGGACCCATGTGTCAACACAAGCCCTGACCAAGACATTTTATCCCACAAAGAGCGTTGTGTAGATTAAAGGAAGAAACAGAGATTAAAACAACGGGGCTTGCACATTCCGATGGCTCTTAACTTGATTTAAACTTTTGACCTCTAATGCTTCCCAGCTGTTTTGAAGTCACACATCCCGTGTTGATTAGACTCACCCCAAAAGTGATCCAAAAAGAGGGGGTTGCTTCAGTGAACCATCACCCTGCCTGACTCTGGGGTTTGCAGTTCCTGGCTGAAAGTGGTCACTGCTCCCCCAAGCCCTTTGCTCTGTAACTGAGCCCAGCAGGAAGAGCTCCCACACTCTCTCCCTCTCTCTCTCTCTGCAGACAGAGGCCACCCTTTTAACAATTTGTTTTTACAATGTGAAAAAAGAGTGGGAGCAGGGGAAGAAGCAGTGTTCCTGTCCCCCTCAAAATAACATAACCCAGGTGGTGGGAGTTAACTGGGAATGTGGAGGGTTCTGATTCCAAAGTACACATTGAAATAAATGAAAACCAACTGAAGTTAAGATGGGCAGAGACAAAAGAAGAAAATTCAACCCTAGGTTTTTATGGTTTTCTTTTTTGTATAGAATCCTAATCATGGGGGTGAACTCGGAAAGCATGTGGTTTCTTCTTTTCTTTTTTCTTTTTTCTTTTTTTTGAGACGGACTTTTGCTCTTGTTGCCCAGGCTGGAGTGCAATGGTGCGATCTCTGCTCACTGCAACCTCTGCCTCCTGGGTTCAAGCGACTCTCCTCCCTCAGCCTCCCGAGTATCTGGGATGACAGGCATGAGCCACCGTGCCCGGCCGCACGTGGTTTCTTTTTTTTTTTTTTTTGAGACAGGCTTGCTCCGTTGCCCAGGCTGGAGTGCAGTGGCGCGATCTTGGCTCATTGCAAGCTCCGCCTCCCGGGTTCACGCCATTCTCCTGCCTCAGCCTCCTGAGTAGCTGGGACTACAGGCACCCGCCACCAAGCCCGGCTAATTTTTTTTTTGCATTTTTAGTAGAGACGGGGTGTCACTGAGTTAGCCAGGATGGTCTCGATCTCCTGACCTCGTGGTCCGCCCTCCTCCGCCTCCAAAAGTGCTGGGATTACAGACATGAGCCACCGCGCCCGGCCACGTGGTTTCTTAAGATAAATTCTCTAACATGGAGGACAATGAACAGAATCTGGGAAGCAGCTGTCCCTATTGCTGGGGAATGGATTCTGCATGCCGGCCATGCCTGGTAAACTCTCAGTCCATCACCAGGCCTGGGGTCCGGGTGCCTGTGGCCTGCATGAGTCGGGGAGAGAGTTAGGAGCCCCCGAGTTCCCCACAATTCGTCACCGAGGTGATGTTAGCAGGTGTAACTCTATTTTTTCTGCCATCATTTGTTTTTGTCATCATGCCTTCTGGGACTTCCTGACACATCCGATGCTGTCTTAGGTGTTCCTTTGTAAGCCAGAGTCTACCTGAAGAGGGAAATCCAGGGGACACAGTAGTGTTGGCGTCAGGCTCTGGTCCTCCAGGGAAAATCTCCAGCAAGGAGACCTGGCAGTTGCTTGAGGCTGTGGGTCTGCAACACTAATCAGCAGGCAGGAAGCCAAGGATTCAGCCAACACGTGCAGGGCATTTTGGACATCCAGCATTCACTCCATGGAAGGAGTGAATTCCTAGGGTGAGTGGGAGGCTTCCCTCCCCACCCCCGCCCCACCCCGAATGTGGTCCATCTTGTCAGCCAATTCTTATATGCCAGTGCATACAAATTAATTCTGTGGGTAATTTTGATAGAAAATTTGATGAGTTGGCCAGAGAAACTTCAGTAGAGAAATTAAAAGTAGTAATTCCAAGAGAGGAGAAAATAAAATGACAGCTTTGATTATTTCAGCCACTTCAGGCCCAGGGCATTGGATGGAGATGACATTTTAGTTTTCTAACCCATTTCCTCATTTTGATTCTTTTAAAAAAATTGCCATTGCACCCAGATAGAGAATTCTTGGTTCATCTTGGAACATGCATGAGCTGGAGGATGCTTCACTGCCGGATCTGTTCACTAGATGGCATGGCTCAGACCCACTGAGTTGCACAGATTCAGCTGGGCTAAGAAAGTCCTGAGCAACTTGAGTCAAATACCCACTGCCTTTGTTAATTCATTTATGACAAACTGTGGGCCCCTAAGAGTAGAGAGAATCAGGAGATTCTCTGATTTGAAGCAGGAATTATTGCTGGAGGAAAAGTGCCTGCAACTGGTTTAGGGAAAATTCACGGAGACAGAGGGCACCTGGTAGATCATCTTGTTCATCTTGTGGTTTGCAAACTTGTTTGAAGCGATAGAACACCTTCCTCAGCAAAAGCCAGTTATGCAGAGCTGAATAAGTCATGCAAGTAATGGCAGAACTATTGAAGTTGCTTTCTGAAACCCTTAGGAATTGGGAAATATTGACTGACTGACTGATCGACCTCCCTCCCTTCCTTCCTTCCTTCCCTTTTCTTTCTCTTTCTTCTTTTCTCTCTCTCCTTCCTTTCTTTCTCCTTCCTTTTTTCTTTCTCTTTCTTCCTTTCTTTCTCTCTCTCCTTCCTCCCCTCCTTCTTTCTCTTTCCTCTTTTTTTTTCCTTTTATTTTCCAGCATTAGAAACTGAGGACTAGATAGGGCAAGATGTCCATGGAAGATCTTGGTCCACAAGCAGTCCACTGAATGATTTTTCTGTAAAACCACTACTTTATTTATTTAAAACCCTCAAGTTCCCATAAAAGGAGTTTGCAGAGCAAATTGTTTTAAATTCCCTGGAGCAACATTGTGGATGGATACACACATTTGCCAAATTCACAGAATGTTTGTTTCATTAATTGTGTTGACACTGATCATAAACTCAAGCAGGGCAAAGATGACAATGAGTGTGTGAACTCTGGGCCAGACAATAGACACACACTTTTATGCATCATTTTATTTTTCTTTACAAGAACCCTACGAGATTGGTATTTCTATCTGTAATTTATAGATGAGGGAAAGTGAATTTAGAGTTTAAGCTTTTTGTACCAATGAATATATTAAGTTATGGGTGAAGTCTTATAACAAAGAGACTCTAAGACACAATGGCTTGAATACAGTAAAAGTTTACTCCTTCAGCTTCCATAGGAAGGTGATGTAGGACAGCCAAGGGTAGCTGGGTCTGTCACAACATGTGGCTTCCATCCCTCCATCCAGTGTGGCATTTCCGGGTCATGCCATCTCCCAACCAGTCAAGAAGCCAAAGAGCCAGTAAATGATGGGAATAATATTTGAACCAAGGCTTATGTAATTCTTTTTTTTTTTTTTTATTATACTCTAAGTTTTAGGGTACATGTGCACATTGTGCAGGTTAGTTACGTATGTATACATGTGCCATGCTGGTGCGCTGCACCCACTAATGTGTCATCTAGCATTAGGTATATCTCCCAATGCTATCCCTCCCCCCTCCCCCTACCCCACAACAGTCCCCAGAGTGTGATATTCCCCTTCCTGTGTCCATGTGATCTCATTGTTCAATTCCCACCTATGAGTGAGAATATGCGGTGTTTGGTTTTTTGTTCTTGCGATAGTTTACTGAGAATGATGGTTTCCAATTTCATCCATGTCCCTACAAAGGATATGAACTCATCATTTTTTATGGCTGCATAGTATTCCATGGTGTATATGTGCCACATTTTCTTAATCCAGTCTATCATTGTTGGACATTTGGGTTGGTTCCAAGTCTTTGCTATTGTGAATAGTGCCACAATAAACATACGTGTGCATGTGTCTTTATAGCAGCATGATTTATACTCATTTGGGTATATACCCAGTAATGGGATGGCTGGGTCAAATGGTATTTCTAGTTCTAGATCCCTGAGGAATCGCCACACTGACTTCCACAATGGTTGAACTAGTTTACAGTCCCACCAACAGTGTAAAAGTGTTCCTATTTCTCCGCATCCTCTCCAGCACCTGTTGTTTCCTGACTTTTTAATGATTGCCATTCTAACTGCTGTGAGATGATATCTCATAGTGGTTTTGATTTGCATTTCTCTGATGGCCAGTGATGATGAGCATTTCTTCATGTGTTTTTTGGCTGCATAAATGTCTCTTTTGAGAAGTGTCTGTTCATGTCCTTTGCCCACTTTTTGATGGGGTTGTTTGTTTTTTTCTTGTAAATTTGTTTGAGTTCATTGTAGATTCTGGATATTAGCCCTTTGTCAGATGAGTAGGTTGCGAAAATTTTCTCCCATGTTGTAGGTTGCCTGTTCACTCTGATGGTAGTTTCTTTTGCTGTGCAGAAGCTCTTTAGTTTAATTAGATCCCATTTGTCAATTTTTTCTTTTGTTGCCATTGCTTTTGGTGTTTTGGACATGAAGTCCTTGCCCACGCCTATGTCCTGAATGGTAACGCCTAGGTTTTCTTCTAGGGTTTTTATGGTTTTAGGTTTAACGTTTAAATCTTTAATCCATCTTGAATTGATTTTTGTATAAGGTGTAAGGAAGGGATCCAGTTTCAGCTTTCTACATATGGCTAGCCAGTTTTCCCAGCACCATTTATTAAATAGGGAATCCTTTCCCCATTGCTTGTCTTTCTCAGGTTTGTCAAAGATCAGATAGTTGTAGATATGCGGCATTATTTCTGAGGGCTCTGTTCTGTTCCATTGATCTATATCTCTGTTTTGGTACCAGTACCATGCTGTTTTGGTTACTGTAGCCTTGTAGTATAGTTTGAAGTCAGGTAGTGTGATGCCTCCAGCTTTGTTCTTTTGGCTTAGGATTGACTTGGCGATGCGGGCTCTTTTTTGGTTCCATATGAACTTTAAAGTAGTTTTTTCCAATTCTGTGAAGAAAGTCATTGGTAGCTTGATGGGGATGGCATTGAATCTGTAAATTACCTTGGGCAGTATGGCCATTTTCAAGATATTGATTCTTCCTACCCATGAGCATGGAATGTTCTTCCATTTGTTTGTGTCCTCTTTTATTTCCTTGAGCAGTGGTTTGTAGTTCTCCTTGAAGAGGTCCTTCACATCCCTTGTAAGTTGGATTCCTAGGTATTTTATTCTCTTTGAAACAATTGTGAATGGGAGTTCACCCATGATTTGGCTCTCTGTTTGTCTGTTGTTGGTGTATAAGAATGCTTGTGATTTTTGCACATTGATTTTGTATCCTGAGACTTTGCTGAAGTTGCTTATCAGCTTAAGGAGATTTTGGGCTGAGACGATGGGGTTTTCTAGATATACAATCATGTCGTCTGCAAACAGGGACAATTTGACTTCCTCTTTTCCTAATTGAATACCCTTTATTTCCTTCTCCTGCCTGATTGCCCTGGCCAGAACTTCCAACACTATGTTGAATAGGAGTGGTGAGAGAGGGCATCCCTGTCTTGTGCCAGTTTTCAAAGGGAATGCTTCCAGTTTTTGCCCATTCAGTATGATATTGGCTGTGGGTTTGTCATAGATAGCTCTTATTATTTTGAAATACGTCCCATCAATACCTAATTTATTGAGAGTTTTTAGCATGAAGGGTTGTTGAATTTTGTCAAAGGCTTTTTCTGCATCTATTGAGATAATCATGTGGTTTTTGTCTTTGCCTCTGTTTATATGCTGGATTACATTTATTGATTTGCGTATATTGAACCAGCCTTGCATCCCAGGGATGAAGCCCACTTGATCATGGTGGATAAGCTTTTTGATGTGCTGCTGGATTCGGTTTGCCAGTATTTTATTGAGGATTTTTGCATCAATGTTCATCAAGGATATTGGTCTAAAATTCTCTTTTTTGGTTGTGTCTCTGCCCGGCTTTGGTATCAGAATGATGCTGGCCTCATAAAATGAGTTAGGGAGGATTCCCTCTTTTTCTATTGATTGGAATAGTTTCAGAAGGAATGGTACCAGTTCCTCCTTGTACCTCTGGTAGAATTCGGCTGTGAATCCATCTGGTCCTGGACTCTTTTTGGTTGGTAAACTATTGATTATTGCCACAATTTCAGAGCCTGTTATTGGTCTATTCAGAGATTCAACTTCTTCCTGCTTTAGTCTTGGGAGAGTGTATGTGTCGAGGAATGTATCCATTTCTTCTAGATTTTCTAGTTTATTTGCGTAGAGGTGTTTGTAGTATTCTCTGATGGTAGTTTGTATTTCTGTGGGATCGGTGGTGATATCCCCTTTATCATTTTTTATTGTGTCTATTTGATTCTTCTCTCTTTTTTTCTTTATTAGTCTTGCTAGCGGTCTATCAATTTTGTTGATCCTTTCAAAAAACCAGCTCCTGGATTCATTGATTTTTTGAAGGGTTTTTTGTGTCTCTATTTCCTTCAGTTCTGCTCTGATTTTAGTTATTTCTTGCCTTCTGCTAGCTTTTGAATGTGTTTGCTCTTGCTTTTCTAGTTCTTTTAATTGTGATGTTAGGGTGTCAATTTTGGATCTTTCCTGCTTTCTCTTGTAGGCATTTAGTGCTATAAATTTCCCTCTACACACTGCTTTGAATGCATCCCAGAGATTCTGGTATGTGGTGTCTTTGTTCTCGTTGGTTTCAAAGAACATCTTTATTTCTGCCTTGATTTCGTTATGTACCCAGTAGTCATTCAGGAGCAGGTTGTTCAGTTTCCATGTAGTTGAGCGGCTTTGAGTGAGATTCTTAATCCTGAGTTCTAGTTTGATTGCACTGTGGTCTGAGAGATAGTTTGTTATAATTTCTGTTCTTTTACATTTGCTGAGGAGAGCTTTACTTCCAACTATGTGGTCAATTTTGGAATAGGTGTGGTGTGGTGCTGAAAAAAATGTATATTCTGTTGATTTGGGGTGGAGAGTTCTGTAGATGTCTATTAGGTCTGCTTGGTGCAGAGCTGAGTTCAATTCCTGGGTATCCTTGTTGACTTTCTGTCTCGTTGATCTGTCTAATGTTGACAGTGGGGTGTTAAAGTCTCCCATTATTAATGTGTGGGAGTCTAAGTCTCTTTGTAGGTCACTGAGGACTTGCTTTATGAATCTGGGTGCTCCTGTATTGGGTGCATATATATTTAGGATAGTTAGCTCCTCTTGTTGAATTGATCCCTTTACCATTATGTAATGGCCTTCTTTGTCTCTTTTGATCTTTGTTGGTTTAAAGTCTGTTTTATCAGAGACTAGGATTGCAACCCCTGCCTTTTTTTGTTTTCCATTTGCTTGGTATATCTTCCTCCATCCTTTTATTTTGAGCCTATGTGTGTCTCTGCACGTGAGATGGGTTTCCTGAATACAGCACACAGATGGGTCTTGACTCTTTATCCAACTTGCCAGTCTGTGCCTTTTAATTGGAGCATTTAGTCCATTTACATTTAAAGTTAATATTGTTATGTGTGAATTTGATCCTGTCATTATGATGTTAGCTGGTTATTTTGCTCGTTAGTTCATGCAGTTTCTTCCTAGTCTCGATGGTCTTTACATTTTGGCATGATTTTGCAGCAGCTGGTATTGGTTGCTCCTTTCCATGTTTAGCGCTTCCTTCAGGAGCTCTTTTAGGGCAGGCCTTGTGGTGACAAAATCTCTCAGCATTTGCTTGTCTGTAAAGTATTTTATTTCTCCTTCACTTATGAAGCTTAGTTTGGCTGGATATGAAATTCTGGGTTGAAAATTCTTTTCTTTAAGAATGTTGAATATTGGTCCCCACTGTCTTCTGGCTTGTAGAGTTTCTGCTGAGAGATCCGCTGTTAGTCTGATGGGCTTCCCTTTGTGGGTAACCCGACCTTTCTCTCTGGCTGCCCTTAACATTTTTTCCTTCATTTCCACTTTGGTGAATCTGACAATTATGTGTCTTGGATTTGCTCTTCTCGAGGAGTATCTTTGTGGTGTTCTCTGTATTTCCTGAATCTGAATGTTGGCCTGCCTTGCTAGATTGGGGAAGTTCTCCCGGATAATATTCTGCAGAGTGTTTTCCAACTTGGTTCCATTCTCCCCATCACTTTCAGGTACACCAATGAGATGTAGATTTGGTCTTTTCACATAGTCCCATATTTCTTGGAGGCTTTGCTTGCTTCTTTTTTCTCTAAACTTCCCTTCTCGCTTCATTTCATTCACTTCATCTTCCATCACTGATACCCTTTCTTCCAGTTGATCGCATCGGCTCCTGAGGCTTCTGCATTCTTCACGTAGTTCTCGAGCCTTGGTTTTCAGCTCCATCAGCTCCTTTAAGCACTTCTCTGTATTGGTTATTCTAGTTATACATTCTTCTAAATTTTTTTCAAAGTTTTCAACTTCTTTGCCTTTGGTTTGAATGTCCTCCCGTAGCTCAGAGTAATTTGATCGTCTGAAGCCTTCTTCTCTCAGCTCATCAAAATCATTCTCCATCCAGCTTTGTTCTGTTGCTGGTGAGGAACTGCGTTCCTTTGGAGGAGGAGAGGCGCTCTGCGTTTTAGAGTTTCCAGTTTTTCTGTTCTGTTTTTTCCCCATCTTTGTGGTTTTATCTACTTTTGGTCTTTGATGATGGTGATGTACAGATGGGTTTTAGGTGTAGATGTCCTTTCTGGTTGTTAGTTTTCCTTCTAACAGACAGGACCCTCAGCTGCAGGTCTGTTGGAATACCCTGCCGTGTGAGGTGTCAGTGTGCCCCTGCTGGGGGGTGCCTCCCAGTTAGGCTGCTCGGGGATCAGGGGTCAGGGACCCACTTGAGGAGGCAGTCTGCCCGTTCTCAGATCTCCAGCTGCGTGCTGGGAGAACCACTGCTCTCTTCAAAGCTGTCAGACAGGGATACTTAAGTCTGCAGAGGTTACTGCTGTCTTTTTGTTTGTCTGTGCCCTGCCCCCAGAGGTGGAGCCTACAGAGGCAGGCAGGCCTCCTTGAGCTGTGGTGGGCTCCACCCAGTTCGAGCTTCCTGGCTGCTTTGTTTACCTAAGCAAGCCTGGGCAATGGCGGGCGCCCCTCCCCCAGCCTCGTTGCCGCCTTGCAGTTTGATCTCAGACTGCTGTGCTAGCAATCAGCGAGATTCCGTGGGCGTAGGACCCTCTGAGCCAGGTGTGGGATATAGTCTCGTGGTGCGCCGTTTCTTAAGCCGGTCTGAAAAGCGCAATATTCGGGTGGGAGTGACCCGATTTTCCAGGTGCGTCCGTCACCCCTTTCTTTGACTCGGAAAGGGAACTCCCTGACCCCTTGCCCTTCCCAGGTGAGGCAATGCCTTGCCCTGCTTCGGCTTGCGCACGGTGCGCACACACACTGGCCTGCACCCACTGTCTGGCACTCCCTAGTGAGATGAACCCGGTACCTCAGATGGAAATGCAGAAATCACCCGTCTTCTGCGTCGCTCACGCTGGGAGCTGTAGACCGGAGCTGTTCCTATTCGGCCATCTAAGGCTTATGTAATTCTAAAGTCTGATGTTAACTAACCACAGAACTAAACCGCCACATTACTCAACAGTAATAATACCACCATTTTAGGTGTTATCATTAGTTGTGGTAACTAGCCTTCAAGATGTCTCCCAGTGATTCTTACCTCCTGGTATTCTACCCTTGTTCCTTCCCACACTGAATAGGGCTGACTTGTGTAGTAAATTGCACACTGCAGATACTGGGGATATGATAGAGAATGACTTTTGATGAGGCTAAGTCCCAAAAATCATTGCAGTTCCTGGTAAGCTCTTTCTTGAATCACTAGCTCCAGGGAAGCCAGCTGCCATGTTGTAAGGATAATCAAGCAATGCTATGGACAGTTCCACATGGGGTGGTACTGAGACCTCCCACCAGCAACCAGCACCAACTTGCAAGCCATACAAGTGAGCTACCTTGGAAGCAGATTCTCCAATCCAGTCAAGCCCCTAGAGAATTGCAGCCCAGACCCGAATCTTGATTATAACTTTGTGAGAATCCATGAACCAGAATCAATTAGAAAAATTGCACCCAAAGAAACAATATGTGATAATAAATGTCTATTTCTATTTTATGCTACTAAGTTCCACAATACTTTATCATATAGCAATAGTTAAAATAAAATATTAGTATAATTGCTATATCAAGAGGATGCACTTTTTTTGGACCAAACTCTAGCGACCTCCTCAGGAAGGCCTTAATGGCATCTATCAGGGAGGGAGTTGTTCCTTCTTCCTCTGTGTCCTGGCTCCTTTCTCCTACCATATGTCACTTAAAACTGAAGTTTGTATTTTTACAAGTCAGTTTCCTTCTTTAGACTGTACATTTCCCTGTAACAGGAAACAAGTCTTGTGTTTGGATTCATCTCCCCTATGCCTAATAGTGCTGAATTAAAGTTATGTTTAAATGAACAACTAAAACCTATTTATCCTTCAACTCATTTGCATTATAATATTATGTACATATTTTCTTTAGATGTGGGCTCTAAAAACATTGTGTTGCCTTTTACATGAAGCCTCTCAGTCACTTCTTTGTCTCAGTAACAGGCATTCAAAAATACTCTGTATAAATAAAAGATAAATCTCCTGAGGGCCAGAGATCATGCTGTTTTAGGATCTTTTACAAACAGTTGGCACCTCCTTATTCTTGAAAATCAGGCTCAAAATCTCTTCAAAACAAACATCCCCTGGAGACTCCCAGAGCTGAAGAGAATTTTTTTTTCTTTTGTTACATTTTCTATTACCCCATTTCGAAGAGGAGAAAGGAAGTTCTGCCAGGAACCCTCCAAGCCCAGGGCTCTCCTGTTACTGGCCCAGGTGAGTTCACTTTCTGATGAACCCACTTTGTTTCTGAAGACACCACATCTCCAAGCATGCATCCAGCCTTGTAGGTAACCTCTTACAAATGTATGCAAAATGCATTTCATCTAAGTTTCCTCCATTGCACTTAATTTAAAACCACTTAAAAGGGGAATTGAAACAATTTCTTCATCCTTTTTAAGCCTACATGGTTCTCAATCTTTAGACTCAAGGAGATTTGGGGAATTTGTGTAAGTTACACAGAACTGAGTGTTGGTTCAACAAAGAAAAAGTTGAAATGTTTTCAGGCATGATTGTGGCTTTGTAAATGAGAAAATAGCATATTTTGTCATGGTCCCTGTTGTTCCATTGCCGAGAGAAACATTGATAGAGTTTCTTATTTGTATCCATGTTCCTATCTTGACTGAGCCATTGGTCACAGATTCCAGTCTGAGCTAATCTGCAACCTCTCTCCTTCAAAGACTGTAAAGGATTTGTTGCATGTTTAGATTAAGTAACAATAAGGAGAAGATTTCCTTTTTTGCATGGTTTTGATGGGGACATTAATGGACTCACATGGGACAGTGAGCATATAGCAAAAATCATGGTTATGAAACAGTCATGCATCAATGCATCATTCGAGAGAGAGGGGATATTAGTTTTACCCCCATTGCCTCCTCCCTAAACACTCCATAGAGTGCCTCCCAAATGGGAGGTATTAATATCTTGATTATAAACAATTTCCATGCTTACTCAGATTTAAGACTGTATTGATCCACACCATTGATTGAACAACACTATGGATTTTTGTTTTGGTTTGATTTATTTGTTTTCTTAGGAAAAATAATTAACTACATTAAATTTCTGCATTGATTACAAGATGCATCCAGATTTCCAAAACATCATAAAAATGGAAAACAAATGTTGTCATACATTTAAGAACGTTTGGTAAATTCTGTGGGACGCCAAGGCTCCTTGTTCCCGGAGTGATCAGGCAGACTGTGGATGGAGGTCAACACACTGGAAAAGGGCTTTGTGGGCTTGTGAACATGTCTGCTTCCAACACAGACTGAAAGGTTCTCCTGGAAAGGGACGATGTCATGTCCATGCTGGCTTCCCAGCCACTGACTCAATGTCGAGTATCCAGAGTCACTGAATGATTATTTGTTGAATTAATTAAGAATTAGAGATCAGAGGGACCTCCCTGATCCCTTACAATTTCTACTCATGGCTTCATTATCTCTCCACCGTTGCAAGCACTGAATGAGATTATGGACGTAAGAGTTCTGGTGCCAGGTAAGTTATCAGTAAACAAATGTTAGTTCCTTCAATTTTTTTGTTCTCATACTCCCCTCTCCTTCTGTATTCTTTACCTACTCAGGATCCTTCAATAGAAATTAAACTTTGCAGACAAACTCCCCAGGGCCTTCTAGATGACATATTCTTTCTGTGAAAAAGTGAATTTATTGACTTTTCTGCCTCTGAAGAGCACAAAGTACAGCTCTCTGTGCGGGGAGTGTGGGCACAACTTGAGTTGGAGCTGGAAGAGAATGTGCTCTGTTGGGCTGGGTGGGGGCTGTAGCCGTTCCCACAGAAGGTCTTCCTCCAACTTCCTTCCCTCCAGATCTTGCTTCCCAGTGGAGTGAGAATGGGTTTCACTACCTAGATGGTCTTGCGTCACCTACCCACAAATGAAATTCAGGCTCCTAGGCATGGTACTCAAGGTCCTTTGGCCTTAGTTGCATATTTAGCTTGCCCTTACACTGTCTCTGTCACATGCCTAGCGTGTGCAAGGTGCTTGATACATCCACATGGGAGGTGTAAAGAAAGAGTTTCCTCTTCCTGAGACCATATACCTTCATTTTCTCAAGGGTAGGTTTTGGAACCACGGTGCCTATGGTCTGAAGACCAGCTCTAGCTTTCTCTGAGCTCTCACGCTGTGCACCCTCACCTCTTTGCCATGATCATCTTCTTCCAGCTGGAATGGTCTCTACTCACATCTTTCATCATCATGTGTCAGCCTGGTGCAACTCACAATACGCCGTCTCCCTCCTGAAGCTGATAGATGGGCAATTTCAGAGTAAAAACATTGCAGTAGCTTTGGTCTGACTGTGAATATGCTGATCTTATCACGCTGTATATATTGAGACATTACTATGTCCTCCATGAATATATACAATGATTATATATCAATTAAAAAGGAATAATTAAATGAATTCACTTACAGGTTAATCTTGTATGTTGTGCTGGGGTGAGGGTCATTTTCCCAAAGTGCAATAGGAGCCACAAAAGAATTTAAAGCCTGAGATGACAATATTGGACTTGCATGTTAGATCACTCAAGGAGTGTTCTAGTGGACAGATGGTGCAAGGTAGAAACAGAGGCAATGAAACAATTTAGGAGTGAATTGGGTTTGGATCTGTTGGCACTCAGGCCCATCCTTTGCTTTTTCTTTGATCTTTGCTCCAGAGCTTCAGGGAGAAGCCAGGGTACTTGTTTTATTTCTCTTTCTATTTTTTCACTCTTTCTTTCCCTCCTCCCCTTCCATTCCTCTCTAAATAGATCTACCATGGCTTTAGCTTCCACTAGATGATTCCAGATCCTAGACTCTAGTAATGCCAACTCATCCCATTGCCTTTGAAATCTAAGGAGGTTCACAGCTTTCTGATGCTGTGAATCTCTATATTCTCTCACTTATTTGGATTCTCAGCTCTTCCTTCACTAGTGTAACCTAAATTCTGTATTCAATTCCTCCTGTGTAAATACTTAGAATCATTTCTATAATTCTACCTGGACATTGACTGAGAGAGCAGTCCATTGAAGTTGTACAGGTAAAAGATGTGAAAGCCACAGGATTAAAGAAGAGGAGAAGGCTTGGAGATATTCTTAATAAAAATCCTACTCAGAATTGCAAGGCCTTGTCCTCTTACCCCAAAATGTATTTTTTTTTGTCATTATAACATTGCCACCTTTTGGAATAATGTCCACTAGGTCTCAAATATCATTGATCTTTTAACACCCCTTCTAGCATGTCATTCAGCCTACAGAGGATGATCCCAAGTCAGACATGAAGGCTTTACTTTATCACCGACATTCATGTTTCAATGAAATGAAACACATGGGAGATAAAAGAGCAAAACAGAATTGAGAAGAGAGAAAGAATGCTAACCTGCAAGTCAATTAACCATGTATTTTCATTTCTTTGTTTTGGCTCGGTTTCTAACAAGCTGTGTGATCTTGGGTGTGTTACTTTCCTTCTGTGAGGCTTATTTTCTGCCTCTTAAAGAGTATGATTCTAATGTACCTTGGAGTCCTGGCCAAAATTCACCACTATCTTTATTGTTCTGAGAGCCTATCAGCCAGATCCATCCCATTGACTCAATGAGTTCTTTCACTCCCATTGCCTGATACACGATATTAAAGCCTGCATAAATGTTAGTAACCTTGTTTCCCTTTGAAAAGCTTTGAGAGTACAGATGGATTTTCCAAGCCCCATCTGAGCTTTGCACCCAGCAAATCAAATATCATACATTAAATGTCCTTGGCACTCAATGTAGAAAGAATCCTTAGCCAGACATCACAGGGAAGGTTGGTTTGTTCACCATCAAGCAGTTCAAAGTCAGCCCCTCTGTTTTTGAAATGAACGAACTTGCCTCTCACCGTCTGTTTTCTAGGACCTGGAATGATATACACTTTTATTTCCATTTGCAGCCTAATCTGTTCTGAGAAGTATGCATTGGAAACCAGGAAAGAAATGTCATCCTTTGGCTGGTTACCCTAAGATATCACTAACAACATTTTTATATTTTTAAGTTTTTTCTTTATTATAAATTATATATTCTCTTCTAAGAAATAGTTTCATTTAAATATATTCCTCTCTATGGGAGAATTAAAAAGTACACTTATTTCTACGCTGACACTAGGATCCACACTAAAGATGGTGTCTACTATTTTATTCAGCAAAATTTCACTATGGCCTTTCTGGAATCCTCATTATGTAGATTTTATTGTGGCTTTTGTTTAGATATTGGTGACAACTTTTCAACTCCAAAAATAAATAGGCATTCTATGGAAGACAATTTGATTATTTTCAGGTTTTCTGAGATTCAGGATATGTGACTCCTTTTCTTGAGGATCCCAAATCTGACTGGAGAAACAGAATTGTGAACAAGCATTTATCATAATGATGCAATAAGTACTATAATACTGGTGTATTTACAGTTGTTGAATACCTCTGTGACTGTTTTCAGTCATCCTCCAAAGAGTGGCTACTGGTGGTCACTTACTGAATTGCAGGTATAAAAGCAATGAGAAGTTAGCTACAAGGATTTGGGACTAGAATTAGACCTTTACTTACCAAATTCTTGGCAAAAGGAGCTATTTCATTTAGTTTTCCAATGTGAGTGCTCATGTGCCTGCATTCTGAAACAGAGGCTCTCAATATTTTTTAAAAAATTTACCTTTCAACTTGAAGGCACATCTCAAAAGTCATAAAAATGGAACATGCACTTCTGTCCCAGAAGTTTCTCTTGAAATAATTCACCTTAGTAAACCACAGATGCACTCAAAGTCATAATATACCAATAGTATAGTACTTATTGCATCATTGTGATAAATGCTTGTTCACAATTCTGTTTCTCCTAACAGATTTGAGATCCTCAAGAAAGATGTTCATTACAGTGTTTTTTAGAGTATTAATAGGAAAAAGTCATCTAATTGTAAGATAGGAATTATGGTAAATTGATACAATAGAATGCCATGGAGCAATGATATATAAAAGAACTTAATGACAGGAAAAGAAACTTGTGATACATAGTTTAATAAAATAACAGATGATGAAATTCTGTAGGCAATGAGACTAAACTTAAACTATTTGTGTTTGTGTATGCTATCTAGTGGTAGATATAGATGAATGCACACACATATATTGAAAAAATGTGAAGGAATATATGCTACTATTTAACACTGGTCATTTCTTTGTGGGGTTATTTCAGGTAACTTTTGTGTGTATATATTCTGCATTTTAAGGACAGTGCTTTTAAAATCAGAATATATATTGATTTAAAGAATGAGACTGACTTCTGTATATGCTGTAGGAATGTCAGTGGTAAAGATTTGGTTGGCAGAACCATGAAAGAGATGTTGAGGCTACAGGCTTCAGAAAGTCCCTGCAGAGTAAACCCTGACCTTGACATAATTTGGGGCCATTTAGAGATGGACATTTCAAGTGCATCTGTGTATGTAAAGCTGAGGCAGGTTGTGATAAAAAAAAAAGTCCCCTTGGATGACATGAGATACTCGGTTAGATTTTATGGACTAGGGACAGTCTTAACCAAATGGAGATTATGGGACAGAGGCTCATGTCAATGCTTCCGTCTACTTCATCTATTTTGGAAGGTACTGCTGTCCTGACAGGTGAGTCATCAGAATAACTTTGAAGAAAGACCATAAGGAAATGCCTCTGACCCAGCCTTCAGACTTCAGTACTGCTTTTCTGAATTGGGATTAATGTGGGCCAGATCTCCACTCTTCATGATGGAGATTGCAAATTAGAGGCAGAATGACAGTGTACTTACTTCCTGAGACCAGCAAATGATGTGCCCTACACGTCTCAAAACAGTGTTCCAGGAGACACTTTTTAGAGGAACAAATAGGGTAGTTCCTCTGCCAAGCTCAAACATGTTGTTCGAGCTTCTTTGTGGTCAACAGTAAGTATAGGTGGGAAGATGTCCCCTTAGCCCCCTCCCTCCATGCTTAATGCTTATCCCCTGTTCCCACCTTCCCACTCCATTTATTATTTATTTATTTATTGAGACAGAATTTCCCTCTGTCACCCAGGCTGCAGTGCAGTGGCACGATCTTGGCTCACTGGAACCACTGCCTCCCAAGATCCCTCCTGGGTTTGAGAGATTCCCCCAACTCAGCCTCCTGAGCAGCTGGGATTACAGGCACCTGCCGCCATGCCTGGCTAATTTTTGTATTTTTAGTAGAGATGAAGTTTCACCATTTTGGCCAGGCTGGTCTTGAACTCCTGACCACAAGTGATCCACCTGCCTCAGCCTCTCAAAGTGCTGGGATTCCAGGCATGAGCCACCACACCTGGCCCCACTCCTTTCTTTATTACCAATGAGGAGGAAGTAGTCATAAACTGGATGAGCCCAGGAGCATCATTGAAACATGTTTTGCTAGTGGGTATGGTGACTATTTAAAGCTCATCACTCCCATATTCTATTCAGTCTCTTCAGTCACTTGCTATAAGCTAGAGCTGGGCCTATCCTTGGGGCCAGTTTTCTTTTTCCTTTTCTACCTTCCCTAAGCATACAGCTGGGTGGATGGAGCCAGAGAACCTGATTTAGCTCACTGTGCTACCAGTAGCAAGTCTCTATCCTTCTCTGGACTGAAGCTTCCTAATCTGTAAACTAGGGGCATGTACTTGGTCATCCAAACTTATCTTACCATCAGAATTTCTCAAGCTATTGACATTTGGGATTGGATAATTCTTTGTTGTGGGGAGCTCCCTGTATGTTGTAGGAAGTTTATCAGCATCTCTTGCCATCTCTTGCTACTCTTTGCCAACTAGATGCCAGTAGCACCCCCCTCTCTACTTGTGACAACCCAAACCATCCCCTGACATTGCCAAATGTCCCCAGAGGAGCAAAATTACCCCCAGTTGAGACCCACAGCCTTTCACTTATGAATTTCTAGGTGAATTTCCACCTTCTGTTTTGCAGTATTGGGCAGTAACATACATTTTTGATACAGGTGGGTGGATTTCTCCAGAAAAGCCACATCACTGAGATCTGGTTCAGTTCGGAATTCTCTTCTCAGCACACAGCCATGTTTAGAGTCCTGGATCACCTCTGGTAGACTTCAGACACACTTCAAGGGCAAAGTTTCCTCTTAGGTACCCTTAGACAACCTCAGATAATCAAAGCTGGCAGCTAGCCACCACCAGAGGAGTCACGGCTCTAGGTTTTGTCCTGTTTCCTGGCCCCTGAGAGCCCATGGGGATTTTGGACTTGGCTCAGAGCCTACAGAGGGGAGAGGCCAATGTAGAGGCGAGAGCAGGGCAGCAACGAGAGCATGCGGGAGTGGGTCAGGAATTTCCTTAGTTTCATTGGAAACAGATGCCTGGCAGAGGTAGAGGGCTGGGGCCCTGCTTCAGGTCAGCATGCTTGGCAGCTTCTCCTCCCATATCTCTTAACCTCCCCTCTTCTCCTCCCTACCCCACAAACACCACCAGATTATTATTTAAGAGGAGTGCTCTGATTTAAGGGAAGCTAGGATTGTTGTGACATAGGAACAAAATCTGCTGTCCTGGGAACATGTACATGTGGGATGTGACATATACACATGTGATCACAGACCCATGGGATCAGAGAACCTTAGGGCAGGAAGGGCTTTTTGTGGTCCATGTTCAACACGTTTATTTTAAAGATGAAGAAAGTAAGGTCTGAAATCGAGAATGGAGTCTACGAGCCCTGGTTGGTTGATTCTCAGGGTTTTCCTCATCACTGCTCTGCCTCCAAGTCCTGTTTTTAAAATGTTAATTCAGCAAGATATAATTGAACACATCTGAGATTCCCAGCCTGCACCTATAGCAGACATCACTAATTGATCACAGAACTCTTTCCTGCTGGATCTTGATGCTGCCTAATGATCCTTTATCCAAACAGCACTCTGGGTAGGCAGAGCCAGTCAATCCAAGATGACATGCATTTGCCACACCTGCTGGAAACTTGGTCTGTCAGAGTCTTTCTAGAAATGGATGGAAGCAAGGGCCTGGGGGAATGTGGTTTCTTTTTTCTTTCTCTCTCTCTTTTTTTTTTTTCAGACAGGGTCTCACTCTGTTTCCCAGGCTGGAGTGCAGAGGTGCAATCTCTACCCATGGCAGCCTCTACCTCCCAGGCTCAAGGGATCCTCCTCCCCACTCAGCCCCCCAAGTATCTGGGACTATAGGCCTGCACCACTATGCCTAGCTAATTTTCTTTTTTCTTTTTCTTTTTCTTTTTTTTTTTAATTTTAGTAGAGACAGGGTCTCACTGTGTTGCCTAGGCTGGTTTTGAACTGCTGAGCTCAAACGATCTTCCCTCCTTGGCCTCCCAAAGTGCTGGGATTATAGGCATGAGCCACTGCACCTGGCTAGAATGTGGTTTCTTGGGTGATAGTTAAGATGAGAAGGATGTTGGTGAGTATTTTGGAGCAGAATATGAGGCTACCAGTGGTCCCTGTTAATTTGAAACTGTCTTTAGAGAAAGGAACAAAGAAAGTATGTCAGGAATATAGGCTGTTTCTGGGCTTCTCAAACTTTAATGTGTACATGAATTGCCTTGGGGGGATCTTTCTAAAATGCAGTAGGTCTGGGAGGGACCTGAGATTCTGCGGTTTTAATAAGCTTCCAGGTGATGCCGATGTGGCTGGTCTCTAGACCATCCACTCTATCAAGATGTTCATCTGACCGGTTGTTTTACCATTTAGGAAACTGTGGTTCCAAGAGGTCAAGGGAAAGAGAGTGAGGGCTGTTTCACCATCAGCTGTGCAAGTCGCTTGGAGTGAAGATTCTATTAACCTGGCTCATCTTTCTGCACATCTTTCTATAAATGTCTGTCGACTTCCTTGCTTTCGTGTTAGTCTTCCATCTACCAGGCTGATTAATCTCAGGCATCTCAGAACGGATGTCTACTCCAAATCTGGTGTGTTCAGGCTCTGACCACAAGAAAGAACTATTATTTGCTTTCACATGTCTGAGCCTTCTGTGACATCCTTAAAGATCCTGCTGGAGGTCACACCCCTCTGAGAACTGAACCTTAACCAAGGACAATAGAGTGAGCAGGTAAACACTTGAAAGGTCTATTTCTTTTGAGCAAACTTCATTTATTCACCAAAATCCTGCCATTGGGGGTGGGCGGAGGAATCTAACAGTTATTAGATGGCCCTTCATGGCTTAAGAGAGAGAGAGAGAGCTGTGGCCTCATTTTTTGTAAATGACCTCTGAGTTGAAAGAAAGTTTCAAAATGAGGCCAGGATAACAGAAAGGGGGAGCAGTGGTGAGGAGGGGGCTTCTCCTTTATTTTTCCTAAGTAGTTGAGACATTTCACCTTACTCTGACATAATTACATTGTCACATGGAAGATGCTTCAAGTGATTAGTAACATAATTAGTCAAGCTTTTCTGCTCCCCGTGTCCTCAACTAAAACACAGTCTTTATGTACAGTGCCCTTTGCAGTGCAGGACAAGCTATGACAAGGAACACTTTCTTCTTTTTTTTAAAGGACAAAGAGACAAAAGGGAAACATGTGCAGGATCTTCCAGGGCTGCCTCAGAAAGGCTGCTGATCTGGTATCAGTAACAAATAAAAAGCAGATTTGAGAAAATATAACATTAGGAAGCATATAACGTGGTTTTGGTCAAAGCAGTGGTTGCTGCTACCATTGTTGTTACTGGTATCATTAGTCATGGTAAAATTTGTTCAGACTTGGTTTTTCTTTCCACAAACTCATCTCTGTGGAAAGAACAACCAAGTCTGAAGAAATTCACAGTCTTTACAGTCTTCTTCAGACATGGGCGAGCCTTGGAAATTTCAGCTGATTTTGCAGAGTGCTTAAAAAAGTCTCCTACTGCACCAAGTTCTGCTAAGAGAAGTAGAAACGTAAACGAGATCAAATAGACTCTGATCTCCTCCTCCTTTTTATTTTTCCAGAAAGCACCCTTGGCCATGGTGAGCCCCCCATTCATGGTGACTCAATGAGTGGGAATGGGTATTTCTCCAGACAACATCAGCTTGGGGATAGAATGCATCAAACAAGGTACCGTTTACTGAACATTTGGCCAGGAGCTTCACTAAGGCCTATAAAGGACACATTATTAGTTCATCGAACGCTCAAAGCCTTCTGGTATTATCAGAATTTATTGAGAAGAAAACCAGGCTCAGTGATGGTATGTGGCTAGTACATTTTCGATCTCAGATCTAAACTTAAATCTTGTTGGCTCCAAAGGTCAATGTCTAATGATCATTCTGGTATGGTAGAGTGACGAGCATCATTTCCCAAGGTCAGCTCTCACCTTCAGTGTTAAGGGGACTGTTAGCTTCCCTCCACTTGCCAGATTTCTCTCTACTACTCTGGGACTCAGACGCTCTTGGATATCATTGTCTTGATGTGGCTTTCTTCTCCTCTCCTTCTTCTTTGATTTCCTGACTCTCTCTGCTATGGGGCCTAGTGGTAGTGGCGGGGAAGTGGAGGGTTGTGATACAATGAAGAGACAGTAGACTTTGGAACCAGATCTATCTAGGTTGGAATCTAAGCTCTACTTAACCTGAGACAAAATACCTTATATTCCTGATCCTCAGTTTTTCAGTCTGTTAAATGGCAATAAATGTATGGATGAATAGATTGATGCATGGATGAATGGAAAGAGAGATGGATGAATTAATTCAAATCAAATCATTAATGTGAAGGTGATAGGTGAGAGGCTAAGGCATGTTGGCATTAATGTGCATAAATGGGTAAGAGTAATAGTTGCTTTCAAGGGAATAAGGTGCTATATCTCATTTAGAATGAAAGGGCCCCGGAGTGCCAGGCAGCAGAGAAACAAGGCTGAGACTCAGCTGCCCTGGCTTTGTAGTAAATTTTGTCTCATGTCAACATTTACCAGGTTTGTGCCAAGGATCATGAGCTGGATGCTTCATTAAAAGAGGGTTCCATGGTCCAAAGGTGTTTGGGAAATGTAAACAGTTCTTGGAAATTCATATATACAAGAGAATATTAAAACTTTTGAGAAGTCTTACAGGCATATTAATACTATAGAATAATAATAATTTTATGATCTAAAATCCAGTGATTCTGAAAAGCTTTGTCCATAGAGCCTATCTGCTCCATATTGCTTAGTAACTTCAAGAACTACATTCTGTATGTCTGCATTTTCTGGACTGTGGTTGAGATGACATAACGGTCTCAATGCTGGGTCTATTTGTATGGGTTGGTGGTTGTTAGTACTCACACACATGCTGTGGATGTATCCTCCCAAATAATCATGTGATAGAATCAAGACTGGCATCACTCTCTCTATGTGACAGATGAATGCATGGGACTCAGCGGGGTAGAGTGAGGTGTCTGAGTGCACCATGGGCAAGTTGGACTCTGGCCTAGGTCATCCAGTGTCAAGTTGGTTCTCTCAGAACCACATGTGCTCCTGCCACTTGGCCACAGAGGTCTTCGTTGTCTGTTTGGCTCTCTCTTGATGCCAGATCTGTTCAAATAGGTCTGGGAAGCCGCATGCACTTCACTTTGTGTATGTAGAAATACCGAGTACACTTCATAGTCTGACGAGCAGCTCTCCAGCCAAGGATAATAGAGTAAGAGAGAATGATCACACTAACGAAGGCAATAATTACACCATCCAGGACTTGTAGAGCACTTTGCAGTTTTATGAGCACTTTCATGCATGGTATCCCTTCTGATCATCTCGGCAACCCAATTCACATGCCCGGCTGGCAATTTTTATCCTTATCTGACAAGGAAGGAAACCGAGGTGCAGGGAGGTTAAGGATAGAGCAGAAACTTACACAGCAAGCCAGTGAGTGAGCCAGTCATCCAATTCTGCCCCTTTTTTGTGACTATTTCTAATATTTGAGTTGGCATTCACCAGAGAAGCATGGTGGAAACAAAACTTTGCTTTGCCAGAGTCTACTCTCCCTTTCTCCTTCCAACTTCTGTTCTTCCCTCCTTTCATCCTTGAAAATGAAAATTTCAAAATATGGAAATATTCAAATATTTCTGTAATGACCTGTAATCCCACCATCCTGAGATAACTACTGTGTATTTGCTTCTAGTAATTGTTTTATGCACATTTGCCTGTTACTACATTTTCTTCAAAGCATAATATTAAATGTCTGCAAAGAATTACATTTTATCTTTCTTTACATCATCCATCTTTTGTTGTTGGGTATTTGGAATGCTTTAACATTTTCTGAAATTTAAATAACATGATAAACATCGTTATACAGAAATCTTTGTGCACTTTAAAATATCATCCTTGAGATAAAAGTTTCTTGAGTGAAATTTCAGAGTGAAAATGTTTCTATATATTTAAGATAGATATTCTAAACTGCCATCTAGAAAAGTTTTACTAATTTCAAAGTCTCCCCATCCCCATGAACAACTATGTTTTGACCTTTTAAAATTTCACATGCATTGTTTTAATTTCAATTTCTTTAATTATCCCTTTAGGTTATCATCTTTTTGTAAATATTCATTTTTGGTTGGTCATTTTTGTTTCTACTTTTGTCCATTTCTTGATCATGACATTTGACTAATATTATTATTATTGTCATTTTAATTGGGCTATGTTTTTGATATTCATTTCTTAGAAGCATTTATGTATTAAGGAAACTAATACTTACATTGCAAATAATGTTTTTTGCTAGGCTGAAATCATGAGTTGAAAACACCATGAGTGATATTTTTAGTTGATGGTGGAGCTTATAGGAAGGAAGACTTCAGCCCATTGTTAAAAAGAAATTTCTAATAATGAGTGAAAGTTATATGAGGATGGGGTTGGTGGCCTTGTAAACAACCCAATTTCTTGGAAAGGTAAACCAAGACTCAGAGAGGTCCAATAACTTGCCATGGGTCACACAGCAAAAAGTGTCGGAAGTGAGATTTCAACCCATGTCCATCTATCTCCAACTTCTGTGTTCTTTCTACTGTGTGGCATCTTTGTGTCCCAGAGAAAGGCAATGATCAGACCAGTTCTGCTGAAATAAATCAGTTGCAGGTCACAGAAGACATCAGACAAGGAAAGAGACAGGAGAATGAAGAAAACAATTAGGAGACTGGGATTTGGAGTCCTCAAATTGAAAGAAATGAAGGTGAAGAAGTGAAAGCAAAGGCCTTCATTCATAAAAGGGCGATGGTGTTACAGGGTTGCACTAGTGAAATATTTTGGGTACCTCTATTGCCAGATCATGCCATGGACTATTTATGCTCTCTTTACTACTGGAAATAGAGCTCTTAGCATCTTGAAATTTAATTAGATTAGAGAACCAATTCTAGAAACCCCAGATCCAATTCAGAAAACTCACATGCTTAAAATTCTCTTCCTCTAGAACTACTCCTAGTACTAAAATATGTATTAGTCTGGGTTCTCTAGAGAGACAGAGCCAATAGGAGATCTTTCTCTCTCTTTCTCAAAAAGATAGATATTACAAAGAGAGAGAGAGAGAGAGAGATCTCCTAAATATAGATTTATTATAAGGAATTTGGCTCATGTGACTATGTAGACTGAGAAACCTAAGATCTACAGTCAGCAAGCTAGAAACCCAAGAGAGCTGATGGAAGAGTTCCAGTTTGAGTCCAAGTCTAAAGGCAGGAGGAGACAAATGTCCCAGCTTGAAGACATTCAGGCAGAGAGAGTGACTTCTCCCTTACTCAGCTTTTTGTTCCATTCCAGCCCACCCCCATTACAGAGGATAAACTGCTCTACTCAGTCTACCAATTCAAATGTTAATCTCATCCAGAAACACCCAGAATAACGTTTAACCAAATAAAACAAACCTTCACAAGGGTCAAGCTGCTTTCTTTTTTTTGTTTTTTGATTTTTTTGAGATGGAGTTTTGCTCTTGTTGCCCAGGCTGGAGCGCAATGGCACGATCTCAGCTCACTGCAACCTCCGCCTCCTGGGTTCCAGCGATTCTCTTGCCTCATCCGCCCAAGTAGCTGAGATTACAGGCACGCACCACCACACTCAGCAATTTTGTATTTTTAGTAGAGATGGGGTTTTACCATGTTGGCCAGGCTGGTCTTGAACTCCTGATGTTAGGTGATCTGCCCGCCTCAGCCTCCCAAAGTGCTGGCATTATAGGCGTGAGCCACCGTGCCTGGCCAGGCTGGTTTGTTTATCCTTACCTTTCCTCACCCACTCAGGGTCCAACCTCAGATGCTTTTAAAGCCACTTTCGAAAGGCTTTCTCTGGGCTAAGGATGCATTCTCTTAAGACAGACTTGGAATAACCTTTTGGGCAGTACCATTTCCAGTATTTCAGGTTCCAGCTTTCATTTCGGCCCCCCCCCACTTGCATTCCTGTTTCTTTTTATTTATTTTTCTTAAACTGCTGAGCCTGATAAATTAGGGCTATTAAGAGACTGTTTGTTATTCTGTCCTGGGTTACTATTTTGAGGGCTAAAACACTCATAAATATATGGATGCTCCGACTGTAAATGGATACGTTTTAGCCAGTGAAAAATTCATTTTCTCTAATATATATTTTTAAAGTGTCCTACTGAAATCCTGCACAATATCTCACCATGATCTTTCATTGTTCCTCCCATTTTTATCTGATAAAAGCAGATCCATCATCAATGTGGTTCCTTTTCTCTGCACCATAAATAACAGCTGAGGAAGGGGAACATCTCCCACAACACGGTGGCATCGAACTTTAACCAATTTTGGAATATAGTGTTTGTTAAGCCTTCTTGGGATGGGAGCCAAGAGTACCTGCGTGCCCATCATTTGTCTCATGGCCTTCCAGGTTTTGGACGAAGACACTCCAAGTCTAAGCATAGAGAAATTTGCATCTGATTTCAGTTGTACTTGCCAGATGGAAGATGGACTTTTGTAGGTTTTTATATATGGCTCATCTGGGTTGGCCCCAGTTTATGTCCCTGGTTCCAGTTAAATTATTAAAAGCAACTTCTTTTACTTTCAAAATTGTCCTGGTTTGGATAATAAGTTATGTGGTCACTGTAGATGTATACTGAGAAACACAGGGCTTCATATGACCTCTAGTTTTTTCCCATTCCCCATTAGATGCTCATTCTGTGTATTGGAACCCCCCTTCCCATCCATCAGCTACTCATTGTAGTCAGGAGACTTACTATCAGAGATAACATTTACAGGCTGGGAGAAAAGAAAAAGAAAAGAAAAACCGTAATTCTAGTTTCCACCATATGCAAGGTACTACCCTAGAGGCTTTTCAAGAAAGTCATGCTTTCATTCTAAGAACAATTCCATAAAGTACTACCATTCATCAATTTCAAGATGCACAGTTTTTCATTCATTAATATCTCAAAATTAGGCTGAGCTGTATAATTGATGTTGTCTTATAATTACTGTTGGCCATGCGGTGTTATGATGTACTCATCATTGTCTTTGCATGAACCCTGTCAAAACTCACAGATGACCAGGAGGGGCCAAGGGGATTCTATTTGCTTATTTGTGTGAACCCAAAATGCCTGCTTCCTCAATTAAGCCTTCACTCTGAGTCTTGCCTCCAGCTTTTAAAGTTTTCTTTTCCCCCTCTTTAACAGATCTCAGTCTTCCACCACACTGCAGGCACTGGGCCCAGGAGGGCTTTGCCTCTGTTTGCTTTCTCTTCTCTAAGCAGCATCTGCTCCTGTACCACCACTGAGGATACCTCCTTTTCCTAAAATCCCCAATCCCCTGCTGCTTTTAATTTCATAATTATCAGCCATGAGCATTGTGATCCTTGGTGACTCAGGGGCAAACGATGCAGGTCTTGGCAGCAACTTCCTCCTACCCAACTCCTCTCTGCAATGCTTATCTTTCTTGAAAACTTATCTCATGTCACCTGCTGGTGACAGCTTTCCCTGATTGACACCGAGTCTGTTCTGGTGCTCCCCATCTGCCTATCATGGACCCTGCGACCTTGTGTCTTTTGGCTTTATATCTCCAGCAACTGACAAAGTATCTGGCATGTAGGAGACACTTGACAAATGCTTCTTGAGAAAATAAATGCATGAAATAAAGAATGAACAAATAAATTAAGCTTTGTTGGCAATTGCCTTATCCCATAATTGATTTTCACATATTGAGATATTGATTGATGTTTAATGGCTGCATAGTTTTTGTTGGAATATCTATAAACCCAACCTCCTCAAGCTGGATATAATGTATGCATCTTCCTTCACAATGACCACAGAGAGTTATTTGGTGGGACTATTTTAGAAACTTGTTTCCTGTCCTTGGCTTAACTCTTACCATTAATTAGAATCCCTTTTAGTTGTCCCAGGTGATTTCATCTATCTGTTCATTTGGTCACTCACTTGGGAAATGTTTATTTAGCAATGACTGTGCTCCCTGATGAAGACACAATGCTAGGCAGACCAGCATGGTACTCTGCCCTCTGGGGACTTCCAAAGATAGTGGGAGAGAAAAGCTAGCAACCAGGCACATTGAGATGGGAGAGGAATAGATTTCTATGGGCAACAAGAATGGCCTTGTGCCATCAGAAAAGGCTTTCCAAAGGAAATGACATCTCAGCCAAAAGATGCATAGGAGTTAGTTACCCAAAATTAGGGAGAAAAAGGGGTCAGGTGGTCTGTTACTACATAACTAGTTGCCAAAACTTAGAAGTTTAAAACAACAATGATTTTGTTATTTCTTACAATTCTTTGGGCTAGGAGTTTGGATTGGGTTCAGCTTGGTGATTCTTCTGGTCTATGGGTGTCAATTGTCAATTGTGGTCATTTGGTCATATTGCCTTGGTGGGGACTGTTGAGAGGCTGGGCTCAGTGGGCCCCCTTTTTCTAAGTAGTCTCAGGGACTCTCTTCACATCCCCTCTTATCTCTTTAGCAAAGCAGTCAGGCTTCTTACATGGCAGCTCCAGGCAGAGACAGAGAGAGAGAGAGAAAGAGAAGATGGTAGCTACCAGTCTCTTAAGGCCCAAGGGCCACAAACCACCACAGTGTTATGTCCCCTGGACCCCACTGGTCACAGAGCCTGTCCAGAGTCAAGGGGAGGGGACACATATTCCCACTTATTGATGGAGAAATGTCAATGAATTTGTGACCATCTCTAATCTGCCATTTTGGAGAGTTGGAAAGAGGGTTTCAGGCAGAGGAGCAGAAGTGAGGCCTCAGAGGCTGGAGCTTAGACAGCAGGTGCCATGGTAATGGGCAAGGCTTCAGAAGAGGCAGAAGTCAAGCAGACCAGACCTTATTGAGATATGTTATTGAGTCTGAAATTTATCCTGAGAGGACAGTGGGGACATACTGAAGGTATTTGAGCATGGATGTAACATGATCAGATTTGGGGTTTTGAAAAATCACTCTAGTGGCTGTGTGGAGAAGGTGGGAAAAGGTTTGTAGAAGGTCTGCTTGGAGCCACAGACACTGGTTTGAAGGAAGAGCTTGATATACTCAGGTGAGAGATGCTGATGCCTTCACAAAGAAGGGTGGTGGGTGGCAAGAGCTGGGCCGATGGAACACTAGGGAGATGCATGCACAGGAGGGCTCTGTGGCCCCCTGTCTCCTGGTATCCAGCCTCAGCTCTTGTATGTCCTGGTCCTGTCCCCAAGGGCTCAAAGACCCCATCTGATGCCACTGTCACCAAGGCAGACAACTGGGCAGCTCTCTGGACTTCCGCCCCTGCACACACAGTTGCACAAGCAGCTGCGTTTTCAGCCCAGCACTTCCAATGAGCACCAGCCAGCTTCCCGTATGTGAAAAATGGGAACAAGAATATTAAATGTGACAAACATTTAACCATCTTTGAAGCTGTGATCTCGATAACAGCTGGGAGGAAATGATAAAGTGGCAACAAGGATGGAAATCAGATTTCCTGTTGAAGAAGTTGATAAAAACATTTCATTTTTCTAAACAAAGGGAGTTTGGGATTGACCTGATTTATTTCCAGCTTTCAAGGGCTCATTTTGGAATTTCCAGGTCCAGAATCTGAATCTGAATAACCCGAGGGTTCCTTTGTCCCAAAACTGGTCCCCTACTTTCCTAAGAGGCAAATGATGAGTTCCACAGAGCACTGAGGTTGCTTTAGATGTGCGTGGATTTGAAGCCTTCCCCTGCCCTCACCAGCTGAGCCGCTTCCCCTTCGGAACTTCAGTTTCCTTATTTTAAAAATGAGAATAACCAATTTCCACTTCACAGAGCTGGCATGAGCATTATGTGAGATACTGGGGATGAAAGTTTGGCCACCCCTACCTCTTTGACCCCCACAAACATTCTGTGTGTCCAGTTGGGACCCCCCCAGTTTAGATGTGAGGAAACAGGGGCCCCAAGAGATACAGCAACCTATCCAAAGTCACCCCAGAAAAGAGATTTGAAGTTCTGTGGGGGATGACAAGGGTTAGACTCATTTTCTTTGACTCTGTAACGTGGCACTTGGACCAGTGGATGGACACTGCATGGAAGCGGGTTTGAACTCAGTTCAAAGAGGAACTTTGTTGCAAATGGAGTCACACAAGCATTTGTGTGTGCAGGAATGCTATGGCTCAGATATGGTTTGTTTGTCGCCACCAAAACTCATGTAGAAATGTGATCCCTAGTGTGGTGGTGTTGGAAGGTGGGGCCTGGTGGGAGGTGTTTTGATCATGGGGTGTGGATTCCTCCTGAAGGGCTGAGTGCTGTTCTCATGGTATTGAGTTCATGCTGATGAGACTGGATTAGTTCTCTGGGAATGGACTAGCTCCCACGACAGTGGGTTATACAACAAGGATGCCCCTCAGATTTCTCCCCTTTGTGCATGGGTTTGTTCCCTTTTGACCCTCTCCACCATGTTGTGATGCAGCACGAAAGCCAGGAGCCATGGCCACGCCCTCGATCTTGTCAGCCTGCAGAACTATACGCTAAATAAACCTCTTTTCTTCGTAAATGATCCAGTCTCAAGTATTCTTTTATAGCCACACAAACAGATTAAGACAGGTAGTGAGCTCCTTATTATGAGGAGTATTCAAGTGGAGGCTGAAATCACCCGGTCAAAACCATGGTTGAGGCAACTGTTGTTGATAGTTGGGAGCATGGTGGGAGCAGAGTGGATGACCTTTAACTTATAGCCTGGCTCTGGGAGCCTACAGGGTCAAAAAAAAAACCAACAAACAAAAAAACCCACGTATTTTAGGAATACTGAAATAACCACAAGTGGTTTTTGTAGTTATTGATGGCCAACTTCTTAACATTGGATCCTTCACTTGGTAGCCAGGTGTCAGAATGAACTGGATCTCTGAGGGACTTCTTGGCCACATGTCTGGACTCAGCTTGGGCCAGCTGCATTTCTCAGAACATCTTGGACTGAATAATCTGAATCCTATCATGTTACCTGCGAAGATGCTGGCTTCTGCCAATTATGACACATCTCTATATTGGAGGCCAAGATGGACTCTACATGGCTTTCTGGAATATATCTGTTTTTTCTGCCAACAGAGAAACCTAAGGAGGTCTAATCTACCATCTCTCTGCAAAGATGACTAACAAAAATAAGCTCTCCAGAATCTACAAGGAACTTAAACAACTCAACAACAAAACACAAATAACCTCATTAAAAAGTGGGCAAAAGACAGGAACAGACCTTTATTCAAAAGAAGACATACAAGTCACCAACAAGCATATGAAAAAATGCTCGATATCACTAATAATCAGGGAAAAGCAAATTAAAACACAGTGAGATACCATCTTAAATCAGTCAGAATGGCTAGTATTAAGAAGTCAAAGAATAACAAATGTTGGTGAAGATGCAGAGAAAAGGAAACGCTTATACATTGTTGGTGGAAATGTAAATTAGCACAATTAGTAAAACTCTATGGAAAACGGTATCGAGATTTCTCAAAGAGCTAAACATAGAACTATCGTTTGATTCAGCAACTCCACTACTGGGTGTCTACCCAAAGGAAAAGAAATCATTATATTAAAAAGATACTTGCACTCATGTTTATCACAGCACTATTCACAATAGCAAAGATGTGAAATCAGTCTAAGTGTCCATCAACAGATGATTGGATAAAGAAAATGTGGTACACACACACACACACACAAAATGAAACACTATTCAGCCATAAAAGAATAAAATCATGTATTTTGCAATAACAGAGATGGACCTGGAGACCACTGTCTTAAGTGAAATAACTTAGGAAATCAAATACTACATGTTTTCACTTTAAACAATGTGTACACAGGAACATACATTGTGGAATAATGCACATTGGAGACTCAGAAGGGTGGGATGGGAATAAGGGATGAGAAATTACTTAATAGATACAATGTACACTATTTGGGTGATTGCTACACTAAAAGCCCAGACCTCACACTATTCAATATATCCATGTAAGAAACTGCAGTTTTACCCTCTAAATCTATACAAATTAAAACAAACAAATAAACCAATGAACTCTCCTCAGAAATGAAGCCTCCCTGATAGCCAAGCTGAAAGTCAGTTGGCAGGGTGTTGAGGTTGAAAGCACCATGTGATGAAGTGTGTTTGATGAAGTGTGTTTGATTTCAGATTCAATGTGTTTCTCTTTCCTGTCTCTCTCCCTCTGACTCCTACCCCCACTCAATACAAGTTGGTCTCACCTTAACTGCTTGGTCATCTAGCCTCTTCTTAAAGGACTAGGTAGTAAATATCTCCAGCTTTGTAGGCAACACAGTCTCTGTCACAACCACTCGACCCCGTTATGACAGCAACAAAACAGCCAGAGACAATATGTAAATAGTAGGTGTGGCTGTGTTCTGATAAAATTTTATTTACTAAGTGAGGCAGCAGGCTGGATTTGGGCTGCAGGCTTTAGTTTGTTGGCCCTTCATTTCTACTGGTCCTCAAAAAACCAAGGAAAAACAAACATCCCTTATGCTAACATTAGGTGCTGCGGGAGTCACAGGCTTTCTTCTCCAAGTGTGGTCCACAGAGCAGCAGCAACAGCCTCACCATAGCAAGGCCCATGGCACCTGTCAGAAATGCAGCATCTCAGCACCCCTCTTTTACTTCCTAAATCTACCTCTCTTCATCAGAATCCCATTAAAAAAAATTCAGATGATTCACATATACATGGAAATTTGAGAAATACTGAATTATAACAGAAGAGTCTTGGGGGGCAGTGATTAATATTTGTGTTTAAATATCGTGTGTGTTTTTTCTTGTTGCTATTGCCAGTTGGACAGTAGAGAAAGTGCTACAGAGGTTAAGGCCCCACAAAGAGATGGTCAGTGTAGAGAGGGTAATTGTAAAACTTTTTTTTTGGTAACTATTGTGATGATGGCTAATCGTTGCATAGTTTTTGACTTTTTCCAAAGTGGTTTAACAAAATCTCATGAGATTCTTACTGAGATTGGTCGAACCACTGTTTGACAGGTCAAACACTGTTCAGCTCCAGGGGTGCCTGGCACATGTGGCACCTCCAGGAGGACAGGTGCAGTGCACTGCTTGAGCAACTGTCCATGTCGGCCCTGCCTATTAGGCAGCGATCATTGCTACCTCAGGCTTTCTGATGTGGAAATGGAGGCCAGAAGCCACGAGCCTCCCTGACCTGCCATTCCTTTCCTCCCAGGTGTGCTGCTCACTGACTTTCTCCTATCAGGAAGGTTAGACTGGAAATGGCCTTCAGGTGCCCTGGGCTGGGGTCTTTGTGTCTCTCTGACCTGATAATCGCCATAGAGGTAGCTCTGTAGAGCACAGATGAGGCCCTGGGAGTTAGGCACAGCAAGTCTTGGCTTGCTTATCTCACAGTGGCCACTGAGGGGCCTAGTGACTCTGTGTGATGAACTTACTTACAGTTCTTAGCCTCTCCTTAGGGCCTCTTCTTGGAGGACAAAAGCATTGCTGATAAAAGCCCTCTGAACACTGTGGGTGTGTAAAGGGCGATGTATTTCTTTCTTTTAATTACCTGTGGCCACGCTTGCTGTCTTGGGTCAGCTTTAGAAGGCAGCCGCCTAACTCTTGTTTCTGTTCATCTCGATGTTAACAGCTTTACTATACCCTGAGTCTAGTAAATAGTCTAGTAAAGGCATTTCATGCCTTTTTTATCTTCCTAGGATGAGGAGTAATCCTCCCAGATCGTACAAGGAATAAGCCAAGTCTCCTCTGCTCAACCCAGGGCTGGCTGGTCCTTCTGGGAGAATTCTGCTTACAGCTGAGGGAAAAACAACTGGTCTGACTCTCTGAGACCTGGGCTACAGGCCAGCCCACCTACGGTGAACTGTGTGGCTGGATGCCTCGCTGTTCTTCTTGAGCCGCAGCCGCAGGTGGCCAAGATGAGCAATAGCTGGGCACGGTAATAATGTTCTAGAGCTGCTTTACCCCAGCTCACCAGGTGCCTGGGCCTGTGTGGGCTCTATCACTCGTACCTCCTTGACATTTACCATGAACCTAGAGCCATCCCACTTTACAGATTTCAAAACTGAGTTCCAGTGGTTCTGTCCTGAGCCCAAGGTCACACAGCAGCTAATGTATGAGCAGAGCTCCATGGGGCTCTCTGAGCCCAGGCCTGACCCTGTACCGACAGAAGAGGCCATTTAGCTGTGGGCTTTGCAGATGTGCTATGATCCTAAGAAACCAGGTGACTTTGGGAGAGGCAGATGCTTTGTTATTATGAGGGACCTGTTGAGCCGCTGCTGACTCACATTCCAAAGCTCACGCCCAGCACCCTGACTATTTGCTTAGGGTTTTGCTGTAGCTCTTGCCAAAGATGAGACCATAAAATCTCAAAGTGACAATGCCATTATTCAAGTATCCAAAGCCCTTCATGTTTCTTCAAATGCTCACTGGTGTTTGATGTCATTAAAATATATTGTTGATTAATATTTGAGCAGCTACGCATAGCTTGCATCTCACCCGGTCTCACATTTCTCATCCATTTGTGCTCCTGCAATGCCCAGATCTCCCTTCGGGTTTCTTTGTACCCTCCCTTCGTTCTTCCCCATCTAGTCTGCATACCCCCAGTTAAAGCTGACCCAAAGAGCTCCATGCAGTCTATGTAAACATCACCAGCAGCCCATATGGACAAAGATAAACAACCCAGCTCAGTCCCCTCCCATCCTGGCCCACCACTGTCTCTGGCTGCACCCTGGAGGGGTCCTCTGTGAGATAATCTTCCCCCAGGCCAACTTGCTACTTTCCTCTAGTTTGCATTCTGTCCACACGTGTTCTGTCAGGAAGACTCCTCACTATTTTATAAGGCAACTACTTGGCCAGCCCATGAGCTGGAGGCATCATTCCCAAATCTCTCGTTAGGCTACATTACATTTTGGTCACAAGAGGCGGTAACTCAGCTCCAGAATCCCTCCCTAAGCAACTTTGGCAGGTCTCCTAACCTCACTCAAACTCTGGATTTTTGTCTGTAAAAGAGGGTTATAGTAATACCTACCTTTAGGGAGCTACTATGAAGATTGAATATTATGATTTTTTTTTAAATAAAAAGTCTTCCCAAAGCTTGAGTGTAATTTTGATTTTTAATAATTTCAGAAGCACCCATGCTATACACTTAACAAAAACACATCATTTGAAAGTTGAAGTATTACCCTTTTCTAAAAATCTTTCGTTTTGTGCATTTATAAATCTTTCATTTTAATTTTTGTTTCACGCTGGGCACAGAGGCCCACGCCTGTAATCCCAGCACTTTGGGAGGCTGAGGTGGGTGGGTCACCTGAGGTCAGGAGTTTGAGACCAGCCTGACCGACATGGTGAAACCCCATCTCTATTAAAAACACACACACACACACACACAAATTGCCGGGTGTGGTGGCACGTGCCTGTAATGCCAACTACTTGGGAGACTGAGACAGGAGAATAGCTTGAGCCCGGGAGGCAGAAGTTGCAGTGAGCCAAGTTCGTGCCATTGAACTTCAGCCTGAGTGACAAGAGCGAAAATCCACCTCAAAAAATAAAAAAGAGTTCTTTTTGTTTCAGTCAATATTTGCTATGCTCAGTCAGAGGGGCTGAAAAAAATTTAAAGACTTGTTTTTTAAAATTCACAGAACCAAATCAATGTTAAAAAAAAAAGAAATATAATTTCAAATACTGTTTTTGTTTATTTATGGCATTTATCTCTCTGAAGTTATTAGAGCTTAAAGCTACACTGAGCCTAAGCAAGTGCTACATAAAGAAGTCTTCTCCTTTGATTTTTTATCACAGTAGCCATTATCTCATCATCATTTGATCAATGCAGTCATAAAGGAAGACCTTCTTCAACAGATATTAACTGCTATAGATCAAGAAACTCTATCCTGTTCCTGTCATTCCTCCCCTGCGACTGCCTTCTGTCTTCGCTCTGTCCCAAAGGGCCCTTCTTTAAGCTCTGGTGGTTGCTGTGCTATTATGGGATTGCATCCCTTGACAAGTGTCATTTTCTCATCCCCCTACTAGCTCACCCACTGAGATTTAGACTTTGGCAGGAAACCAGGGGTTGGGAATTGTTGGGGGAGGAGCAATACCACCGTGGCAGCACTACAGACACCTTGCACCCACATTCCACTTTGACCCTGGACTTCATTTTATCCCATCTACATCCTTCTCCACATCCCAGTCTGCCCTTGGCCCAACTCATCACCACCACCACTTAAAGGGCAAGTCTTCTTGGACCCACAGCTTTCATGTCCTTCCTGTGACCTAAACAACCCCTCCCCTCACACCCTTTTATGTTCCTTGTGCATTGCGGAACCTCCACTCCAATACAGAGTTCCCTCCAAAACATTGCTTCTCCAAGGGCACCTTGACCTCAGGATTGCCCTGATAGACTTTTCCTCTCTCCAGTCACCTCCACTCAGCAGGAAATCTCCAAGCCTCAGAATGTGTGGTCCTGTAGGATATCAGGGATGGAGGGAGAAGTTCAGGAGAAAGTTTCCTGCGGTGGCAACTAGGTTTATAGTTATTTCAGCTGCATGAGATGGGGTAGGAAATGACTGAGTTTGTTCTTGAATGTTGAATTTCAGGGATCTCTGTGAAATCCAGGAGGTAGTTGCCTACATGGGTCTGAGTCATCAAGAAGAATTCCAAGCGGGTGTTAAACACAAGTACCCTCAGTCTAGAGGGGCTGGAGGGGTGGCCTGGGAACACCATGCCATATGAGTGGGGCAGGAAGAGGACTGAGCCCAGGAGAGATGCAAGGAGTGCTTGCCTGGCAGTGGTCTGGAAGGGCAACATCACGGATTACAGAAGCCAAAGGGATCAGGGATTCAGTGCAGTTGCAAACAGGGGCTGATGCTGGAAAGATGCTAAGAAAAATAGGTGGATCTTAGAAGGCCAACAGTTACCCTGGGAAGGGAGTTTTAGGGGGATGGTGGCGATGGCAGGATTTTGAGGAGGGAGGAAGTAGGATGGTGACAATGACCAGCCATTTTAGCAAGAGGGGCCACAACAGGAAGGAGCAAAGGCTGTTGGTTGGAGAAGGAGAGATGTTAGAATAGTTTCCGCTGAAGGGGAGGATTGAGAGAAGCAGTAGTTTGTAGCGTTTTTAGCTCTGCCTACCTCTGAACATCTGATGAAACTCTGAGGGATCTACTCCTCTGTAAATATAACTCCCACATAGATTTTGCATTTTGTGGTGCAGGGTTCACAGACCCTCTGAAGCCCACCCATGGACCCCAGCAGATTTTTTTTTTTTTTTTTTTTTTTTTTGAGATGGAGTCTCGCTCTATCTCCCAGGCTGGAGTGTAGTGTAGTGGTGCGATCTCCCCTCACTGCCACCTCCGCTTCCCGGGTTAAAGCAATTCTCCTACCTCAGCCTCTCGAGTAGCTGGGATGACCTGCGCATGCCACCATACCCGGCTAATTTTTGGATTTTTTTTTTTTTTTTGAGACGGAGTCTCGCTCTGTCGCCCAGGCTGGAGTGCGGTGGCACGATCTCGGGTCACTGCAAGCTCCACCTCCCGGGTTCACGCCATTCTCCTGCTTCAGCCTCCCGAGTAGGTGGGACCACAGGCGCCCGCCACCACACCCGGCCGATTCTTTGCATTTTTTTTAGTAGAGACGGGGTTTCACCGTGTTAGGATGGTCTCAATCTCCTGACCTCGTGATCCGCCCGCCTTGGCCTCCCAAAGTGCCGGGATTACAGGCATGAGCCACTGCGCTCGGCCTGGATTGGGGTTTTGCCATGTTGGCCAGGCTGGTCTGGAACTTCTGACCTCAGGTGATCTGCCTGCCTCGGCCTCCCAAAGTGCTGGGATTACAGGCATGAGCCACTGTGCCTGGCACCTTTTCTGTCTTATTCAAGGTCCTTTACTTCCCTTACAAGGACTATCCCCATCTTAAGGTGGGGAAACTGAGGCAGAGGGGCAGGAATTTTGGGTAGCTTTGCTTAAGTTCCCTTCAGCAGAGGCAGACAGCCAACCGAGGCCTCCTGAGTCGCCTGGTCTAATTAGCCTCTAATTGAGTTCTCTCTCCTTCCTCTCAGGCGTCACAGTGACATTAAATTACAGGATTCAAACATATAATTTCCTAAACGTAAATGTGATTTATCTTAATAGGACTTTGTATCAGGTCACTTTATCATGCACAGTGTCAGGGAGCAGATCTGTTATTCACAGGGACTATTATTGAATCAGAGGATCTGGAGCCAGGGGAGACCTTGAGAGGTCAGCTGTGCTCAAGTCAACTGCCCCAGCTGCAGAAAGCCCCTTGCACCATGCTGGCTGCCTGTGGGTGAATGGAGCTGGAGCTGGGTTTAAATGGGAAGAGAGAAAGGAGAGGCTTACCATTCACAGACCTCACATTGCTCTTTGGGTCTAAAGTCCTGGTGCTTTAAATCACCCTCTCAATTAAAGAGAGATTGTGGGTATAATGTGAAACTTAGATGCTGGTCCTACTGCAGATGATTGGGGTTCTGGCTTGGCCAACAGAATGAACTCTGCTTTAGAAAAATATTTTAGAGTCATAGTTTCTTAGAGCAGAAAAATGGCTCATTGTACTGTATCATTCATTCATTCATTCATCAGTTCATTTATTTGGTCAACTTAGTTGTTCATGGAACCCACATTTGCTTTCCAGACGGAGAAACAAAAGCCAAAAGAGGAGATGTGGCTTGCCGAAGGTCACATGGGAGGGTAGTAGCAGAGACTGGATTCAAACACAGGCCCCTCCCCAGTCTCGGTCTCAGGCCTCCTTGTCCTGCCAGCCACTAGCTGCCAACCCGCTGACATGTGCTCTTTGATGGTGGCACTGGGGGAGTAGATAGCTGATATTTATCTCCTTGATGAATGGAATTCCAGTTGGCAACTTGATCTCCCACCTTTGCAACTTTGGGAAGAGAGAGGGTGATCAAAAGAAAATATTTTTTCTACTGAAAGATGCCTTTGGAAATCCAATATACCACTCTGTCAGCCTCATGAGTCGAGGGAGGAGGGATGAAAAAGATCTGTTGTGAGCGAGCCCTGCCACTGACAAGTTGATCTAAGTGTGTACAGGCTGTGCAATCTCTCTGAGCTCCAACAGAATCCAAATACGTGCCGAAGAAATCCCAATGGAGAGAGGTGGGGATAGTGTGGCAGTCCCAAACTCCAGCTCTGGACCTAGGCCCCTGGAGCTCAAAGCCTGCAAGCCAGCTTGATGATCAAGCATTCTCGTGACCTGGCCAGGCAGAGACCTAAACTCTCATTGTCTGTTTCCTGCTCTGTAGATGAGAGCAATTGAACTTAGCTCATCAGGTTGTTGTGAGGCGTAAAAGAGATAAGGAAAGTAGAACAATTAGCAGGGGGGCTTGGTAGATATTGCAAATCCAGCATGATGCTGGCTTTATGAAACATACTGTACCTCCTTTTCCCAAATCTAAAATGGCAGGAGATGGTTGCATTTGGACGCAATCAATTTGGGGCAGTATTTGCCTTGCTCTTTGATCCTAAAGAGAGTGCAGGGGTAGAAGTAAAGGCTATGGTACCTTCAGCCACAGCAAGCCTCTTCTTCTTGATAAAGTTACTAGCTCAGAAAAGCAGGAGAAGGAAGCCCTTTTATTTTATTGTTCATTTCAGAGTGTGGTAAGTTTCCGTGTGTTGGGAGCTATGCAGATACCAGAGATATTAAGGGTGGTTTAGGCCCAGCTGAGATAGATGCTTATCTGTTCACTTGGGGACATGCTTGGGGGTAAACTGCTGCTGAGGCAAGGAGGAGATGTGAGGGGCATCAGGGGCCAAGGGGAGGGGCACAGGTAGGGGAGAACAGTTCTGCAGGTCCTGGTAAGGGGAGGCTTCTGGGAAGAAGTGATATTTGAGCTGATTTTTGAAGGAGGCTGAGGAGGAGGCTTTAATTCTTTAATTCAGTTTGACAAAGGTGAGGATGTCCCGAGGGGCGTTGCATGGACAGTGGCTCAGACAAGAGAAGGATCTTGGCAGGCTCAGGGAAGAGGGACTCATCAGTTTGGCAGAAGCCCCAGATGTGAGTATGTATCAGGGAGCTTGGCTAATGCAGCAGGGGAGGATGCCTGGGCGAGGACGAGGCTGGAGAGAAAGGTGGCACCGAGCATGTGAAAGGCTTGGCATTTATTGCCTGGAATCAACATGTCACTGCAGAAAAGGCAGCTAATCCATACTGGGGATCAAGGGAGCTTCCTAGAGGGTGTGATGATGAAGCTCAGCACTGAAAGCCTGGGGAAGGACTGAGGCAGGCCCAGCGAATGGCAAGTGAGGTATCCTGGGGCTTCTGGAGGATGGAGAGAGGAGGACAGGATGCCACAATCCCAGAATTGAAGCGGGGTGGTAGGATCATGCAGAGGCAGCAGCTGGTACCAGGTCATCCAGGGCCTTGCAAGCCGTGTAGTCACTGGGATCCAGGGCAGGTCACAAGCAGGGTCTGACATGAGCAGGATTTCGGCTCTAAGTCCCCAGCTGACTCCAGCTGCCCGAGCTAATGGCCTGCGTTCTCCCCTCTACACAGGCCTAGCAGAATGTTGCCCAGGGTTGGTGCTATTTGGTTGATGGGCTCTTGCCTGTGAAATCTGTTTAGCTGGGCACAGAGGGTTCCAGTCATCCCTTAGATCTTTGAACGCTCGCTCGCAGAGAGCCCCCCTTGCTGGTCTAATGCAGATTTGTGGCCCGTTCTGTGGAATTCATTCTGCACTACAAGAGTATGATATTACCCGATGTTTATGGATGGCTGAGTCTAAAATATCCATTCTAAAGTCCACTGAAGGATGAAATTCCTTGTTACTTTCATAGATTCTCTTGTCTTATTTTTCCCCCCATGGAGGAACATAAAGCATTTGTATTTTTAGCTCAAAGCCTGGTCATTTTAAAAATCATACCTGAATAAGAAGGAAGGGCATTCTGGGGGGAGATGGGCGGTTTGAGGAAGACAGTCTCAGCCTGGGACGGGTTCCCTGAAGCAACCCCCTCCCCAGGGAAGTTCTCTATTTGTCATGTTTCAGCCACAGCAGGAAGCAGAGGGCTGCAGTTGTCTCAGAAACTGTCAATGATAACAATACTCACCAAAACTCAGGATTTAAACACTAGGCAGAGGTTGCAGTGCAGCCAACCTAGACTCCCAACCAAGAAGGAAACAGGGCAGGGATGAAGTTTTGAGTCCATCCCTCTGCACCTTCTCCATGGTCAAGATGTTGGTGTTCTTGGGGCTTTGGTAAAATGTGTGAATATGCTATAATTCTTGAACTGAACTGCTTTAAATTTCACTAACTGCTCCCCTGTGCCTCTTTTATAATGATTCTCCAATGTCCAGAAAGTCCCACCTTATGTTTGTCAGACAAGCCTTTCCTGCTGGTTCCAGGTAAAAAGATCCACACTTTGCCTTTGAGTTCCCGGGGCACCCTGTCTCACCAGTGAATCACCTGCCACTTGTGGTATCATCTGGCACTTGTTGGATTTTTTGTGTGTATAGCAGTGCCTGGTGCCAAAAATGCACAAATGAATCAATTCAGAAGCATGTCCATAAACAGCTTATATCCTACAATACTGCAAAGAACTGCAGCTGGGCCACCTCCATCATCACTCCTTACCCATGTACACATCATCATGCAGTGTCCTAAGGATTTCACACATCATCTCCTTTAATGATGAAATCATTGGATACTGATATTAACAACACTGTATGGTAGCAAAACAGACACAGTCCTTCTCCTCTTGGAGCTTAGAGCCCGGACAGAAGGCAGCCAGTCAGATAGAGAGTAGGTCTGTAGGACAGGCAGAATGCAGGATGCTGTGAGAGCCCAGGACCAAGTAGCTCATCCACACTGGATATTCCAGTAAGGATTCAGGGAAGTGCATGTTACACAAGAGACCTGCAGTACAGGTAGGAACTGGCCAAACCAAAGGAAGTCGAGTGTTCCAGGCACAGGGAATGGAATGCAGGAAGGGCTGGAGACTTGGCTAGACCCTGGAAAAAGGCTGAGCTGGAATGTGCAGGCTTTTTGATCTGGATCATTCTGGCAGACCTAGCTGCATTGACCTAACCTCCAGATGGCTTCCCTTGCTGTTGTCTGCTCCAAGCAGTGGGATGTGGTAATGAGGAACTGCCTGCGGGCCTGCTCATGAGTCTTCCGGGTTTGTCCTGGACGGGTGTCCTGACTTAGTGAGTCAGCCCCATTTTCTCATTTCCTGTCTCCTTTGAAGGTTGTCCAGGCAGCAGCCCAGCCCACCTGTGAATTCCCAGTCCTCCTGCAGCACCCCCAGTATGCTGGCAAAAAGAGGTGCTCAGGAGGCATAAGCATGTGGCTGCACATCCCTTGCTATTGATGCAGATTTCAATCTGTCACTTAACCTCTCTGAGCCTTTCAGTCATCTCCCTTAGAATGGCAATAATGGCTGGGAGTGGTGGTTCACGCCTATAATCCCAGCACTTTGGGAGGCTGATGCAGGAGGATCATGAGGTCAGGAGTTCGAGACCAGCCTGGCCAACATGGTGAAACCCCGTCTTTACTAAAAATACAAAAAATTAGCCAGGTGTGGTGGCATGTGCCTGTAATCCCAGCTACTCGGGAGGTGGAGGCAGGAGAATCGCTTGAACCTGCGAGGTGGAGGTTGCCGTGAGCTGAGATCTCACCACTGCACTCCAGCCTGGGAGACAGAGCAAGTCTCCATCTCAAGAGGGAAAAAAAGAATGGCAATAATGTACCCACATCTTTGGCTTGTTTTGAGGATTAAATACAATAGCATATGTAAAAGTAGCACAGAGTAGGTGCTTTCTCTTGCCATTGCCTTCCATCTCTTTCCATTACAGAACACCCCAGAGCTCATGTACTGCTCATTCAACTCCAGCTAATTTTAATGTTGCTCAGCATTGTGGAATGTCAGCACCATGCCATTCACTTTGCCGCACTGCTGTCTCTCATAATGTTATAATGGCCATTTTACAGATGAAGAAACAGAGGCTCAAAAGAGATAAAGTTACTTGCCCAGAGTCCCAAACTAGTAAGCTGGAAATCAAGCCCCAGCAGTCAGACCTCAGAGCCTGAATTTTTCCACTTCACCCTGCACTTTGTCTCAGCCCCTTCTCAGTGGGCAGGGGCTGGTGGAGGCCTCTGCTGTCCTTCCTTCCAGTTCTTTCTTAATAGGATGCTATTAGCAGCTGACAAGCAGCACTGGGAGAAACACACAGTTGTAAATAACCCATTGTAGGAGAGCAGGAGGGCAGTTCTTGACCCCACATCCTGATAAAAGTCATTTGCTCCCCAGGCTCCCATTTAATTTGGAGGAACATATGCACGTTGTCGGAAGTGAGCCTATGTGTCGGGATTCAGCTCACAGGCATAGGCAATTGTTGATTACATCAAACACATCCCCAGGCCTGTGAAGGAGGCAGATTCGGGTGTGTTGCCGGCATTTGTGGTTCCCTTTGGGGAAAGCATCTGAAGTCTTTTCCTGGGGAAATCCCTGGGGTGGTCTTGGATCAAAGCCAGGTGGCTCTGCCTACTTTTCCAGAAGACAGGACAGGCACGAGTACAGGGTTCTTTTCAATGCCTAAAAGTGCCAGGTTTGTTTCCTATGTCATCTCATTTCATTATCCCACGAAACCCACAGGGGAGGCTTTATAGAGGAACAAACGGAGGCTCCAGGGGTTAAGTGATTTTGCTCTAAGTCACACAGATAATAAGCGAGCTTAGATTCAAACTCAAGTCTGTCTGGACTCAAATCTAGGCTTGTCTGCCTGTCTCCAGCTGGGCAATGTCTTAGGGGCACATTGTGTGCTCCAGGATTGAAGTGGGAGCTGGGGGTGAGGGATACACGGCTGCCAAATCTGCCCTCAACAAGAGCAAAACACCAGCAACAACAATGGTCCCCACCATGGACATGTGTGGGCATTGAGGCATCGCTCTACCTCTCCATCTCACTGCAGCCTCCCAGCCACCCTGTGGACAGGACCACTGAGGTACCTGAGGAATTAGGAAGCCTGGTCATAGGTAGTGGGGCTCAGGTGAGCAGTCAGCTTCAGGAGGCCCCCTCGGTGTTAGGGTGGTGTCAGGGCAGGTTGTCAGGCAAGGAGACTGCAGGAGGAGACTGCTGTCTGTGACTTGGACTGGGGAGCTTAGGCAGCAGGAACAGGGACTCCTGAATAGGGCCCATGAGTAGGGGTGGGATGCATTTCCTACACAGGGGACAGTGAAGGCAAGGGGGACAAAGGGCTTTATCTCTAGGTCGGCAGATGTCTAGGGACTCAGTTTTTTAGGACATAGGCTGCAGCTGTCATTGGCACGAGGAAGAAACTGAGTTCTCAGGAGGAGGCTTGGGATCAGGGTCAATGACAATGGTGAAGTTCTAGGTTGACAAGTAGGAAGTCATGCCCTCTGGGAGGGGCCAGCTTTTCTTCCAGGGGCTGGGCTGAACCTCTTGGTTGGGTCCATCAGTCCCAGCTGCACGGATGGGAGGCAGGTGGCTGCAGCCAGCAGCCAGAGTGTACCACCCACTGTCTCTCTAGTTGAGGGTTCGATTTCTCCCCTGTCTCCTGCAGAGCAGGTGGCTGCTGACTTCTTTGAAGAATGGAGCCTCACTTCACAGCTGGACACTGCCTAAACTTAAGAACCATTAGTGCTTCCAGGAACGTACCCCCTGGGGGACAAGGGAAGGGGAGGGGATAAAGAGATGGCCCTCCCTCTGCCTGGCCAAGCACTGCTCAGCTACCCCTGCTGTGGGGAAGAAAGGTTCTGCCTGCCTTTTTATTAAGGATTGTGGATTTTTCCAGCACATTACAGAATGACCCAGTGTCTCTGTCCTTAAGAGGAGAAATGCACAAGAAATGTGAGAGTTTGAAATTAAACGGGAAGGAGAGAGGCAAGGAAGGAGACTCAGAGAGTGGCAGACATAGCTGGGGCTGGAGTGTCTGCTGCCCACGCTGGAGTGAACTGGCTCAACACACCCAGGCCTCCAAAGAGGAGTTCATGCAGAAGTTGTTTCTGAGCCATGCAGAGCATCATCTCTCTGTTCTTATTCTCTACAAATAATTGCTCTACACTCACCCTGCACATGGCTCTGCAACGGTAAGAAAGGGGATTGGCATTAGGCGAGCTGAGGTCTAGATGGAGGGCTCTATGGAAGAAGGAGAATTGAGCCTGGTGCACTTTTTCTATGTAAAAGCGTTTTTCTCCTATTCGGTGTGTGCCTGGTTCTGGCTTTCACCCATCACCACCCTAGGAATCTTCCCTCCTCTGACCACATTTTTAATTCCTGAGTCTTGAATATATCCTCATTCTCATTCTCTCTTTCTCTTCCTCTCTCTTGCTCTCTCTCAAAATTACTCCATTTACAAAAGTCTCTTTCAACAACAGATGCCACAAGAAGCACCTCCAAACGTTGGATCCATTCATCTCCCTTTGAGACTACTCTTCTTTGAGATGCCTCATTCATTTCCGGGTCAATTGTCTTAAGAGAACTATCCACATTTATTTGCTTCATTGTACTGCATTCTACTCATGTGTCACTATCACTTTCACCACCCCGAGTCTAAGGCAGTGATTTTCTAAAATCCAAGGAACCTCCCAAGTATCACAGCTGAAGGACTCATTACTCCTCATCTTACTTGGCAACATTAGATGTTGTTGCTCATCATTTTCTCTCCAAACTTGTACTTTGAATTTGGTAATTCCCTCCTCTCTCTTCTGGTCCTTCTATTTCTCTGCCCACTTCTTTGGGTTCTGGGGATCTTCAAGGCTCCTTCCTCACCCCTCCTGTGGTCTTAGTATCTATATTCTTGAGCAGTCATCTACTGATCATGATGACATCCAAATCTCTTCCCCCTAACCTGTCCATGGAAGTCCACAAAAATGTGTGGCTGCAACAGAGCAGGAGTAATAATTTTGGTGAGACAGGATAAGGGATGACCAGGGTGGGTGTTTCGAAACATAGATTAATACAGGAATTAAATGAATTGTTGAAGATGTGGGAAAAACAATAGCCTTTTGATTCAGTTTGGTTAGGAAACAGAATTAAATTAGAAACTCATGGCCATGTAGTTTTATGTGCCTGTTTCCTAGCCTACTGTAGGAGCTTAATAAATGTCAGCAGAATCTAACGTTGATTACTTAGTTGTGCATGCATGTCTTTTTTTCTCCAGACTTTGAAATTGGATGAAGAAATGAAAGTATCTCTCTTATTGTTCCAAGATTTTAAAAAAGGTCGATAAGCAAAATATTATTTATTAAATGACTAGAAAAAGAAACGGACAAGATAATTAACTCATAGAAAGGAAGGCAGATCTTCTTTCCAGCTCTTCATTTGGTGTTACCTTCTTGAAAGTCATTCATGCCACAGTGCCTCAGTTCTGTTTTGTGCTTACCCTGACAGGCATCCTTAATTTTTTTTTTTTTTTTTTTTAATGGAGTTTTGCTCTTTTTGCCCAGGCTGGAGTGCGATGGCGCTACTTCAGCTCACTGCAACCTCTGCCTCCCGGGTTCAAGTGATTCTCCTGCCTCAGCCTCCTGAATAGCTGGGATTACAGGCGCCCACCACCATGCCCCAATAATTTTTGTATTTTTAGTGGAGACAGGGTTTCACCACATTGGCCAGGCTGGTCTCAAACTCCTGACCTCAGGTGATCCACCTGCCTTGGCCTCCCAAAGTGCTAGGATTATAGGCATGAGCCACCATGCCTGGCTAATTCTTAATTTGAATGACAAACACTCACTGGAGTAGTGAGTTTGATTGTTTAAACCTAAAAGTTAGTTGAAAAAAAATCAGTTTAAATCATTTAATAAAGAATCTCATTTGTCTCTAACAAGGTCGAGAAAATAACTTGTAGTTTAGATCCCTATTGGTGGGATCTGAAGATTCCAACATCAATGAAGGCAATGGAACCAGGCTGAAAAGTCGAAATCATTGTTGAAATACACTCAACATTTTCAATTAAAAAAATTAATTGTGGTAAAATACATATAGGATAAAATTTACAATCTTAGCCACTTTTTCAGTGTTAAGATGGTTAACCCATAATTGTTTTAAAGTGACTTCAGTGAAACTGTACCTATTCAATAGTAATTCCCAATTTCTCCCTCTCCCCCAGCCCCTAGCAGCCATCATTCTCCTCTCTGTCTCTATGAATTTGACTGCTCTAAGTACCTCATTTAAGTGGAATCATACACTATTTGTTTTTTTTCTGAGTGCATTATTTTTACTCAGCATAATGTCCTCAAGGTTCATCCATGTTGTAGAATATATCAGAATTTCCTTCCTTTTTTAAGGCTGAATAATATTCCATGGTATGTATACATTATGCATCCAAGCCTTAACTGATGAGCTTCAAGTTGGAACTTGGCATAAGGTCTTCTTTTGTGTCACTGCTTAAAGGAGTTTCACAAGAGAGAAACATGCAGGTAAAAACAGATTCCCTTTCCCCCCAAACCCATGCTCACTTTAATGGCCTTTATGTTCACTGAGTTTATGTTCCATTCTTCATCTTTTAGGGTTCAATAAAGTCTTCTGGAAAAGAGAGCCTGTCTTAACTATATGAAAAGGAACAAAGGAAGAGATGAATGCCTGGACAGAGATCTTAAATAGAAAACAAGACACCACAGCCTAGAGTCTGTTGTAATGGTGTCAATGTGAAGCAAATTGGGTTGCCCCAAAGGGAAAATAAAAAGCTAGAGTCAGAGCATGGGGTCACTGAGTTCTGACATGCCAGCCACCCACAGGGACGACTCTTGGAGTTTTGGTCTTAGTCTTCCTTACACATTCAGAGTGCTGGCAATTCTGTGCTGGGTTTTTATATTTTCTCAGATCATAGCATGCAGGTGGGAAGGCAATACTCAAACCATGCCTAACCTTAGGAGCCTCTCCCCTTGTGGGATGAGAACCAAGCCTTTGATATATTGCTGTTTGGAAAAGAATGCGTTGTGTCCCAATTTCTATTTTATGGTGTCCCTTTGTTCTTACAGTGCTGCTGTTCTACAAAGGAGTGTTTCTAGAAACGCTGGATGCAACAGGAAGCTTTGAAATTGGAAAAAGTGAGGATTCCATAAGCCTATTTGGAAACTAAGATTCTACCTAGAAGTTAAATTTATTTTGGAAGGGCATATATTGATGTTTTCCTGCCCCTCCCATAATCTCTCTTCTGTCTCTCTCATCTCTCTCTCTTTCTTTCTCACACTCACATACATACCACATGGGGAAATGACTCTTGACTCTTGCCCTTGTCCATTGAAAGCATGGCCCGTGCCTGCTGGCTCTCTGGACACCTTTCAGGCTTGCCTCCAGCAGCCCCTGTGAATAGCTGAATTACTATTCCTCACCCTAACCTCAAAGAGAGGTTGTTAACAAAGCCTAAGGATCACGGAGCCAAGAAAGCCAGTTCAGAGGCAGGCAGAGCCATGAGGATTGCAGCAGGAATATAAATGGCTAGTTCTTTCTTCTCTAAAGAAGGATTTTAAAGGTTATCAAGTTATTCCCTTTCACATAGAAAGCAGAAATACCAGAGACTAGAGTTGTTGAAGGAAAGTTGACCAAAAGTTTAAAATGGTCAGGAGGTTTAAGAGAGGGAGCTATTCCCAGCAAACTGAAAGGGAAGAATCTGAACTCAGCCAGAAAAATGGGGTTCCTGGTTCAAGTTGCAACCCCTCCAGGGTCTGGTGAACTTGAGAAAATATGTTACTTTTTCTAGGTTTCCATGGAAAGATGCTCCATTTGGTTTCAGGGAAACCTGGACTTACTGAGGTGCAATCAAGCTCTAGCTGTGTAATCCTAGGTACGATGTCTTGCCATCTTTCTCAGTTTCCTGACCTCAGTGTGGAGATTATAAAGCCCCTTCACTTGGGGATGCTTTTTCAAAGAAAGCTCTTAGCTTGCTCAAGGCAGGCGAATGTCATTCCCAGACCCTGCCAATGATGAGGACAATGATAACTAAATGGCACTTGCTAAAAATCAGAATGCCCCCCTCCCTCCAATGTAGGCACTTTTTGCACTGTGCCATGGTCATTTTTGAAAGAAAGCTCCTAACTAAACCTAAGCTCACCTACATATGGCTCCATATTTTGGCTTGTTTTATTGTAGATGTGAAGCGAATGAAACCTTGTCCATTCTGGTTTCTTTGAGAGCATGCTTATATTTACCCAACATGTGTTCTATTTTCTTGTAGCATACGTCCTTCCCCTGCATTTCAAGGTAGAAGAGTCATTACACCTAATGAGAGTTTCTTTCTAGCTCGTGTACCACTTAGGATGTTCAAGAGTGTGCTCCAATTTTCACCTTTCAATGCGTCTTTGTAATGGCATGTCACCCTTAAAAAATGAGATGTCAGCTTCCCATGGGAAGGAATGGACACTTATTTTCAACCTGAAAACCACCACTTGTCCTTCTAGGCACCTCATTCAGGTTGACGATGTTATAAAACACTGTGAGATGGAAAGGCAGGGTGAATGCTGCTTGTGGAACTTGGCCATTCTGCTGGGATCCACACTGTGAATGAATTAAGTGCGTATGGGTTGACACATTCTCATTGTGTTTAAGCACTGTTCTAGGATACTGAGTCACATCACTATGAAATGCATCGCTGGCAATGCTATTTGTTAAGAAGCTTCAGTATCACCTAAGTGAATTAATGCTGCCAGCAAAGGCATTTTAAGAATTAATGTATTAAAAATAATTGTCTTGTAGTGTGCACAAAACTCGCTGGATGCATCCTGCTCTTTTTTGTTGTTGTTGTTTTCTTTTTTTGTTTTTGTTTTTGTTTTTGTTTTGAGACAGAGTTTTGCTCTTGTCCTCCAGGCTGCAGTGCATGGCACAATCTTGGCTCACTGCAACCTCCGCCTCCTGGGTTCAAGTGATTCTCCTGCCTCAGCCTCCTGAGTAGCTGGGATTACAGGCCTGAACTACCACACCCTGCTAATTTTTGTATTTTTAGTAGAGATGGGGTTTTACCATGTTGGCCAGGCTGGTCTTGAACTCCTCACCTCAGGTGATCTGCCCACATTGGCCTCCCAAAGTGCTGGGATTACAGACATGAGCCACTGTGCTCAGCCCATCCTGTTCTTTTGTCCCTATGGTTAGGCAAGTAGGCTGTTTACCTCTCTTCATTATCAGAACCTTCTTTCTGTTCACATGGAGCCTCCCTTTGCTATCCTAACACACCAGGCTCTTTGCTGACTGGTGAAACCCTGCTCATCTTTAAAGACCCAGCTCAGGAATCACCTCCTCTCTGACTTCCTCCCGGGTTCCTTGGGACAGAGAAATTTGCTACCTCCTTTTTCAGAGATCCTCCAGTACGTTCTCTGTAATTCTACAATGGCATGCCCCACACTGAGTGGTACTTGGCTGTTTGTATGTCTATCACTTCTCTTGGACTGTGTGCTCAGCACACTTTGTGCATCTTTTATCAGCAATGCCTACCAAACAGTGCCCAGGATATATTTGACATTTTTTAGAATTTTGATTTAAAATATCCAAAAAATGAGAGGCTCCTAAGCAATGTCAAAGCTCGATTCAGGTGGGAAGAGCCAGGACGTGACTCTGCTGAAAGATAGCTGGAGTGAAAAGGGACTTTAAGTTCTTTACAAGGAACACTCCCTTTTGCAGGGGAGTTGAGAGAGGACTCGAAAGCCAAGCTTGCTTGCCCACGGGTATACGTGATCCAGAGCTGAATCCACCACTCAGAGAATAATGTCTTCTGACTCCTGCAGAGCAGCTTTCCTTCCACAGCAGGACCATTGAGGCATCATCCTGAAAAACATGAAGGATGTGAAGCAGTCATTGCTGAAGGACATGCCAAGAAGTAAAGAGAGATGCAGCCTGGCAGTCATCCCACTTCATGTATCCAACTCCCTCCATAGCAAGGTCAGACCAAGAACTAAGATACGTGGGCTGGAAAGGAGGGTGTCAGCTCTGGAGCCCCTGTAATGATGATGGTAATGGGGCTGATTGCATTTCCGACTCCCATTTCCCCTTCTATGTCTCCTAAGCCCTTCATTTTAACTCATGTCCGTGTTCTCCAGGAGGCCCAAAGGGATGATCCATAGTGATCCAAGTCACTATGCAGGCTCCACCCCCTTGCTGAAGGTTGGAGCCAGCATGGACATGGGTCTCAGTTCTGATCAATGACACAGGAGCACCCGTCTTCTGGTAGAGCGTCCTCACTGTCAAAAATATACCTATGTAGGGTTGCCAGATTTAGAACATAAAAATGCAGGATACTAGGTTACATTGTAATTTCAGATAAATGAAAAATAATTTTTTAGTATAAGTATATTCCATGCAATATTTGGATGCCCCATGCCACCTTGAGGAGATATCTTCCTCCCATGTTAGCCACACTCTCCAGGTGTTTGTCTATGAAATGCTCGGTCCAGGAGCAGAGTCACACACAGCATTAAAACTTCTCACGTTAAAAGGCTCAGACACTTTGAATAATGACAGATTCATATTCACGAAATATATCTACTTGAGTTTCCCTTTTGTTTTGAAGAACTGCTTGGTCCTAAAAAACTGAATTTTTTTTTGTCTATTTTTCCTAATACCAGCCTCTTCTTTCCTCAGCCTCCAGTAACGTTGGCCTTGTAAATAGATATCATGTTTTCTATTGTGCCTGGAAGTAGGGCTTTGAGAAAGTCTTCTTGAGCTAGGTAGAGACATCTTTAGACATCTAGGATAGCGAGTTGGCTGAATGGTGTTGCGTGGTCAAGCCACTGATTTGCTGCCTGCCATAGAAAATTCACTGCCATTATTTCCTCATCTGAAAAATTATTACCTGCCTCACAATGTTTTTGTGAGAATTTTAAAAAGGTAAAATAATAGAGTGATGAGCAGAGTGATGGGACAGGGTAATTTTTTTTTTTTTTTTTTTTTTTTTTTGAGACAGTGTCTTGCTCTGTGGCCCAGGCTGTAGTGCAGAGGCACCATCTTGGCTCCCTGCAAACTCCGCCTCCCAGGTTCAAGTGATTCGTGCTTCAGCCTCCCAAGTAGCTGGGATTACAGGCGTGAGCCACCATGCTGGGCTGATTTTTGTATTTTTTTTTAGTAGAGATGGGGTTTTGCCATGTTGGCCAGACTGGTCTCGAACTCCTAACCTCAAGTGATCTGTCAGCCTCAGCCTCCCAAAGTGCTGGGATTATAGGCATCAGCCACCGCCCCGGCCATGGGACAGGGTAATTGTTTTCTGAGTGATAACTTTCTTCCCACACATTACTTGGGGCCATGGCCTGGCTGTGTGATCCTAGAATCCTCTCTGTGCTCTTGCTATGTTGACCGCTGCAGGTCTCTATCAGGCTAATGGTTAAAATGTTATGAGGGAACATGAACAGACTTGGAGCCAGGAGGCCTGGATTTCTGCCCAGCCTCCCACTGCTAACTAGATAATGAAGATTGGGGAAACAAATTAAATCCAGGAAACACAGCTACTGAAATGAAGTCAGTGGTGATGATGATGATGATGACGATGGTAACAAACACTTGTATAATTTTCATCAGTTCACAAGCTTCTTGGGGGAGATCTATATTCGATAATGAGACATGAGTCTGTTGATTTCATTCAATCAATAAGCCTATTTGGAGCACCCACGTTGTGCAGAACCCCTTGCTGGGTATAGGGTGTGCAGATGTAAATAAGACTCGGTACTTGACCTTACAGAATACCAGGCTAGTAGGGCAGATGGCTGATAAACTTACAATGGCAATGCCATATATTAAGAATTAACCAGGTGTCATACAGAAAAGTTTGGGGGCACAGGTGAGAATCATGTACTTGAGGCTAGCTGGGAGGAGTTCGAGCAGGGGTTTCCACAGGCCTGGCTCCTTCCATGAGAGCAGAGTGTGATAGGAGGGAGGTAAGCAAATACGAAGAGGAAAAAGAAATGGATGTAGCTATCTTCAGGGTTTCTCTAGGCCCTTGAGAATTGTTAATTTTACTCTAGCAATCAGAGCAGGCAGCTGATTCACTAGCAAGATTTTGTTAAGTTTAACTGCTCTGGGTCAGGATCTGGGGCCTATGTAGTTGCTACATCCTCAGGCTACTCTGACAGATCAAATCAAAAATTGGTACATTTCAGTGGCTTCCTAATGAAGTTCTGGAAGAATTTTTAAAATATAATGCACTTTGAAAACATATTTGCATCCAACCCAGAGTCAAAAATTAAGTCTTTAATAATTCAGCATACTTTGATCCAATCTCAAAAGTGAATCAATACATGATAGAGGGGTGTTAGCCACGTGAACCACACTAATCAGACTTACAATCCAGGAGATATCACATGGCATCATTAAACATGAAAACAGAGGGCACATTTGTGCAGATCTGTCTCTTTTCCTTGTCTGAAGTTTATGTAAGAAAGGAATGTATCAACTTAGACATCTCAACAACTTAGAGCGTGCAAAAAGCTCTACTCAAGAGTTTTCAAGATAGTTGGAAGAAGCTGTCCTACCATGAGAAGTTTCCTGGGTGAGAAAATGGGGGCAGTTTAAAAGCCTATATTCAAGTAAATAAGGGATATATTCAAGGAACTGTGACAAGGCCAGCTCCCAATGCATGCATTTAAAGAGTTAGGTAATTATCTTTCTTTATGAGTGACTCTTTCACCTTAAAATTACACATAGTTTCTAGAATATTTCAGGTGTTCTTCATTTTTTTTTTTTTTTTTAAGAAACAAACCATCCTAAATCTTAGTGGCTTAAGAAAACAACCTTTTATTGTTCTTGTAATTCTGCGGGTTGGCTGGTTCTTGTAGTCTGGGACAACTCAGCTGATCTCTCTGGAGCCTATGCATGCATCTGTCATTAGCTGGTTGGCTGGCTGGTGACTGGCTGACAGAATGGTCTCACTCAAACATCTCGCAGTTGGCAGGATGTCCTTCTGGGTGCCTTGGTTTTCTTCTGCATGGCCTACCATCCTTCAAGCGGGCCAGCTTGGACATATTTACATGGAGGTCTCTGTGGGGATAAGTAGATTTGGGTGAGGGTGGAGGGGCTGATATAAAACAAAGAGTTTGACTTTGAACATCTTAAGATTGGGATGCCTGTTTGACCTTGAAGTGAGGATGTAGAATAGGCAGTTAGATATTAGAGTTCAGAGTTCAGGGGAGAAGTCTGGGTTAAAGGTATATATTTGGAGGTCATCTGCAAAGATACATTTAAAGTCATGAGACTGGGTGAGCTCAGCATGGGAGTGTGAATAGAAAAGGGGTCTGGGAATGAGTCCTGTGGCTCACTATAGTCTAGATGTTAGGGGAGGTTTTGGGGAGGGAGATGTTTGGTCTCCCTAGGAGGGAGACCAAGACAGAGTGACCTCCCAGAAGTTGAGTGCGGTTGAGTGGAGGAGAAGGAAGTAACCACCTGTGTCAAATGCCTGCCCATGTATCAGTATGAGGCTTGGGAGAGTGGCCACTGCATTAGCAACACAAAAGTCATTGGAGACTTTGACAAGAAATGAGGATGAAAGACATATTGGAGTAGTTTCTAGAGAGAATAGAAAGAAAAGGGTGAGAGGAAATAGAGACAGCTTTTCCCCCAATATTTCACTTAGAAAAATTTCAAACACACAGAAAGCTTGAAAGAAAGAAGTACACAGTGTATACCCACATACACACTATTTAGATTATATCATTAATCTTTTAATAGATTTGTTTTCTCACATATCTATCTATCTAATCCTCTATCCATACAGAGACCCATCTTTTCTATATTAGAGGAATAGGCAAGTAGGGCAGAACTGGAGGAAGATGGGGGTCAGAAGAAGGTTCACCCACTCTGTGTGTGTGTGTGTGTGTGTGATTGTAAATATAGCAGCATGTTTATATGCTGATGGAGATGATCAAATAGCGAAGGTGCAATGGATGATGCTGGGAGAGTTAATATTTGGGGTGATGTGTATGGATAAGTGAAGGAGTATGGACTTTGGGTGCAGCAGTGGAGAAATTGGCCTTGGGTAGGCTCTTCTGCAATAAGGAGAGAGGGAACAGAAAATAAAGACAGATGCATGCAAGTGTTCTTTACAAGGCCTTTGACACTTTGGGCAGGGGACTGGACCCAATGGCCTGACATCCAGCACCTCCCTGTACCTGTCTTCTGTCTACGGCTCTCCTGTCGACCTGCTTCTGTGAAACTTTGGAGGAGTTGCATAACCAATCGCTCAGGTCTTCTGGGACCTCAGCAGCAAAATGAGTGTAATTATGAATATCATACTTACACTACAGGGAGCTTTGGAAATTATACACTGGGGATGTAGATTTTGTTGTTGTTTTTATTATCCACACTTAACCAGAAGAGCTTTGCAGGCTGTTGCAGCTGTGTCTCCTGCCCCATGCAACATGTTTTCCCAGTCCAGAAACTCAAATACTGAAAGAACAACCCAGCACTTTACAGACTTTGTCTGTCCCTCTTTAAGATCCTTTCGTGTTTAGCTGCTGGATCAATATCACACTGGAGGGCAAGTAGCTTAAAGGATGTGCCAGAGAACTGGAGTCCATTTATGCCTTGGGGTGGTGTCTTTTTCCTGCACCTAAGGGCAATGCTATTGGATGACAACTGTCTTTTATTCCTTCTGTTTATCCTCTTTCTGGTCTTGGGACCCTAGAGCACACTCTGAGGCCTGGAACGCATTGTTGACTTTAGCTGCTGTTTATTCTAACAAATGTGCCATCTTTATGTCAAAGTTCCTTTGTTCTTTCTGTAGCATTCTACCCCTCCCTCCACTGCCTGGCTTTATTTAGGTCTACAGAGAAGATAAGTGGGTGACCTGTCACGAGCAACCATACACCACAAAGAGCATCTTACTGTAAAAATATGCTAGATATATTTAGTGCCACTTAATTAGAATTAGCTAATTCATTGAATTCATTTCCCTTTCTTTATGATGAGGTTTTAAATAAAAACTCAAACACTCTATGTTTGTATTTATTACACGGCTTGAATTAGGATGAAATCTGGATTCTCTCACCTTGAGCAAGATGTGTTACTACTCAGCCTCAGTTTTCTCATCTGTAATCTCAAGAAAATAATGTTTTCCTCACAGGGATGCTGGAAGGATTGAGAGAGATGATGTATGTAAAAAACTTTAGCACAGTGCCTAGAAAACAGAAAGGTTCACTAGATATTGGTGTAATGAATCCGTTAATGAGGACACCACTGGCAATAATGAAATTAAGTAAACAACCATATTGATACTGAGTGCTTTTTACATACTAGACTTGGCGTTCTGTGATCTTCATGGATTAACCATGACAGACAGAGGTTGGGAAGATACTGTTCTCATCTTTGAAAGTTAGCTCTTCTCAAAAATTAACATGTCTAATTAACATTCAGTAAAACTTAGGCCTACAATCTCTATATTAATAAAGTCTGCATTTTATCCTATTTCACTTTAAAATTATTGAATGATTCCCAAAATAAAATTTGTCCAACCAGTTTTGAATTTCAGATAAACAAAGGATAATTTTTTAGTATATGTGTGTCTCATATATTCAGACATATAATTTTTTTAGTGTAAGTACGTCTCATATATTAAGACATACTTATACTAAAAATTTGTTTATCTGAAATTCAAATTTAATTGGAAATCCTGCATTTTTATTTGCTAAATCCGGTGACCCCAGACTCTAGGAAATGCAACATGTACGTGTGTGTATGTTTGTGTCCCAGAGGAAACAAAATCTTGAGCATAACGTTCAAGGTAGTCAGTGTGACAACAGGTCAGAATGACCTCCTGAGAGATAGGATTTCCCAAACTCTGATATCTAATTTGGGGCTGGATAGCACCTACCCATCCCTTCTCTCAGTTCTGTATCATCTCCCTCATGGTGGCCTTTTCCTTTCTTCCATATCCTTCAGCCAAGCAATAGTATAGTCTTAGTTATTACTTCTCCCGTTAGATGGTCAGGAACTATATCTGTTCCATTCATCTCTGTATCTTTCTGCCCAGCAGAGGGTCTGGAAGATAGTAGGTGGTCAATAAATTTGAGCTCCTGTCTATAAAGCCTGTCTCTATAACTTGTTGTGTTGGTACCATATTATAGCCTGCTCTTTATTCGTTCCACAAAATTTCATTGACCATGTACTATTGCCAGACTCTCTGCCAGGCAGAGGGATACAGGAATGAACAAAACAGTATAGTTTCCAACCATGAAATGGAGAATCAATAGCTAAGAATGCATGATTACTTAGCTAAGGGCTAAGGATGAACATGGGGGTTTTAGGTTTGTCTTGCTCTGTGCCTGTTTGCACACCTATTAATGAGATGATTGCATCTACCTCAAATGATTATATTGAGGGGAAAATGTACATCCACATCTATGTCTGTGTCTCTGTCTAGATCTTTCTATATCTGTAGTGTGTGAGTGTGTAGGTGTGTGTGGCTTTTGTGCCAGTAAAAGCAAGTGGTAAGCATTAGATTTGCTAAATTAATATCCGTTTCTTTCCATTTCTTTTATATTAGAAGACTACAGCTATCTGTGCTTCGTTTTCAATTTTTCCTGTTTTGTCAGGTGAGGGATAATACCTTGACCAGAAAGGGTAGTGAAGGCCAGAATTATTAGCATATAAACTTTTAAAATTATTTTTTAGAATAAACTTTAGAGAATACATGCTCTTGGCTGCTGAGGGACTTGATCACAGACTCAGGCAAATATTGCCACTTGCACCTTTTAGAGGGCCTCTGAAAATAGGGTGCTAATGATTTGACAAATTCTCTCTCTACTTTTCCCTTGGAGTCCCCAGAGTTTCAGATGGTTTAGGGGGCAGATGGTGATGAGATCGTGCAGATGACTGTTGTCTTTCATGAGACACATGATGTGTGAGTCTGGAGTCAATTAAAACTCTGAAACTAAATGTCAAGATCCAGGGAATTTGTACCAATATTAGACTCCCTGCTCCTTGGGAGGATGGAGTCTGACACTCTGAAAAATGGCTAGGGAGTTAATAATAACATCTTCTAACACATTGCTTTTGTTATTTGGAGCTCATTGCTTTTTTAAGGAGTTCAAAGTCATTTACCAGTTCAGTATGAGACTAGGTATTAAATGCAAATCCTAGGGTGACATAATGGTTTGGTTGAGAACGTGAATACCCAAAAGTCATAGAATTCCAAAAATGAAGCCATGTGGGTACTCTCCCTGGCTCATATGCACTGTATGCCCCTGGGAAGTGCTAGTTCAATTATTAAGCGTATGAGTGTGGATGCATTGAACTTGCTATGGAAACATAGCCTTTTTTGTTTTGTTAGAGTGTATTGAAGTCTACAGCCCAACTATCTTCGTGTCTTTACAATCCTTCCAGCATCCTTGTGAGGAAAACATTATTTTCTTGAGATTGCAGATAAGAAAACTGAGGCTGAGTAGTAACACATCTTGCTCAAGGTGAGAGAATCCAGATTTCAACCTAATTCAAGCCCTGCAATAAATACAAACATAGAGTGTTTGGGTTTTTATTTAAAACCTCATCATAAAGAAAGGGAAATGAATTCAAGATAGCTAATTCTAATTAAGCAGCACTAAATATATCTAGCATATTTTTACAGTAAGGTGCTCTTTGCGGTGTATGGTTGCTCGTGGCAGGTCATCCACTTATCTTCTCTGTAGACCTAAATAAAGCCAGGCAGTGGAGGGAGGGGTAGAATGCTACAGAAAGAACAAAGGAACTTTGACATAAAGATGACACATTTGTTAGAATAAACAGGAGCTAAAGTCAACACTGCACTCTCTTTACAAGTTAATGAAACCTCACCACTATAGATTTGTCATTCACTTTTCTCAGAGGTTTGTATACGTATGACCAGTTGTACCTTGACTTCAAAGGTTTGAAAGGGAGGAGTCTTTGAATGGTCAGCACAGAAGAACATGGTCAGAAATTCAACCAGATCTACAGTTTCCCCGCCTTCCCTTGCTCTATCTGAGGACTTAAAACCATGAATTGCCCAGGCCTTTCACAACCTTGCATAGTGTAAACTAGATGCATTAAATTATACACATTCGTTTCAGACCTACTCATCTCAGATAACAGCTCATTTTAGTATAACTTTTCCATTTAATGAGAATGCCTTTTAGAGCTCAGTTTGGCAGCCCCTAATAAACACAGCCTGAATAAGTAGAGATCCAAGGTATTAAAAATTGGTTTGTTGAAACAAGAAACACCAGCACATGAATTGGATAGCAGAATGGACCCAGCAATAATTCAAACACATAATGGAAAGCAAATTCATAGAATTTAACAATCCAATAAGTTACTAGGCTGAAAAATATTCTTTCATGTCATGTAGAAAAGAATAAATGGATAATTAAATCCATGCAAGACACTGTGATAAAATCTTAAGTCACTAAAGAAAATTCTGAAAGCTTCTGGAGTGAGGTATGGTGGAGTAGGTGGACAAATTACTTATAAAGTGATGTGAATCAGGTTGACAACAGACTTCTCAGCAGCAGCGATGAATACAGCAGATAATGGAGCAATATTTTCAAATGTCAGGGAGATAATTAATGTTGAATCTGGATCACTATACCCAGTAAAAGCATGATTTAAGTTTGAGAGTAAAATCAACAGATTTTCTGATATGCAAAGATTTGGAAAATTTACCATGAGCAGATCTCCTTGAAACTAATTAACAACAAGGGGAAAAAATAAACCTAAGAGAAAGAAGTCAGATAAAGGAAACAATGGTGAACAAACAAACCAGAAAAAAATTCTTAATTTTAAATGTCTTGAGTTTTTAAAAATTAATTTTCTGACTAAAGTATCTCTGCTGATTTCAATATACAATAAGTTGGGGATGGGTAAAGGAGGCAGATGGAATTTACAGCATGCTGAGATTTGTTTTGTTATGTGGAGAATATAGATGCTGATCATCTCTAAAATTGTTCAGATTTGCCTACATTTAAGTATTTTTATTAAAATACGTAAGGTTAAAAATTAGAAAAACAGATCAAGACTACAAACCCCCAGACCACTAAAGACCTAGGCCTAAGGAAGAAAAGCAGAGGAACCCCAGGCAATAGAACTTAAGGAAGGAGCAAAGGATAAGAAAATGACCAGAAAGAGTGGCAAATAGAGAATGTTGGTTTCAGTAAGTCAAAATACTTATACTATGAATGAGTTAATTTCACTTAGAAGACAGCGATTCTCACCTTTAGAGATAAAACCCAATCCTGCTGTAAGGCATTTGCCACAGAAACATAAAACCAAAATAGCAAAAGAAGGTTGATGGTAAAGGGGTGTACATATTTCCATACGTCAGAGGCTAGAGTACATTTGGGGAGGGGGCAGAGAGTAGGACCAGGTTCAGATTATGCAGGGGTCTTTAGGGAGTGTAAGAAGCCTGGATTTATCCTGAAGGGAAATGGGCAATGTAAAGGGAAATGGGTGATATAAATATAAACATTTTAGTGAGGCCAGGTGTGGTGGCTCACGCCTGTAATTTAGGCACTATGAGAGGCCAAGGCAGGTGGATCACTTGAGGTCAGGAGTTCGAGACCAACCTGGCCAACATGGTGGAATCTCATCTCTACTAAAAATATGAAAACTAGTCAGGTGTGGTGGCGGGCACCTGTAATCCCAGCTACTTGGGAGGCTGAGGCAGGAGAATCGCTTGAACCTGGGAGGTGGATGTTGCAGTGAGCTGAGATTGTGCCACTACACTCCAGCCTGGGTGACAGAGTGAGACTCTGTCTCAAAATGAAAAAAAAAAAAAAAAGATTTTAGTGGCTTAGATTTACATTGGAGAAAGTTTATTATGACAACTGGGAAAGATTGGGAGGAGCAGATAAAGCTTATGATGGGAGAATGCTTTGGAAAATCTAGTCAAGGAATTTATGCATAAAGTGTTAAGGAGTTGGACCATGTTGTAGCAGTGAGGGTAGACAAAATGTGGTAGGTACAGTATTATTGATCTTAAGAAGATGTATCCAAGAAAACTGGGGATGATGTGAGGGAGAGCTGTAAAATGGCATGCTGGTTGTTGAAGAAAAATGGCAATCTTTACCAATATAAGAGACACAGGGAGGAAGATATTGGAGGGGAGAGATGATAAGACTGGGCCTTGCTGCATTGTGAAGTTCAGTGATAATTGAATTTTAGGATGTGGAGTTTGGTTGTGTACAAGTGGTAAGGGGGTGATTACTTTCCTTCCCGTAATAAAAAGTCATAGCTGAAACTCTGATAACAAAAGGCAGGTCAGCAAGAGAAAAACATAACATTTGTTACATATATACATGTGCATGGGAGTCATACAAAATATGAAAACTCCAGAAAAAAACTAGATGGTTGACACTTAAACATGCTATCCATTGGGAAGAGGAAAGTAGGGGGCATAGGAGTACATGATTTTCAGGGGAAGTGAGTAAACCCACAGACAGAAATTTAATTGTAAATGTTTCCCTTTGGAATTTGAATGATCCTGAGGAGCGCACATTTTCTTGTGAGAAAGTCCACCTAGGTGTGGTTGAGGCTCTCTGTCTTCTTTTCTGTGATAGATATTGAAATTTCTGGGGGAAGATGGAAGACAGCTGTCTTCCTCTTTGAGGGTCTGGTTTCCAGGTGGGTAAGGGAACTTCAGAGAAAAGCCTCATTCTGTGCTTTGTGAGAGACAAGTCTTGGGTCTTTCCTTTTACATTCAGTAGAGAGAACAGGCTAGTGAAAATAATCACATCTTCCTACATCCAATTAGGACCTGTGAAAGCTTGACTAAGCAGACATGAGTGTCTTCCTTCATTCTGCATCTGAATTCTTGAGCCCGTGTGGTCACGTGAATGGTGTAGATGAGAAGGGAAATGGGATTTTTCTTGATGTCTTCTGGCATTAAATGAAGCACTAATAGTGAATGATTATAAAAATTAAGAAAAGGAGTGTTTATAAACATTGAGAAGCTCCTTGTTGCTCTCTGAAGAAAAGCAGCCCCTGGCTAAAATGGTTGGTAGTTATTCTCATCTTGAGTGACTAGCTGAATGTCATAATGACTTGATAGGCCACAAATGACCAAGCTTTCTGAGTTTTCCCCAGCAAAGAACCCCCGACTACCACTTACAGTAGAAGTGGAGGAGCATCAGAATGTGGTCTGCCTGTAAATTTCCAAGACCATCGAAACTCCCAAAGAGTTGGGGAGTTTCTTGTTTATATTTGTTATGCTGTTGAAGGGTTTCCTAGATTCTTCTTCCTCATGCTCAAGGCAACTGTGTTTCCAAATCTGTCAAGAAGAAATTCAGATGAAATTCAGTGACCCTGTTCCCAGTCTCTGGAATTTACTGTACTTTTCTAAAACTTTAAATTGTTAATGGGAAAGGCTTCCCAGTGAAGGTGATTCATGAGCCACAACTTGAAAGAGGAAGATATTTTCTAAGAGTAGAATGACTTGGAGTTATTCTTCCTTCAGGAGGACTTGATCTCACCCTTCCCCGTGCTTTTTCCACACCACGCAAATACTTCCATTCTGATTCTGGGATCTGCACTGAATTTATTTGCATAACTGCCTCTATCCTTTACTCCTAGAAAATTGCCTGGTATATAAGGCCATGGTAGATTCTTATGGCATAAAGGAATGCAAAGACTGCAGTAGAATGGATAGAAACATCAGCTTTTATCCAACATATCTAACAGAGTTGGAATATTACTTTTTCTTATGAAGTTTCTGTTTTAAAACATTACAAAATAATTCTAAAAGAACTCAGAACTTAGAATCTCCTGGGTAGAGTTAAACAATCTATTTGAATAATGAGCTAATAAGTATGGATGAAAGAATGGATATTCTCGCCTATGGTAATTAACTACAATAGGGAAATTAGGAAGGGAGAAAGAGCTGGTCAGTAGAGCAGTGGCCCCAATTCTGTCTCTATTTTCTTTGAGAAGACAAGGTTTCCCCAGTGGATTCCAGTATCTGGAGGGCCAGAGGGATGGGTCATCTTGAAAGTCTTCCCTAGAAAGATTGGAGCCTCAAAGTAAGAGAGTTGGGCACATTCGTCTCCTTCAATGTGAGCAGCACTGAGTTTATGTGGCTGATGTTGGGTCCTTTCTCTGGTCTGAATGAGAGGGTTATCTTAGTTTCTGACAAACATGAGGGGAGCCCAGGGCTACTTAACCCTGTGTATGTCCCCCAACCTCCTGCCCAAACCGATCCTTTAATCTTCCACTGCAGCAAGAAGTGGAGATGCTCAACATGAGCAACTTCAGACCAGGGAGAGCAGCTGATGAGGAGGAAGATGGGGCCTAACATATTGAGCTTTTATTCTGTACTAGTTACTACTGAGCATTTTATATGCCTAAGACATGACCGACATTGAACCTATAAAACATCCCATGGAGGGAGGTATGCTTACTGCCCCTTTGACAGGTGAGGAAACACAGGTTTACCAAGCTTCACTAGTGGGCTTAGGTGGAAAAAGTATCCCTTAGCTGTGGTATGTGAGCCTGGGAGTACCATTTCAAAATTTTATTTAGCAAAGTTTGCAGTTCAGTGGAAGAAGCTTTTCCGAATAGCTTATCAGACCAAGGGGCCTGAGATGAGAACTGGGGAACATGTGCAGGAGCTGAGGTGGGGTAGTAATGGTGGGGGACAGTCAGCATCACAGTGAAGCCGAGAGTAAGAGCTCCCTTAGTCAAATGGGCTCCAGACCAATACTGAAACCTAGGGACCGATAGCATAGCTTTCTTGACAATACTCTTAGGAGTGTGTTTCTAGAAAGTTTAAAGGTTCATTAAAAGGAATGGAATGGATGATTTTATTGTGAGGACAAGGAAAGTACACGTCAGATGGAGGATGCTGCTTGTTATATTTCAGTGAGGCAATTCTGGGCTAGAATGAGGGCTTTGGAGGCAACAAGGGAAAGTGTGTTGTATAATGGACTAAATATGATCTTTAATCAGGAAGACTCTGAACACTGTATCCTAACTTAACCTGATACTAGCAGTTTGACCTTGGGTGAGTAATTATCCTTGCTGGACATTTCTTGGCTTGTTTTTACAATGGAGACCATGATATTGACATTACATGGCAGGGAGGATTCTGTGGGATAACGTAGGTGAAATGTGCAAAGTGTGTGCCTCCCTTCTTCAATTTCTCTCCTCCTGGAAACATCACCTTGGCTCACAGAGCATGAGAAGAGGTTCATGGTGCATACCCCAATGGAGCAAAGGCAACTCTTTGCAGGGACCCATGATTGACAGCCTCAGCTCCTCCCAGGACTGTCTGTGGGGAAAAAGGGCAGGATGCTGAGATTTGTGCAATTTTAAGTTGGTGCACAATGAGCAGAATTCCCTTTTTTAAGGGTTACTGTGGACTTATTATCCATATGCCCAGGCTGGCATGACCTGGTACCCCCAGGCTCTATTTCAATTGGAAAATAAAATACAGGGAAGGATATGAAACATTTACCTGTTAAACAATTAAGCCCTTTCACTCTGGAAAGGGAGTTAGTTGCACATTGAGACCAGTTCCAAGGAAATAGAAGGGGATATCTGTTGGCCCTTTCCTGGGTCAGAGCCCAGGCTCGCTGAGTGCCTCACAGCTGCTGCCACTGGGAGAAGCAATTTGTCAACTTTATACCTTTCTGCTTTATGATCTGGTGACTTAATAGGATTCGACCTTCCCTGCATTCCATTTCAGTTGGGTCAGACACTGCACTTCAAATTAAAACTTGGGCTCTGAGACAGGTGATGAGGAGCTGGGGAGGTATGTGGCACATGTTGAGAGGGGGCTGTAGCTTCAGGTGCCCTCTAAGATGGCATGATCAACCCTGTGTTCATTAACACCACCCAGCCTGAGACCCTGACTTCTCATAAAGCCATGACCATCTTGCCTTCCTCCAGGCACTGCCGTGACCCTGAGAGTGCAGGGAGTCTAGCCACTTTTCTACCCGTTGAGAGAATGCTTCGATTTTCATGCAACAATGGAGCAAACTTCAAAAATGGGAAGGGACAGTGTCACTGCAAAGGGTTCCTAATATGACCTGGTTCATTCAGCCAACATGCATTTGGTACCACTATATGTCAGTCCTCGTGGCAGACACCAAAGGGGACAGAGGGATTTCATCCATGCTGCCAAGAAACATGCAGTCTGAATGACAGAAGGTCAAGGGCATGCATGACTATAATGTAAGGCAGAAAGTGATAAGTCCAAGGAAGTGGGCTGCTATAGAGCCAAGCAGGGAGAGAGAAGGCTCCAGGGGGAACACAGGGTAGGTGGGAATACTAGAAGGCTTGATGAGAGGGCACCCTTTGAACTGAGCCTTTGTAGAAGAGAAGGATTTGGGCAAGCAGGCATAGGATTTGAGGAAGGTCAGCCTGGAAAAGGGAGCAGCATAGGCAAAGGTGAAGAGGTTTGGCATCACGCCATGTGCAGGGGACAGAGATGGCCCAGCCTGTCTCAGGCTAGAGCACTGCAGGGAGGCTGGGCCTGATAAGAATGGGTGTGTGGCCACCAATAAAAGAGCTAAGGGTTCCTGGGAGATTGCTGTGAGCCACTTCTTTAAGCACCTTATATGTATAAAATATATATATGTGCGTATATAATATTTATTATATAATATATAATTATAATTATATAATACAGTATATGTTTATAATATCATATATTTTATATTAATGTTAATAGAATAATAATATAGAATTATATAATATTATATTAAAAATTGTGTTATATTAATGACTATTATATACTATAACATAATAAACTAATATAATATAATATAGTATAATATAGTATTCCATATTAATGTTATTATCATTAATATATAGTATTATATATTTTATGGACATGTGCAGACACACACATATGGGCACCAGTTTGGGGAGAAAGAAATTATATTTATTTAAAAGTCACATCCCTATGAAGTATTACCATTATTCCCATTTTATTGATGATGAAACTTAGGTCAAAAGATCAAAATGTAAGTCACTTGTTTGATGATGCAGCTGGTAGGGAAAAGAGCTAGGATCTGAGCCTGGCAGTTTGGTTCCGAGTCTGTGCTTGAGACTTGCCTGCTATTCTGATTCCCATAGCAGGTATAGTAGGATCCCTTGCAGCTTGCTCAGAGGGATGACTTGTCAAGGAGGCAGGCAGTGAGGAAGTGGAGAAGGAAGGGTGATAGCTCCCAGAAGTGACTTGGTGAATGCGGTCCACAGGAAGCCAGTTTCTGGGCAGTCTGGTTGTGCAATGCAGTGGTCCCCCTGGAGGATGAGTGGGCGGTGGCTGCCCTTGCTCTCCTGTCAGCTCTGTTCAGCTCTGAACCCTTATCAAGCGACTTTTGTGCCCACAGCAGCATCTGAGCCACACACTTTCTGTGCCCTGTCTTCCTCCTTCCCTCGTTACTATTATGTGGTGAGGTTTTGGGGCTTTTCTCTAAATACAGGCATCACCAAAAGCCCCAGATCAGGAGGGATCATCATGGGGTATGAGTTAAAGGCAGGACAGGGATGGCTGGGGAGGAGTGTCCTGTGGGGGACCTGGCGGCCCACCATCTGCCTGCTGTGTTCAGAGAGGCATCCCAAGGGCTGACTTCAAAAGGGCAGAGGTCGTTTTCCTGTCTTTGTTTAAAATAATGGGCACCAGCATTCAGCATCTGTCCTACCTACTTCAGGTAGGTTTTCATTTCACCCAAGAACTACAAATAGCAAATAGCATGAGTTTCTCATGAAAAATGGACTAGGTCAACTTTTGAAATACTCTACTTCAGGAATAAAATAAAAGGATTTTGTTATACATGTTGCAGTATTCCATGTATTAAACCATCAAAAAATAAAAATAAAAACTCTGGCAATAACTAGAATTACATCAATAGGGAATAATTGAATAAATTGTGGTATTTTGGGGCATCTGCCCTGTAGTACATCATGCAGCTACTTAAATAAATGAGAAAGGTCAATGTGCATAAATCTGGAAAGATGTTCAGATAAACATAAAGATTGCAGTTGATGAAATCAAAGAACTTGCAGAATAATGTGTGTATAATGTTACTATTATGTGTGTGTGTGTGTGTGTGTGTGTGTGTGAAAATGGGAAGAAAAGAAAGAAAAAAAGAAGCCTATATATGTATGTGCATCTGTAAACATAGCTAGTAAGATAAACAGAATGATAAAAATGTTGTATGTTTATTGTATTAGGGGACTGATTTAAAGAAAAATCATTTTATCCTGTATACTCTTGTCTAATTTCATAACAATATCAAGTATCTCTTTTGTAATTAAAAACCCAATAAACTAAGCATTGTTTATGAATAAAATTGAATAAGAAAACAAAAGTAGAATTAAATTATGGAGTTCATTGAATGCCAGAAATTAGATTTTATGTTTTATATTCTACAGCAGAATTTTCAGATGCAGATTCCATGTGACATGAGTCCTCTAAAATACTGCTAAGATAGTTTTTGATAAAAGAATTTTTGGAATGCTGCCAATATATTACACGTGTGGAACTTCACAATACACATTACTTATCAATATCTTATCAAAGGCACTGAAAAGTCCTGCAGCAAAAAAATAAAAACAAAAATCTCAAGAGTGTTAATCTAGTTTCCCTGATTTTTTTTTTTTCATAGAACCTCTTTCTGCATTACACTTAGCCTGTGGAATGCTTGATAAAACCCTCGGGAATAAAATCTTTGATTTTATGGCAACGGGAAGCTTCTAGAATTTTTGAAGTAGCAGAGGGATAAAACCTGAGCTGATCTTCATGGAAATGTTCAGCAAGTTCCAGGTGGTTGAAAAAGAAGATACAGGGCCCAAAGGGAGCAGCTAGGAGAATGTTCTAGCAGTTGGTGAAGAGGCGACAGTGGTGTGAAGGAGGGCAAACTATGATGGTGGAGAGTAGGGATGGCTGTGATATTGCAAGGATAATGTCACCAAGACTTGATAAATAAGGGGGCAAGGCAAGCTTGAACAAAAGGATAGAGCAAGCTTATATATTTGGCACCTGAGTGTTCAGTGGTGCTTTGAAATGGGGAATGCTAGAGGAGGAGCAGGTGTGGGGTCCAGGAGGAGGGTGATCAGGGGTTGAGTTTAAGGAGTTAGTGGAAGAGCCAATAAGCAGCTGGATGGGCAAAACTGTAACACACAATTCTTCTGAAACCGAATGAACCCATCACTTGTTAGGAAGGGGGCTATTGGCCTTATTGGGCTAAATCTTGATCTGATCATCATGTTGACACCATAAAGGGATGAGATAGGATTGGAGTCTCACTTACAGGAGACAGGCACCACAATGGAAGATTCCATCCCTCAGAGAGAAAATTGCATCTTGCTAAATGAGCACTTGACAGAGCACAGGAAGGGAATTCTTGTGTTTCTGAAATTCATTCTCTTCTCTCTGGACTTCCGAGAGCACAAACATTGAGTTGTGGGCTCTTGGGCAGTGTGATTTCAAAGGTGCTCAGCTCACAGGGGCACATCCAGTGCTGGTGTGGAGGCACCCTGTAAACTCCAGACATCAAGTCCTCGCTTCTAAGTCAGGCGATCTGATTTTCAACTTCTACATGATCCTCTGACTTTATTTCTCTTTTGCTATTCCTAAGTCTTTAATCAATCTGAGTTGAAGGTTCCAGCTCTATTTCCATTGTGCCACAAAATTAAGAGGAGGGTCCTTTGTCCACATTCCAGCCAGCGAGTTTATGGGGTGAGAGCATCCCCTGAGGCCAGTGCACAGTTGGCAGCGGGAATTGGTGAGCAGCCTCTTCAAGGAGGGTAGGTATCAGTGTCACCCTGTGAGGTCCAGTCACTTCTTCTACCATGGGCGTTCCTTCTCTTTTCACCCTTGGAAGTTGTAGGAGTTTACTAAGGAAGAATCTGATGTTCCTTACGAATGCATGGTTCTATTCCTCTGGTCATTAACCATCTTTACGTTGTAATCGATCGACATCTCTAGGTGAGGAGAAAAGACCCTAAGGGTTTCTCCCATCCTGTTCACAAAACCACTAAGATGCCCTTGTCTTGCCTGCTTCATGAGACAAACGATATGCACTGGGAGGATGGATGATTGAGGTTTTCATTCATACCCGGTGTAAAGCTGTTTTGTGGCAGGAAGAAAGGTTCCTGTCACACCATTAAAACAGAGAGACAAACCTTCACAGCCAAGCCGTGCCTCACATGCCCTCAGTCGCTGCATAAAGATGAAGATGCAGCCACGCAAGATGGCAGGAAACCCTGGGAAGCACCGCTAAGCTACAGTCTGAGGGGAAGTGGCTTTGTTACAATGCAAGATCAATGGGATTGATCTGAAGATGAGCTATCAGGTTGCCAGTGGGCCCTGTTCTTAGGATCAGAAGAATCTGGCTGAGCCTTTGGGGCTTTCTGGTAACTCTGAGTCTAAATCCAGTTGCATCTTTCCAGAGCTTTTCATCCCCTTCCTCACTCCCCGCCATGAAAATACACAGTGGAATACATAGTTTATTCGAATCATATTGCTGTTAGTAACCCCTGAAAGCATCTACTCCCTAGTGCTCTATTTTATCAAGAAAAAAATTGTCTGAGACTGGGAACTGGTTTTGGTGAGAACATACATGTTGTTTGTGGCAGAGCCAGGTGTCCCGGCTTCCTGGTGAGTGTTAATCAAGACATATGTCCCTCCTCAATTGAATATAAGCACAGGGATTGAATGTCTACCAAATGCCGGGGAGCATAGTGTGCCCTGGTGAAACAAACATGGAAATTAAATGTTTGCTAGAGGCACAAACACTGCACTGGAGAAACTGGGTGTTTTAACCGGGCTTTACATGATAGGACAGTCCCTGCTCCAGAACATAAAATCTCATGAAGGAAGGGGTTTCGCAGTTTTGATTCACTGTTGCATCCTCAGGACCTGACACAGGGCCCGGTACATAGTAATTGATGCATAAATATGTTGTGAATGAATGACGATTAGAGGCTTGTACAGGATTGGCAGGGCACGGTGGCTCATGCCTGTAATCCTAGCACTTTGGGAGGCTAAGGCGGGCGGATCACCTGAAGTCAGGAGTTTGAGACCGGCCTGGCCAACATGGTGAAACCCCGACTCTACTAAAAACACAAAAATTAGCCAGGTGTGGTGGTGTGCACCTGTAATCCCAGCTATTCAGGAGGCTGAGACAGGAGAATCGCTTGAACCTGGGAGGCAGAGGTTGCAGTGAGCCAAGATCACGCTATTGCACTCCAGCCTGGGTGACAAGAGCGAAACTCCATCTCAAAAAAAGATGCTATATTCTCATCACATTCAAAGTGATTCATTTTGCCACCAAAGTCACATAGATTCAGAGAAAGTTCAAGAGAGTGCTGTCATGAGATGGGTTTTGGAAGATAAGAAGTTCTCAAAGAAACACAGAGGGAAGTAGATTTTAGGTAAAGGTAAACAGCACCACCTGAGGTATGGAGGCTTGAATGCATGCCAAGGACCTGAAAAGGAGGTGGTCTCAGCCCTGTGTATAATCAGAGCCCACCCCTGTGTAGTCTGACACGGTAGAGGAAGAGACCAGAGCTGTAGGAAGATACTAGGGGCCCAATCATGAAGATTGTCCCAGCCTCACAAAGGAAATTTTATTTTTTTGGCAATGGGAAACCCAGAAGGAGACTTCTTGCTATAGTTAACCACTTCTGACCTGTGGAGAAGGAGAGAAACAAAAATACATCCTTGCTGGTGGCTATGACGTTTGCTGTCTCTGAGACTGTGAATGTTCCAGATGAGATCTTCAAACGAGTGAAGACTAAAATGTCTCAGCGCACTCGTGGCAGATGTAGTCTGCTCTGGTGCCTCTGGTCCAATCTGGTCCCTTGGAATCCAAATAGTCCCATATTCCTGTAGTGTTTGCAGGAAGCTTAGCAAGCTCACTTCCATTAAACGCCAGATTTCAGGGAAGGGCTGGGGGAAAGGTGTGAGATGTGGGTTCCAATGATCTTTGCAGTAAGTAGGGAGAAGAGTGTGTTGCAGAAAAGAAAGGGAAATGAATATTCTTAAAAAGTTAAGTAGCTCTGTTTGGAGCAGCCTTATATGGGGGAGGTATCAGTGTTGGAGTTAAATGAGCATGGATTTAAATTTAGACTTTGTCACTTAATACCTAGATGATTAGGGTTTTTGCTTAATCTCTCTGAACTCAAATTCCTCATCTAAAAATATGGATAGTAGAACCTATCATATAGGGTCATTGTGAAAAAGAAATGAGATGCTTGTGGAAATGCTGGCTAGTAGGTCTTGCTCTTCTTCCAATAACAGGGTTGATTCTGCAGAGAATTCACAGAGGGAAAGCTAGCATTCTTGACTCTCAAAGGGACGAATTTTCAAGAAGGGAAGGAATTGACCATAGGGTGAGGCTGTCAATAGCCGAGGAGTGAGGAAGGACTAGATGCGGGTCAGTGGGTAATCAGGAGAGGGTGTGCACACCTTCCCATTGGTGCAGAGGAAGGATGGGTTGGGGCTGGAAGACCTAGGGGCCTGGGAGCGTGCTAAGAATTTTGACATTGGGAGCTGCAAACAAAAAATGAGGAAGGGAGTTTTTGAGTGAAGGGTATTCTAGTTTGACTACAGTGTAAAGTATGTTGGGGGTGAAGTGGGTTGAGGAAGAGAGGCAGAGTAGTAAGTTATAAAACTTTAGAGAAATTAGGGATAATTTTGGAAACCCTAGGGTCTTGAGACAAGAGATACAGACTTTACGGAAGTCTAGAAAACTCCCAGCCAAGAAGAAAGAGGAATGGCACCTCCACCCACCCTTCTTTGTTTCCTTCCTCCAGGATTGAGACTTTTCAACCTTCTTGGTACCTAGGGTTCAAGTCCTCACCAGAGGATCCCTGTGAGACTTCAGCATTGGGTCTTCCCTGGATGAAGGAGGCTGACTGTGGGGCAGGGAGTGTGGAGAGCACATTCTCCCTCTACCACTTTCTCTATCATGACAATGGACAGATCTCCCCCTGTTCCCTGCCAGTTCCCTCCCCTCAGTTACACATGCACACTTCCCTGGGCTGGACCACCTGTGCCCCAGCATCAGCGTGTTGGGAGTGGGCACCCTGCCATCTCCTTGTGTCCCTTGAAAGCAGTTTCTCTTGTGCCCCATTCTGAGGGTCTGGCCTGTGTCGTCAACCAGATCTTGCCTTGCAGAAGGCTGGGCCAGATTCCCAGTGAAAAACCAATGCTGACATTTAATTTAAAAGCCAAGATGCTACTTAGTAAAAGTTTGTAAAGTTACATCTCAGCTGTTCTTGCAGATAGAACCACTTCCAAAAAGGAATGGGGTTCTATGAGTTTGAAATACCTTTCTGATGACATTTTAACAGCTGGGGGACACATAAATATTGAGATGCCATTCTACCTGAGTCAAAGTGTGTTAAGATAGAAGTCCCAATGGTTCTATTACAGATGGGGGTACAAGGATCAAATAAAGGGACAGAATCATTTATTCCACAAATATTAAGTGCATTGAAAGTGAATGCTGGGGGTTCAAAGATTAATAAGACACAGGAGTAAAGATTGCACATGAAAAATATTGCACCATTTCTCTGCTTAAGATCCTTTACAATCTCCAGCTATATTTCAAATAATCTCCTAAATATAGTTGGTAAGATCCTGTATGATCTGGCCCCTGCTTGTGGCTCCATATTTAACTCATACTTATTGTGCTTCTTCACTACCCAGTTCCTATAAGAAGTTCAAACATGACAAGCTCTTTCTGGCCTCAGGGCCTTCTCACAAGCTGCTCTTTCTTATTGAAACCCCCTCCCTTCATGCAACTGGATGCTACTTATCCCTCAGATCCTAGTTTAAAAAGTTACCTCCCTGAAAGACCTCCTAGAACAATTCTTGCTACTATCCATCATCATTATTCTTTATTGGAGCACCTAGTTTGTTCCTTCTGTAGCACAGATAATACTTGAAAATCATCTATTTATTTATTGACTTGTACAACACCTTTCCCTCTCCTGGGTTGAAAGCCCCCTGAGAACAGGCACCATGCAAGTTTTTTCTATTGATGCGTGTGGACCCTACACCTCATACATGCTATACACAGAGATGTCGAGTACATATTTATTGAATGAATTTATGCATACATGAACACATTTGTCAATGGAGGCTCAGACAATCCTCCCACTCCCCATATGACTACTGGGGAGCCCGGCATTCCAGTATTGAAGCCATTCCTGATAACACATTATAATACCGTAACAGTTTCAGCTGAGCAGAGCCCGGAGCACTCTGGTCCTGACCAGGGAGGGACTATTTCAGAAATTAGACAAGGCTCTTCATAAAAGCTTCAATTTGATCTGGTTTTGGAGGATGAGGAGTTTGCCAGGACTCTGTAGAACAGGGCATTTCAGGATGTGGTGGCTCATGCTTGTAATCCCAGCACTTTGGGAGGCCGAGGTGGGTGCATCACGAGGTCAGGAGATCGAGACCATCCTGGCTAACACAGTGAAACCCTGTCTCTACTAAAAATACAAAAAATTGGCTGGGTGTGGTGGCATGCACCTGTGGTCCCAGCTACTTGGGAGGCTCAGGCAGGAGAATCGCTTGAACCCAGGAGGCGGAGGTTGCAGTGAACCAAGATCATGCCATTGCATTCCAGCTTGGCGACAGAGCGAGACTGCATCTCAAAAAAAAAAAAAAAAAAAAAAAAAAAAAACACAACGCAACGCAAAACAAACCAACAAAAAAACAGGGCATTTCAGGCAGCAGAAGTAAACAACATGCCAGATTAGATAACACACAAATGCTATTTTAGTATAAGTATGTCCCATGCAGTTTTTACGTCACACTTATGCTAAGCTGTACTTGTTGTTTGTCTCAAATTCCATATTTAACTGAGCACTGTATTTATTTGGTAACATTACATGTATACCAGTGTGAACCAGCAACAGCATAGCATGCTTTGGCTTTGGGAAAGTTCAGGGGTGTATGGAATTCACAGTGCCTTGGGGAGCATCGGATGTCAAATTCCAAGGCTGGAGAACATTATCATGTGTAAGTCCCTAAGCACTGCACCATGGAGCATGACTTTCCTTCTGTGAGCAACGGTTTCTAAGCAGGAGAGTAACCAGATCAGATTTTCTGAAACCTCTGAGCACAAACACCTACCTTCTTCCACCTCAGAGAAAGCATCCCTTCTAGACTGGCACTGGTGATGTAAACTCCGTGGTAGGCAGGGGACATGCCTTGTCTTTGGTCTGACTGTATTATTTGTGGGAATAGATTTGTGTTAAATTCTGTGTGATCTGGGTAAGTTGCTTCCCCTCACTGGGTGTTGGCCATCCCACCTCTAAAATGAAAGGGTTGCCCAGATGTCTTCAAGGTTCTGTTGCATTTAAACAGCTTTGAGGTCTTGCCTGGAGATCCTATAAAATATTCTAGGGAACTGTCAGGAGGCAAGGACTCTAGTGCCCGCTCTGGATGATTTTTGCCCATGTAGCATTTCTGCCTCCTTCCTTAGACACTGTCTTAGGATGAGTTCTTTAAAAGCAGAGCCTGAGGCAGGGATGGTTCCTTTGCAAGTGATTTATTGGGAGAGTGTTTTATTTTTTATTTATTTATTTATTTATTTATTTATTTATTTATTTATTTATTTTTAATGGAGTTTCGCTCTTGTTGCCCAGGCTGGAGTGCAATGGCGTGATCTCAGCTCACCACAACCTCCACCTCCCGGGTTCAAGTGATTCTCCTGCCTCAGCCTCCTGAATAGCTGGGATTACAGGCATGCACCACCACGCCCGGCTAATTTTGTATTTTTAGTAGAGACGAGGTTTCTCCATGTTGGTCAGGCTGGTCTCGAACTCCCGACCTCAGGTGATCCACCTGCCTTGGCCTCCCAAAGTGCTGGGATTACAGGCATAAGCCACCGTGCCCAGCCTTTTTTTTTTTTTCCTTACAAAAAAAAAGAGAGAGAGAGAGACTAAAGGGAGTAGAATACAGCAAAAGAAAATAAGCTACGGCAGGATGTTCTCTCAGCTGGAGACTTGTGTTAATCTGATCTCATAGGGAGCTCTAGACTAGGAAGGATGCCAGAGTTGCTCCAGCGTGAAGCAGGGGGCTCGAGGTTTTGTACCCACATGTCAGTCACTCATGGGCTGCCTCCTTCCCTGGGAGCATTGTACCTGGCTGAGCCTCATCTGTAGAATGGACCAGCACAGGTTCCAGGGTATAGAGGTGCAGACAATATCTTGCTGTCCTGGTGAAGGTGGGATTGGCAAGGCTTAGTATTGTCAGAGCTCATGATGGGCTCCATTGAAGCTGGAGGGATCAATAGAGAAGGCATGAAATTGGGGTCCCCTCTGTAGGAGGAAGGAGGGGGACTAGGCCTTGGAGGCTCACTCTAGGCATAGTGAGCTCTGGCCTTGAAAAAATAACCCGCTCAGTGGTAATAATGGCACACACTCTGCATGATTAGTTACTATGAAGATTAATGGGAGAATGTATGTAAGGTGCTGAACATACATTCTCCTGATCTTCTTTCTAACATCAGTCACTCACACCTTAGTAAGAAGTTTAGAGCACATTGTCTTAATATCTTAACAGACTCTATTTTTTTCTGATCGAGAAATGAAGGTATATTTTCTTATTAAATGAAGCAGAGATATCTGCAATCAGCCTGGGGTATTTAGAAGAGGGATTCAAGGTCTTCTCAGGGCTTACAAAATTTACCCCAAAAGCACTCACCATTGCTCTAACTCTAGTGATTTCTATGCTTCTTCAGACAGTGTTATGGAAGGCTTAAGGGAGTGGGGCAGACCTGGGTGAAACTTGTTCTCGGCATATTGCCTGAGGAAAACCACACGCAGATGGGCTTGTGCTGATTTGAGGAAACAGAAGGAAAATAATTCATGGTTTCAAAACTTGACATTTTTTAGCTTCCCACCAGATATGTCATGTGTACTATATTTGCTGCACTTCTTGGCCTGACTTTCCTAGCTTAAGATTCAGGAATTATACTTGCCATTTCCTCCCAACATGGGTGAGAGAAGCAGGCAAGGAGGGAGGGCACTGTGGGCTGGAGACAGAGGAGAAAGAGGGTGGGCTTTGGAGCCATTCAGGCCAAGGTCCAAATGCTGGCCCCGGAGTCGAGTCGTGCATTATTGAATCATGCAGTATTGCATGATTGTGCTCAGGGCTCCATTCTCTGAGCCTGACTCCCCCATCTGTGAGATGGGAATACTTCCTAGTTCCCAGGCAGATGCAAGGATCAAAGGGGCATCAAATCTACATAGTGCTCATATCTGGCTGCACACACAGCAGGTCATCCTGTACCATGATAACAACATATCTATTTCTACAACTCTCATGGAGTTATTATCTTCCCTACAAAACCTGTTAGAATCTCACGACAGTAAACATTAGAGGCAGAATTCTGACTCATCAGCTATTTCACTCTGAAGTGGGGGGCACTTACCACTCTACTCTTCTGCCTCCTGAATCTGTTCGCTTCTTCTCTCCCCAGCAAGCTTTGTGGAGCAGTCTCTCATGAATTGACTTCCTATGGAGAGAAGTCCCAGGGTGAGAGATGGAGGTGGTCTCTGAAAACGGTCTCATGGAAAGTGAATTTGACCTCTGGTCAGCCCTGCCAGGTCAATATTTCTATCAGTGATGAGGAGAAGGACCCAGAAGGTGCAAGCTTTGCCTACGAGTGGCCCATCTGGACAGTACAATAGCATACCGCATGCTAGAACCATGTGCTAGAGAGAGAAGGAGGACAGATGTGGGCCATCCACACCTGTGTGACACTGCAGAGTCTGGTGGGGAGAGGGAGGAAAGGAGGCTTAGTTGGGACAAGGGCTTGGCTATGACTGGGTGCCAGGTTTGGGTCCCAAGGCAGAAAATCTGCTGTCCATGGAAGAGAGTGGCTATATCCAGCCAGCATCCATACACAGAGGGGATTAGCGCCAGGGGATTTGAGACAGTGTCATCATGGCTTCAGGTGAACCTTGGCATTACTACCCCATTGCGGTTCCTAGACCAGACAGTTCCAGGACATTGGGGTGCAGAGAACGTCTTGCTCTCAATCAGGGAGGTGGGATTCACCGGCTTAGTGTTGTCAGAGCTCATTATGGGTGCCATCGAAGCTTGAGAGATCAACAGAGAAGGCATGAGATTGGGGCCCCCATTATAGGAGGAGGGAGAGGGCTAGAGCTCGGAGGTTCACTCCAGGTACAGTGCGCTCTGGCCTTAAAGAAATAATGCACTCAGTCGTTCATGGGAGATGAAATCTGTCTGCTCTACACTCTGATTTCTGCAATCGTCTACATTTCGCTCAGAAGGGCTCAGGGTGACTGGGCTGCTGCTGTGCCTCTGAGCCCTGTCCTGCCTCCTCAGCTCTTTCCTTGTTCTCATTTTGTAGTATTCTTCTATTCCCTCAAGAACAGGCCCACCTCAGGTGCACACTGGGCTCCCTGGCTGTCTTTCCGGAGCTTTCCCAGGTGAAGAGGAGGCTGCACCCCATCTCCCTCTCCACGACCTTCTGCTACTACTACCATCTTTACCGCATCACTGAGGGAATGACCCTCATGGGGAGAATCCCCCTTCCCCAGCCCTCCCCAGGACCTCACCTCCTCCTCCAGTCCTCCCTTGTCACACATTGCCTGTATCTACATCTGGGGACAGTGCTAGTGACCCAGAACTGTCAGCTCCTTCTTTCATGCTCACTTAGAGGGCATTACAGGCATCTTGTGCAGAGAGGTTCCACTTAGAGAAAGCATCTGAGCAGTATCTGGTCTGGGCCCTCCTGCCTTTCATTGACCCAGAGAAAAGGGTATCTGGATGTCTGTCTTTAGTGTCTATGCAAGGGAGTTTGTGTGCAGTTCGTCTCTCTTTCTGAGAAGGGGCCAGTGATGCTCGTCTCAGTTACCTACTGCCCGATACAGGGCTTAGCAGAGACTAAAACAGAGCCTTGGACTCTGAGTGTGCACTGGGCTGAGCCCCAGAAGCAACTGCAGGCTCTGCCCAGGACTACTGGAGCTGGTCTCAGACCCTCTCTCCTATTCAGAATTCTGGTCATCCAATGTCCTTGTGACCACCGGGCCCCAGAGTAGCCTGGGTCTGCAAGAAAAGCCTCCATCTCTTGCTCCACATGCCTCTGTGGGCTGTTTCTCATGAGCCCTTCAGCTCTTTGAAAACTGGAACAAAAATATTCTTCCACCCTGGAAGTGCCCCTTAGAACCATATGCTGCAGCCCCCATCCCCATCTATCTGGCTGCCTTTCCTGAGCCCGCGTGGCTCTGTTTGGATCTCCAGCCCTCTGTGACTACTTGCTTAGGGTGTGTGTATAGAAGGGAGGTAGGGTCCTATTACATCAGAATACCGGAAACAGCCCCACATTTCTCTCCTGTGGGACTTAGTTCCCCTCACCTGCCATCACCACATCACTGCCTTCCATGGCTGAGTGAGCCCCTTCCTGAGACTGCTCTACCCTCTCTCACTCCCCTCCTCCCTTTCTTCCACATCCACTCTCCCTCCCTCAGGGATGACTGGTGTGCAGCCTGGGAACTGACCTGGGATCTCCCTCTGCTCTCCCTACCATGCCTTTGCCCATGCCGTGCTCTCTCTGCTGCGATGCTGTCTCCACCCTCCTTTCCTTGCCTAATTCCTGCTCATTTTTCAGCCACTGATCTCATGTATTTATTATCTTTTGCAGGGAGCCTATTCAGACTCTACTTCACCTCTATCATTCTCAGCTTGAGCCCCTCCTCCGTGTCCCTGTAACACTCTGTGGTTACCTCTATATGGTAGGATGACCAGAGCATGGACGACTCTGGCTATACTTAAGCAAAGTCCATAAACATCTCCAAGCCTCGGTTTCTTCATTTGCAAAATGGAGATGACAGCAGAGCCTGCCTCATAGGCTGGGGTGAGGTCTTGGCTAGGTGAGGCCCATGAATGATGTAGGAACTTGGCATGGTGCCCAGCTCCCAGTGAGTGGGGCTATCTCCACCTGGTATTTTTAGTGTCTATGCAAGGGAGTTTGTGTGCAGTTTGTCTCTCTTTCTGAGAAGGGGCCAGTGATGCCCATCTCATTCACCCTACTGCCCAGTACAGGGCTTAGCAGAGACTAAAACAAAGAGAGTAAAGGACAGAGTAAGAAGAGGCACAGCAGCTCCAGTCATCACTACAAATTAGAGCTCATGATTCATTGGAAGTGGTGAGACAAACAAGTTTATCTTTTGTGATTATGTGGCAGTGTTTGGAATAGTAGCTTAAGGGCCCTTCCTTCTTAGTCTGATTCTTAAGCAGATGGATTGATTTATCTTACGGATGTGAGTATGTGAACATGTGTGTATGTGTTGGGGGTTCCCTGGACTCATAGCAATGATAGAAAACCCCTGTCTTCCCAGCATGCAACAGACAGAGACATATCCCGGAGGGGTTCGTTTAGCCCTGGGTCAGCTGTGGTGGGGACCTGAGCATCTGCCACAATTCTCATCCAAGTGACTGCGGCTTGAGAGTAAATGCCAGGGCTGCTGCTGGGGTCCCAGGGTATCTCCGACCTGGAGATTGATGATGGGTTTCATTATATTTCTGAATAATTAGAGGGCAAGTTCCATTTGTGAGGACTTGCTCTGAGCTATCACAATGTATTAGTGGTCAAATAAGCTGCATGTATGTGATTTTAAAGGGAGAACAAGCAACCTGCAGCTGAGAAGACAGAATTTAGTGTTATAAATAATCATGTTCCACATATGGTGGCTGTATCATAAGAAATGCCATGTATTGAAGAACCACTGCCTTTCAGGTCCATTTACATATACACACCATTTCAGTTCTTCAGCGCAGTCAGTCTGGAAAGATCTGGAATGGGGGTGAGCAGATGGGGGCTGATGTACTTCTTGGGATCAGACATTTTCTCAGCCATAGAATCATTCAGACCAGAGCTCTCAGTAGACACTGAAAGGGTGACTCTGTGGGCAGACAAGTCCTCTCTTCTTCTGTCTCTCTCACTCTCCGAGTCTCAAACTTTTATTGTTTTTGTTTGTTTTTCCATAAAATGGAGTTCAATGCGTCAGACTTGCCCATATTATGGGGTTGTAATGGTGGTCAGAATTGGCAATGCATATACTGTAAAAATATTTTGGTTGAGATAAGGAGGTGATACGGTTTGGCTCCGTGTCCCCGCCCAAATCTCATGTCAAATTGTAATCCCCATGTGTTGAGGGAGAGACTTGGTGGGAGGTGATTGGATCATGGGGGTGGTTTCTAATGGTTTAGCACCATCCTTTGAGTGCTGGCTCATGATTGAATTCTCACGAGATCTGACTGTTTAAAAGCATGTAGCATGTTCCTCTTCACTCTCTTTCTCTCCTGTCACCATGTGAAAAAAGGTGCTTGCTTTCCCTTCACCTTTTCCATGATTGTAAGTTTCCTGAAGCCCCCCAAGTCATGCTTCCTGTTAAGCCTACAGAACTGTGAGTCAATCGAACCTCTTTTCTTCATAAGTTACTCAGTCTCAGGTAGTTCTTTACAGCAGTGTGAGCACAGACCAATACAAGAGGTATCACTTGTATTAGGAGATGTGACTTCTCCCCTCTTTTAATTTGTGGGGTTTGCCTCTGTGTGATCCTATGCATTTCCTCCCTTATAACTTGGTGAACTTGGCAATAGGTAGTTTCCTGTAAACCTACCTTGTAAAAGGATGATTTTTAAGAGCTGGAGTAAATCAGAGCCAGAGGCCTGTAGGGTGATTGCTGGGGCTTCTGAGAACCAAACTAGAAGGTCTCCTTTTGCTGCTCCCAAAATATGTAAAGGCAGGCAGGAACTAGAAGTCACTGAGGACTCAGAAGTAGTGTTTATTTACAGAGAAAAGATAATAAATTATGCCTAGCAAACTATCTTTGGAATATAATTACAGGTAATCCAGAAGAACAAAACTAGCCCAACCTCAAGGGAATGAATAATCCCTAATGCCATGACAGAGAGAGACAGATGTTAGTCATCGTTTACAGAACTTGCATGGAAAATTATTACAATAGATAAAAGTCATATACTGAGGATATCTGAATTTGCTCAAATGAATATTCTTTGGTTTCAAACAGTCACTGATAGATAGATAGATAAGGATCGAATGAACTGGTTTTTCTTAGCTGTCGATTTTTCTTTTGATCAAAGAAACATTCATATATTTTTAAAAAACATAGGAAGAGCCTTGTATTCAGAATTGAAGGGTTTGTAATAGAATTCCAGTGGATCAATTCCTTCAAGCACCTTGAAGCCTCTGGGTATGTGTGTGTGTCTGCCTACACACTGTGTGTATTTCTTATAAAATAAAGGATTTGGTCCAGATTCATGCGTAATGCCTATCCCAGCTTCAACAGCCTAAAGCCTATTCATAACAGAGAAGTTTAGCTGGAAAATTCTCAATGTCTGGACCAGTGTCATGAAGTGGCTAACGGAGCAGCCATCATACATTTTAATTGTAGCAAGAAAGCAACTTTTTGATCAAATGAGTGAGTGCAAACATTTGGCAACTTCCTGAATGAGTGCAAATGAAAAGCGATTATATTAGAGCTGTTATTTTTTCCTCAAGAATGACTTCCTTTCTGTGGCAATAGGAAGCTTTCAGGAAATTATTCTTTCTGGCACTGCTGGTGTTTAAGCACCAGAATGAACCTGCATTCAATAATTTAAAGTAACTTTGTTTTCCAAGTTAATTAATTGAATGATTCTTGATGTTTGACAATGAAATACAACATGGGAACAGCATGAGGCAGTTTCTCCCTTTCCTTTTAAAAAAAGAGTCTTGTCTACTCCATTTCATATTAGGGCCACCATCATTATCCAGAATGAAGGGTGAGTGGGGAGAGGCTTGATGAGTCAGACACTTTACAGAGACATAAAATAATCCAGACCAGTATTTCTCAAATTTTTGCATGCTTGAAAAGACTCTAGGGCTCTTTGTACAATGCAGAATATGATCCAGTAGGTCTGGTATCGGATCTGAGATCTCTCAGGTAAAACCTATGATGCTAGTCCATAAACCCCACTTTAAGATCTCTATTGCTGTCTCTGTATCTATAGCTGTACAGCTGGGGCTGGGATAAGATATCCACCTGGACCCTCTGCCCTGTGCTTTAATTAAGGTGGAGGTTCTCAGAGTAAATAGATCTGTCCACCACAGCTGTGGCTGAAATCAGAGGCAGGTCAGGAGGATGTGACACAAGTACCAAAAGTATCAGCTGCACTACAGCATAGAGGAGCATAAGAAGATTATATCTGGCACCTACAGTGGCCAGACACAGATGTTAACTGCCGGATGCACCAGAAACCCACAGCTCCAATTCAGAGCTAGCCCTGAAACAGACCCAGCTCCTGAAGTTAGACCCAGGAACAGATGTTGAGAAGTAGGCACCATGAGAGCTAGGTACAGACGTTTCAAACATTTTAGCCCAGTGAAGGTTCTCAGATCAGCACCTGGGTATCAATTTGGCGTCTGCACCCTAGCTGTCACTGAGCTTCTCAGATGTGCACTAGCTTCTACATGTGAGGTCAACCTGATCAGTCTGGGGGCTGCAGATGGATCTTGGGCATGAGTGGGGTGGACTCCTCATACTCACACATCCTCACGGAATTGGGTTACAATAACCCTCACTCCTATACACTGAGCTAACTGGTCAGGCTTTCAAGAACAACCCCAGCTTCATGGCTGCCTTTCTGTTCTCTTAGGCTTTTAAGAGAGCACTCTAAATACATTTTTTTCATTACTCACTTATGAACAGCTGTTGGCTAAAGGTGTTCCTTTTGGGATCACAGAGAGTTAAAGACAAGAAGGGAAGTGGGGTTGTGGAATATTCTTTGACATTCCAAACATAATAAATACCAGAGAACATCCAAATCAGGAAGAGGAGGATTCCCCTGACACAAGGCTGCAGGGCTCACAAGCACTGACAATTCACTCATCAGTTTCAGGACCCATGAAGACAGAGCCACAGATTCCCCTGGTAAGGCTATTTTGTTTATAGTTGTGCAACTATAGGGGCTTGGATGATAAAACATCTCTAATAAGCCTAATAGAAGACAATGGCAGCTGTTATTTACCTAGAGGCCAGCTAGGGTAAAAAATGTGTGTGGGCTGGGGATCATTTATGCAACATTTAACTGGGGTCGGGGATGGGAGGGAGCCAGAGTCTGAACCTCAGCGAAGCCTTTCATGTGGGAATGTCATTTTCCAATCATATATAGGATAGTTGTGTTGTTCAGTCCGGGGTAAGCCACATAGTGCAGGAGGAGAGGAAACCAGCACTTATGGAACACTTACCATATACTAAGAGCTAATTCCTTCACTTCCACCTATCATTTTCTTTCTAATGTGATACAACAAGCTCAAAAATAGCCATTTTTTATAATCTCCATTTTATATAAGAAAATGAATGCTTAGTTACTTGAAGAATTCTTCTTTCAAAGCCAGAAATGTGGAACTTTCAAATCTAGGTCTGGCGGGAAATAAGACAAAAAACTTCCTACTTAAGATAATTTTAAAAAATAGTTAATATTATACCATTAAGTTTGTGGATGAAAGATGAAAGTCATTATTTATAAAACTTGTGCCACTATATTTACACTAAATGGGAATTAATTTCGTCTTTATGCTTCCTGGAAAGTGTCTTAGATTGGGGTCCCACAACAAATACTATAGACTAGGGGGCTTAAACAATAGAAATGTATTTTCTCACTATTCTGGGAACTGGAAAGTCCAAGATCAATGCATGGCAGGGTTTGGATTCCGGCAAAGGGCTCTCTTCCTGGCTTGGAGATGTGTGCATTCACACTGTATTTGTGCCAATATAGCGCAAGTTATAAGTACAGAGAAAGAGAGAGCTCTGGTGTCTCTTCCTCTTGTTATAAGGACATGACGCCCAATTCTTATGAGGTTATTATTAATCTTAATAACCTCCTAAAAGTCCTGTCTTGAAATATAGTCACATTGGGGGTTGGGGCTTGAACATAAGAATTTGGAGGGAACACAATTCAGTTCACAGCAGAAGTCAAGGACAGAGATGAGAAGTGAAAATATTTGGCCTAACTAATGAGGTCCATAAACTCTGGAAGGTGTTTGACATTTGTCTGGTACTGTCATCTTCAGATGCATGCATCTAGCTCTTCAATAAAACATGTAGGCAAAATTATAGGGTCCCCTTGCCTGTATCCTCTTATTATAGCCCTTCATTTAAGGGCTTAAACTCTTCATTTAAGGCCTGCCTGAAGTTCTGCATCTTTCAAGATCCTTCCTGAACTGCTCCAGTCCTTGGGATACCCCTGTGTTCTACTCTCCAGTCCAAATCCATGCAGCTATCATTGCTCTCTTTGTCTCTTGAGTCTTCTCTCTTTCCTCCTGCTGTTTTCCTTCCTATGTGGCTGGGGGTTTTCTGATGGCAGAGAAAACATCTCATCCATCTTATGTCTCCATTATGGGGTTCAGTGAAGAGGGATGTCTCACTCACTGTTGGCAAGTTCTGCTTTCTTTCCCCAGTGAAGAAATTGGTATCAGCAAGCAAGTGTAACTTTTGTGTGCAAAAAGTGTGAATTAAGTTTTTGATGGAATTTTAATCTTCCAAAGAATCCTATAAGGAAAGCTTGATGAATAAACAAGCCAAGAGGAAAAAAAAGTTCCATTCTCCAAATCACACAGCCAATAGAGTGTGGATCTAGGAGATGGAGAGGGAAATCTATCCCCTGGACTCTTCATCCTACTTGGAGTGTGGCGAGCCCACCCTGAATCTGGGCACTTATGTTTGCTTTTCCTTCTGCCCTGAATCTATCCCTCCTGTCCTTTGCTGTACTCACCAACTCACTCATGAGGTCTTTGCTCAATGCAATTCCTTCTTAGAGCTCATCCCTGACCACTTGATCTACAATGGTATTTCCTAGCCACCCACTGTCTCGCCACTCAGTATATATTAATATACCTTTCATAAAAACTTTAAATGATCTGTAATTTTCATTTCAGTTATTTAGTTATTTTCTTGTTTATTGTCTGGACCTTTTCTAGGATTTAAGTTCCGTGAAGTCAGGGATTGTATCTCCTTAGTAACTGCAATATTCTCTGTGTTTCAATATATTATTATGTCCTCATAAAACATTACTGGGAGAAAAAAAGATTTGGGGATAATGTTATATGTGCTTTAGAGAGCAGTGTATCTGAAAATGTGATCTCTGTGTGATATCATCCTCACCTGGGATCGCCAGCATCACATCACTGTTAGAAAAGCAAATTTTCATCTCAATAGATACAGAAAATGCATTTAATAAAATCCAACATCCCTTCATGATAAAAACCCTCAGCAGACTAGGCATTGAAGGAGAATGCCTCAAAATAACAAGAGCCATTCATGACAAACTCATCCCAACATCATACTGAATGGGCAAAACTTGGAACCATACCCCTTGAGAGCTGGAATAGACAAAGATGCCCACTCTCACCACTCCTATTCAACACAGTACTGGAAGTCCTAGCCAGAGCAATCAGGCAAGAGAAAGAAATAAAAGGCATCCAAGTAGGAAAAGAAGCAATAAAACTATTTTTCTTTGCTGTCGATTTGATTTTATACTTAGAAAACCCTAAAGACTCTGCCAAAAGGCTACTAGAACTAATAAATGATTTTACCAGGGTTTAAGGATACAAAATTAATGTACAAAAATCAGTAGCATTTCTATACACCAATGCATCCAGGCTGAGAATCAAAGTCAGAACACAACCCCATTTACAAAAGCCACAAAGAAAATGAAATACCTAGGAATACAGCTAACCAAGGAGATGAAAGATCTCCACAAGGAGAATTAGAAAACGCTACTGAAAGAAACTGGAGATGACACAAATAAATGGAAAAAAACATTCCATGCTCATGGACTGGAAGACTCAATATTATTAAAATGGCCATATTGCCTAAATCAATTTACTGATTCAACATCATTCCTTTCAAACTGCCAACATCACTCTTAACAGATTTAGAAAAAACTACTCTAAAATTTGTATGAAACAAAAAGAGAGCCCAAATAGCCAAACAATCCTAAGCAAAAGAACAAAGCCAGAGATATCACACGCCCTGACTTCAGACTACACTATAAGGTACAGTAACTAAAACAGCATGGTACTGTTAGAAAAACGGACTCATAGACCAATGGAACAGAATAGAAAACTCGGAAATAAAGCCACACACCTACAACCATCTGATTTTAGACAAGGCCAACAAAAATAAGCAATGGGTAAAGGACTCCCTATTTAATGAATGGTGCTGGGATAGTTGGCTAGCCATATGCAGAAGAATGAAACTAGACCATTACCTTTCACCTTATACAAAAATTAACTCACAATTGATTAATGATTTAAACAGAAGACCTCAAACTATACAAATCCTAAAAGAAAACCTAGGAAATACCCTTCTCAATATTGGCCTTGGCAAATAATTTTTGGCAAAGTCCCCAAAAGCAATTGTAAGAAAAACAACAATTGACAAGTGGGACCTAATTAAACTAAATAGCTTCTGCATAGCAAAAGAAACTAACAGAATAAACAGAAAACCTATAGAATGGGAGAAAATATTTGTAAACTATGCACCCAACAAAGGCCTAATATCCAGAATATATAAGGAACTTAAACAAATCAACAAGCAAAAACAAATAACCCCATTATAAAATGTGCAAAAGACATGAACAGACACTTCTCAAAAGCAGATATACAAATGGACAAAAACATATGGAAAAATGCTTATCATCACTAATCATCAGAGAAATGCAAATTCAAACCACAATGAGATACCATCTCACACCAGTTAGAATGGTTACTATTAAAATGTCAAAAACAATAGATGCTGGTTGAATCTGCAGAGAAAATGGAACACATACACGGTTGGTGGGAATGTAAATTAGTTCAGCTACTGTGGAAAGCAGTTTGGAGATTTCTTAAAGAACTCGGAACTACCATTCAAACTTCAACCTGGCAATCCCTTTACTGAGCAGATACCCAAAGGAAAACATCATCATACCAAAAAGACACATGCACTTGTATGTTTATTGCCAAGTTATTCACATTAGCAAAGACATAGAATCAACCCAGGTGCCCATCAATGGTGGATTGGATAAAGAAAATGTGGTACATATGTACCATGGAAACATGGAACACTACACAGCCATAAAAAGAATGGAATCATGTCCTTTGCTGCAACATGGATGGAGATGGAGGTCATAATCCTAAACAAATTAATGCAGGAACATAAAACCAAACACCATATGTTCTCACTTATAAGCGGGAGCTAAACATTGAGGACATGTGGACATAAACATGGTAATAATAGACACTGTGGACCACTAAAGGGCAAAGGAATGAAGGGGGCGTGGGTTGAAAGACTACCTAATGGGTATTATGTTCACCACCTAGATGCAATATGCTCATGTAGCAAGCCTGGACATATACCCCTGTATCTAAAATAAAAGTTGAAATTATAATTAAAGAGCAAATTCTCAAGCCTTACTCTAGACCTTGTGATTTAATAACTCTGGGGATGGGACCCAGCAATCTGCATTTTAGCAGGCTCTGAAGGTGCTATTCTGATGCATGCATGAGCTTGAGAACCCTGGTTGGGCTGTGCTTCTTAATCTTTAATACACAGATAAGTCACCTGGGGCAGCCTGTTAAAATATAGATTCCCTTTCAGTAGGTCTAAAGTGGGGTCAGCAGTTCTGCACATCTAACAAGCTCCAGGTTATGCACATACTGCCGGCCACTAACTTGCCACTCAACTAGTCTTTGCAGTCACCTGGGGAGCTTTAAGAATCACTGATTCTGATCCCACCCTCAAACCTTCTGATTTAATTGGTCTGGAGTACAGCTCAACTGGGTCTTTTTAAAAGCTCCACAGGCAATTCTAATGTGCAGTCAAGGCTGAGAACCTGCTACCTTGGAGGGTTTTCAGGTGGATGTATCCTTAGAATGGCACTGCTGTGTGGATAGGTGGGTGCGTTATAGCTCATGGGCTGGGAGTGTCTTTGGGCCAGGTTATGCAGGGAGTTTAGACACCATGGTCACATTGCTGTACAGGTGGGTATACCTAGAAGAGACCTGAGTGTTCTGTGAGAAAACCTAAAGAATGATGTAGAAACTAGGGGCAGATGAAGAAACTCACTCCCCCAGCCTTCTTATCAACCTAGATGTGCAAACCTCCATGGCATGCAAGGATTTGATGATGCTCCATCAATGTAGACCCAATGAATGTGAAAAAGCCAATGATGATTTGCTCCTGAAGATAACACTTCTGCAGATGAACAAATGTTCCAGGGATTACATTAGTAGGCCAGGTTAATTAAATACAACTCCAATAATTAGTTTTGTGCATTCAGTTTCTGTTGTTAGTGCAGACTCTTTTCATGGAAGAGACAAAGGCCCCTAAATGAAGCTTCTGCTGACTTCTCTGTGCCTCCTTTGAATTTGTGTCCTAAAAAACACATCATGCATTCAGAGCGTTCTCTAGATTAAAAAAAATGATCCATTCATCTTCTTGGGCCTGAATTGACTGGGTCACACCTTGAGATGAAGATACATAATAGTGGTTTGTTTTTATTTTTCCTGTTAATAGGCTCAATGCAGCTCGTTAAAGAGGAGTGAGATTTATTAGGATGTTTCAAGAAGGCTGCCCAAGATGAACAATAAGAAAATAAATAAAAATATCCTTCCAATAAATTACATTTTAAAAAGAGGAATGTGGAAGAAGACATTATGAATGTACCAGACAAGACACAGGAAGTGGATTGAAGCCCTAGGTCTACCACTCTCTTGTTCCACAATCTTGGGCAGAGCTTTTCTTTACTTCAATTGTCCACTTTATGATCTCAGGCTATTGTTGAGAGTCATGAGAGTTGAACGGGGAAGTCCTGGGAGGCATTACACAGACACAAGATAGAATTGTTGAGACACCAGCTTTGATGAGTCTAGGAGGTAACATGACTGTACTCCCATACCCTTTTCACAGAAGAATCCCTTATATCACCTGCCTCAGTGAAGGATGCCCAGCCAGGCCTGTATTAAATGATTTCGTCCTCCTTGATCATAGTGGATTGTTCCAGAATGCAGACACAGATCTCAACCTGGCTTATCATATTCTCTCTACTGTAAATTAGAAAGCTGAAATAATGTGACAGAGCATGGGAGTCCAGGATAGAGGCACTTTAATGGCATCAGTGGAGAGAAGTGCTCTACAATAGAACTTTCTGCAATGATGGAAAATGATTTCTAACCTGCACTACCCAACATGGTGACTATTGTGCACTTGAAAGGTGCTTAGCATGCTGGAGAAACTGTATTTCCAATTTTATTTCCATTAACTTCCATTACATTACATTTAACATTTTTTTTTGAGATGGAGTTTTACTCTGTAGCCCAAGCTGGAGTGCAGTGATGTGATCTCCGCTCACTGTAACCTCCGCCTCCTGGGCTGAAGCGATTCTCTTGCCTCAGCTCCCGAGTAGCTGGGACTACAGGCGTGCACCACCATGCCCAGCTAATTTTTTGTATTTTAGTAGAGACAGGGTTTCACCATGTTGTCCAGCGTGGTCTTGAACTTCTGAGCTCAGGCAATCTGCCTGCCTTGGCCTCCCAAAGTGCAGGGATTACAGGTGTGAGCCACATTACATTTAATTTTAATTTTGCATTTAAACTTAACAGCCAGCGGCTACTGTACTGGACAGCATGACTCCAGAGTCAAGTTTTATGGCCTTCTGCTCCTACTAAGGGAGTCTCCAGAGCTTCTGTGGGTCTCTTCCTTGCCAAGTTTCGACCTAACCATTGCATCAACTTCATGGACTACCCAGGAGCTTTTGAATAAATCCCCCAATTTATTTCAGCCTGCCAAATAAGCCTTAATTAAGACAGTGTATCAATTAGATAAGGGCTTAGATACTGTTCTTTCATGGAACAATGTTTGCCCATCACATTAAAACCATAGAGTTGTGAAGATGCTGGGCCTCTTCTTGCTCATGGGTGTTCCACAAATGTAGGAATCGAGGAAAGTCAAATAACCCGGGAAGGGCTAATACACTGAGCAAACTATCTTATCAAGTCCCAGAGAAATCCTATATGAAATATGAAAGAATGAGTGGTATGATGAAGATGATTTATTTGTGTCAGAGAGTCACTTGGAACCAAGAGCACCAGCCAGGGGATCTGGACAACTTTAGCTCCCATTCCGTCTTTCCCCATTCTCCCAGGTGAGATGCGAGAAGCTATGTAGCCACTCCGAGCCTCAATAGCCTCATGATTTTAATAAAGCTTTAAAACTAGAGTATTGGTAAGTTCCTTCTACTTCTACAGATTATAATAAACTATAAACATGGCAGCCTTGCAACTGCTTATTTGCTGTTGTATCTTCACACTGCCAGTCTAGTATACACTGTTATTGGAAAAAAAAAAAAAGTATAGAAGATCAAGTGAACATGCTTTTCTTAGACCTGGTCTACAAGGCATATGGGTGTTTTGTCCTGAAACTGGACCAGAGCTGGGGCAAAGGCTAACAAACCCAGAGGTGTATAAGTGGTCATTCCATTAGAAGTGTCCCACTATGGGCCGGGTGCAGTGGCTCACGCCTGTAATCCCAGCACTTTGGGAGGCCGAGGTGGGCGGATCACGAGGTCAGGAGATCGAGACCATCCTGGCTAACACGGTGAAACCCCATCTCTACTAAAAATACAAAAACTTAGCCGGGCGTGGTGGCGGGCACCTGTATTCCCAGCTACTTGGGAGGCTGAGGCAGGAGAATGGGGTGAACCCGGGAGGCAGAGCTTGTAGTGAGTCAAGATGGCGCCACTGCACTCCAGCCTGGGCAACAGAGCGATACTCTGTCTCAAAAAAAAAAAAAAAAAAAAAAAAAAAGTGTCCCACTATGACCAGCACAGGTTAATTGTGTGACCTTTAGTCACTTCTGCACTCCATGAGCTTTTGTTCCCAAATCATAAATAATAAGATGAACAGGAAATTGTATTGTTTAAACATTGCAACCATTATCACATCATAGCTCCTAAAAGTCCCCTAACAAGCTTGTGAGGTAGACGTCCTGTTTTCATCATTGTCGCTATTGTCATTGCACCCCCCTACCATCATATCATTGTTATTCCATTGCAGATAGGAACACCAAGGCTCAGAGAGATGAAGCCAGTTGATTCAGATTCCAGTGCTAACAAGTGGGGGAGGCAGTATTCACAACCAGGTCTTTTGACTCTAAATCCAACATTTAGCCGAGAAGAACATCTGTATCTGCTTTAAAATTTTATGGAGACAGATGAAATACCATATGTTTAATACTTTGGAGGAAAAATGTGAAGCAAATAAAGTTTGCATTTTAAGAGACGAGAAGGGCAAGAGTGTCACTCTTTTTCGGGTCTGGATTTCGAGGTGTGTTGCTGAGTGTTTGGTGCTTGGATGATACCTACAGCCTGAAAAGAGTCTAAACCACGGAAAGAGAGGGTCATTGGATCCTGGAGAAGCTTGAAGGGCCGGCCTCACATGTAGGCCAGATGACTCTTGTTCTATACAGTGTTTAGTAATAGATAATTATCCTAGCGTATAGCTTATTCTATTGTTCCCACTGAATTCTTACAACAGCTCAATGTGATAGTACTACAATTCTTAGTTTTCATGTGAAGTTTGTCAAAGAAAGGTTGACTTGCCCAAGATCACAGAAATAGAAGTTGGCCAAGCCAAAATTCACACCCTAAATCCGCCTGACTACAGAGCTTAAGTTTTAAGCTATGATGATTTGGTTTTCTTGTTTCCTTCTTGTTAATTATGGATCTTTAATAAAATTTTGCCTCAACAATTCATCTTTCTTTTACTGGCATCACATGAAGAGAAGAAGCCAGTGTCTATGCTGCAGGCATCACAGGACTTACTGGGGACAATTTGATGGTGGTAGAAGCATTGGCATGAGAAATCCCAAGGCAAAGTGAGCCTCAAGAATACCAGGGCCTTCTAGACATTTCCTCTCTGAGATTTACATAGGAGTGCCATGGCTTTTCTTAAACAGGGGCCTGCATAACTGCACTCACAGGCTTCTTAGATCATATCTCTTAAAAAGAACCTTATTCATCTTGGTACTACATAACCAAGCTCAGAGCCAGACAGAGTAGAATCTGTTGGAGGCATGAATCATTTTGACTCCTAATATGGTTAATAGGTAAGCACACACAGACCCTTCTCCAGCCTTTGTCTTATTTTAATCTCCTGTAAAACAGTTTTTGTCTCCATGTGCAGAATGCAAGAAGACAAGCATGAGGCTGAAAATTATTACATTTTCCTGTTAAAGGCTACAGTTACCTATTACAGGAATACAGGGATGTGATGTTGGAAGAGCCCTGTATTTGGACTCCTCCAGACAACTCAGCTATATCAAAGACCCTATGGGGAAGCTTTGAAAATTCTGAGATTTTTTAGAATAAGCTAAGCCAGGTGAGCATATGTGAAATTTTGAGGATGAATGTTGCGAGACTTCAAGGCTCAGGTCAAGGACACCTCAAGATGCTCCACTCAGTAACAGGCTATCTTGCAGACAGATGGCCACCCACCAAGGGATTTCAGGGTTTCCAGGTTAATGGTGACTTTGTTGATACTACAGAGAATTACTGAGAATTCCTATGTTCTGGCTTTCTCCCAAAGCCAGATCAGTAATCATTGAGAATTACTGATCTGGCTTTGGTTCTAATTCACCTACCCTACTGTGTGATCATTGGATTGGAGAGTTTCTATTGATATCATGGGCTGATATTAATAGAACTCAAGGGCTGAGTTCCCTTTATTTTGTTTATGGCTCAGATACTGCAAAGAGAGAGAGGCAACTAAAGACTGGAGGTGACCAGGGGTGTAGAAGAACTCAGACAATGGTGTATTCACAAGAATTGGAGCTCTGTGATGGTTACCAAGAAAGATGCTGATGGAGAAGGAAAGGATTGTTTTTCAAATTCCTGTAGGGATGATTATTCAATGATAATCAAAATGTTCATTTAGATTCAAGACTTAATAGGGAGATTCCATAGAGTGAGATTTTACCTAGACTGAAAGTGCCTTGAGGACAAGGCACTGTGCCTTTGCCATAATCTTGGTAAATGACATTATGTCAACCACACTGTCCAACATCAACAGCTGTTTGCTGACACAGACTGGGTGAAGCAACTGAACTTACTAGACAAGGAACTTTATAGGAATCAGAATTGTCTGAACATTACAAAGGCTTCCTAGATATTTATTATCAGAGTCTGTCTAGTCACCTACTAGGTGATCTGTCCATGTGAGAAATGCCTAGATGGGTCCTTTTCTGAGATGCTCCAGAGCTGTGTACATTAGTAGCTAATGGCCACAACATAGTATAAATCACTAATCACATCTCAGTGCTTGGAGCTGACTGTATTAATGAAGGGGTTTGGGGATCTGAATAGTCAAGACCTTGAAGTGGGAGGGAAAACATTAGCTAGGGAAGAAGACATGTGGGAGAGTCCAGGTCCTTGATTAAAAGCATCACTTTATACCGGTTAGTTCTAGTGTTGCCCACAAACCTACAGTCTTTCCCATAGCACCTGCTTGGCTGCTCTGCCACCAATATCTCAGTGGGTTATCTTTTGCTGAATCTGGTTGGGGCTAGAGAGGAACTTCCAACTCTACTAACTAGACACAGAGGTGTCATCTTCCTGTTCATCAGAGTGTTTTATTTATTCTCTCTTCAGAGGAAGGCATCCTCTTCTCCTTGAGTCAAGAGTTTGACAGATATTCCCTTAGAATGCATGCATGTGTGTATCCAACCATCCATCCCTCCGCCTCTTCCTCTTGCACTCCCTCCCTCATTTCTGGAAAGTGCACTGTAGTGAGTTCCAGATAATCTGCCATGAACTTCATGTGACTGTGGCTAGGTCACTTACCCTTGGTAAATTAAGGAATCTGCTTAGTTTCCTCTTAGAATTGTTCCTTTTCTTATGCATCATTACCTGGCATTCCCCGTAGTCACAGTACAGGATAAAGAATCGAATCGAAGGGAAATTTGGATTTAGTTGTGGAGAGGTGATAAGGCAACAGTGAAAGCCATGTGACTGGGCAGAGTATTGTTGTGTTGAAATAAGAGAGGAAGCAGTGTTCTGCTAACGATGAGGAAAGGGAGAAATCCCAGGGAAAACTTCCTAGAAAAATTATGTAGAAATCTAAGTTTTTATTAATAAGTAGGAATTAAACTTATGGAAAGAAGTAAGGCAGAGGGGCTTACCAGAAATTGTGGAGGCAGCTTATTGTACATAAAATCAAGAAGGTAAACCACAAACTCAGTGTTTTTTTGTGTTTTAGGTGGCTTCTTTGTGAGGCTAGATATCAGGCATGTTTAAATGCCAGGCTAAGGATGTAGGGCCTTCCAATCAAGGTAATTGGGGGCCTTTGAAGGTAGAGTAGGGCAATATCTTATAAATCACTTTTTGGGAAGCACAGTTTGGCAGCATGGAGGAATGTGGACTGATTGAATGGGCCTGAGTTAGAAGGCAGAGAGACTAGACAGAAATGTCTTATTCCAAGTTGGCTATTTATTCTGCTGGAAAAAAAAATCCTTAGCTTCCAATGAACTGCCTTTTGTTATGACACAAAAGCCATAAAAGTAGTGATGTGTATAAAAGCAGTGCAGGATGTTTTTAGTGTCTTTATGAAATAAAAACAGCAGTAGATAGTTAAAATTGGAATGCCCTGCATCAGGTTATAACTGTCTGAGTTTGAGAACTTGCTGCAGCAATGTAATGATATTTTTATAGCTCTAGTTTGGTCTTTTCACTCAGATAACTGAACTCTGGGTGGATGAGAAGGGAAAACCCAGCAAATCAGTGCCATTAAATAGCAAGGGATGAGACTCTTTGAATTTCAATGGTCACAGTAGTTACTGGTTTGATAAAAACATTATTATTTTCCCAAATCAGAAATATGTGTGCTATGAATAAAGGTAAAATTGACACTTGGGAAATCGTGCCCTTACAAAATAATATGATTAGTTTGGGAAATCGTGCTCTTATAAAATAATATGATTAGTAGGAATTAGACATACCAGGTGCTTTGACATCTGTGACTTCATTTCGAGCCCATACCAATTTGAAGGACAACTTTCACAAACTCATAGATGTGGACATGAAGGTTCAGGGGAGTTGAGAAGCTTGCCCACAGACAAACAGTTATCACATGGTATCCTTGGATGTATCCTGAGATGGATTCTACATCACATGTCTTATCTACCAATGCCATGTGAAATTTTCCATAAACTTTGATTTTCTCTTGGTTGGTCTGTGAAGATTTAATATCTTTTTGAAGCTGTCACTGTGGGTCCCAGACTGGAGTGTTTCATTTCATTTGTTCATCTATAGACAAGACATATTCCACTCAGGGGTTTTAGAAAGGGTTCCTTCCTATTCATTAACAAAGTTATCTCTCTGAGGTCTTTGACAGGCTGGAGGTGGAGGCAGACATCTCTAGTGACTACACAGTCATCGGAAGGGTGGTTTGCTCGAGATCAGTGATTTGCTGGGTGCAATGTGCTCCGAGGGCCACCTGGGATGCGGGCATTGATAGGTGCTACATTGCATGGTCCACATCCATAAAGATGTGCTTTGATTTTTATCCCCAACACCTGCCCCAACCTGGGGTTAGTTAAATAATATTTTAACTTTTTAAGATGTATTATTTTAAAGAATAAAAGAAAGAAAAGATTGATATTTTTATGGTTCAAGAAGGAATCTGAGACCTGGAGCTGTGACGTCATTGTGCGACAAAGGTAGCTCTCAGGTTGTAGATTAGGCTGGCTAACCTGTAAGCCCATACTTGACTGCTCTTATTAACCCCCTGCTGTTCAATTTCATCTCCTTGCTCATATACACAAAGAAGGCTTTGATTTGGGAGCATTCGATTCTGGGGAGGCAAAAATGTTTATGTCTCTTTATGTGTTGATAGAGAAAATATGTAGTTCAAGTCAGCCATGATTTTGAAGCACCTTCAAGAATCTATAAGAGATTGAGAGAGAAATATGAGAGAACAGAAGAGCTGGGATTGAAAGTATAGGCTCCATGTTCAGATGAGTTTTGCCTCTTCACTATGATTTACTAACTGTGTGAATGGCAGTTGTATCTGCCTTCGGGGTTGTTGTGAGAATAGCATGTGAGCTGTTCAGCTCCGTGCTCAACACCTATGAAAAGTTCAAATCATGATAGATCTCATCATTAGTAATAGTAATAACATAAAATGAATGATACATTTCCTGTGTGCCAAGCACTGTCCTAAGTGACTTATGAACATTAATTCAATCCATCCTTACAACAACCCCTTAAGGTAGGTGTTATTATTATCTGTATCTAAAGACAAGGAAACCAAGACATGTAGTGCTATGTAATTTATCCAAGCCTTCACAGTTAGTGGTGGAGCCATGGACTGTGTTCTTAGCCACTGTGCTATGTGGCATACCACTCTGTAAGAGTGGTAGCAGGCATTGTGCACACAATGGGAGATGAAGTGCCCAGTTCCTGCAGTAAGAGGTCAAATCTGAAGGCCATTGGAAGCCAAGCCAGAGAGTGATTTGAGGTGTAGAGGAGGGGTTCATGTATTATGGAAAGCATCAATGGTCCAAAAATTTGCAGAAATGTCAGAGAGGGATGACATGGGCCTTGAGTGATGAGTCAAAAAAGGTGCAGATGAGTAGACAGGAGACTATTCAGGTAGAATGACTGTAGAAGGAACAATTTAAACTGTGTTACTTGGGACACTCAATATATACCTACAAAATCTCAGGCATCAGACTGTGGCTCCCTGGCTTTCCATGAACCATATATATGATGCTGCGTGTAGATAGGGTTCAAACAGACCTGTGTCAAAGTCAGCTCTACCAGTAATGAGCCATGGCCTTGACTTCTCCATCCCAATCTCTCACTCAGTAAGTGAGGTGATCATGCCCACCTCACAGCAATGCCAGGAGACGGAATGAGATGCCATAAAGTGCCAGCACGGTGCTGCCCTACAGGTGGGTTTCAGTAAACATCAGCTTCTAGGTCAGCAACTTGCTATGGCTTCCAAGTGAGACCTGTGAGAGTTCAGGGTGAAATTGGCTTAGTGACCCTGAGTTTACCCAGTCGAGGTTGTCTGCCTGCTGTCAATTTTGATTTGGATTTCTCACTCTGCACACCTAGACCCATATCATATTCATGTAGAAAACACATCCTAAATCATCTCTGGAGCTTTCCTTTGCCTATGTTTCTCTAAAAATCTTTCAATAGTAAAGAGAATGCTTACATTTATGAATGGCACATTTCCACGAGCACCACCTCAGGTGTCTCTGGAAAAGCCCTGACATACCACCTCTTACGTGCTCATGTGACACGAACTTCCTAAGAAGGGTTGTCAGATAAAATGCAAGATGGCTAGTTAAATTAACATTTAAGATAGATAGATATTTTAAAAGTATAAGTGATATTTGGGCTATACTTATGCTAAAAATATACGGGGAGTACTGATAGTAAAATTATTTGTTGCTTATCTGAAATGCAAATTTTACTGGGTATTATGCATTTTTATTTACTATCTCTGATAACCATACTTCTAAGGCTAAGGGAGTCCTTTGGGGGTAGAATATCAATTTTGAAATCAACCAGATCTTGGGGTTCAAATCCTCACTCAGTGATTTTATTGGCTGTGTGACCTCATCACTTAAACTCTCTGTGGTTAAAATTCCCCATACATAAAACAAGGATAATGATAGATGCCACCACTCCTCTTCAAGTTACTAAAAAGTTAAAGTGGAATTCCATAGGCCAATACAACTGGTATACCTCGAGGCCAAGTGCTACACCTGTTAAAGTCACTTTCTGTGCTGTTCGTTAAAGCACTTTGTAAATAGTGCAACTCTCTAAAACTGTACCAACACACTATTGCTATTATTTCCCAATAATAGCAATATTCCAATGGGTAGATGGTACATTTGAAATTGTAACTAAACTACTACTCCAGGGCTCTCCCTGATGTCCCACTCTCTCTGGAAGCCTTTCTTGCATGAGTGGTTGTTGTCTTCAGACAACTGGTGGAAGACTCAAAATGAAATTTATTCCCCAAATTTGCAGTGTGGCCCATTGCCATGGTGTGCTTCAAAGCAGGGACTCTAAGAACAGGCTTCCTCAGGAATGCCCTATTTTCTCTTATTATTTTGCTTCCAAAGATGGAAAATCAATTATAGGGGAAGGAATGAGGGACATAGGGGTAGTGGTGGTGGTGATGGGGCCAGGATCACTCTCACACATATGATCTACAACACATGATCTACATATGACATGAACATATGATCACCCATGTAACCTACAACATATGATCTACAACAGCACTGACTATTGAACATGAATGATGAAGATGTTCTCATGGTTGCCATTAAATGTATGAACTGCAGAAATCATATCAAATCTTCAAGGTATGTGTTACAGCCAGTTAATGAAAGAGGAAATTGAGGCTCAGCGAAGTTACATGATATTTCCTCAAATCGCACCACTTATAAGTGGCAGAGCTAGGATTCCAACCCAAGCCTGGCTCACACCAAAGGTAATTTTCCCCTTACTACCCTGATTCTTTTTGTTTCCCTCAGTTTTTCTGAGCAATGATAAATAAAGCATCTGGTTCATGAACCAAAAACATGCTTCTTCTGCCTCCTACCCCACCCCCAAGAATCCCTGAAAGAGAAGAAATAAACAGCATGTTGTGAAATTTTTGTGGTCCCCTTAGGGACTGTAGCCAAGAATGCTTGCCATGGTGGACATAGAATGTCTGAAGTGCTCAGCGTTTCACCTTCCACTTTTCTTCAGCCACAAAAGCCATTCATTTGCACTGAGACCCTAGTATAACTGGTTCCTTGTTCCAAGCCCGAGGAACCCCTCGGAATCTTGCTTTGTTGGTTATGTCAGGTCCTGGAGGTACTAGTTGTTGAGAGCAGCCATGTCTGAGACAGGCCTGTCTCATTTATTTCCATTCCGAGACAGGCCTGTCTCATTTATTTCCATGTGGTGGTCTGGAGAAGGAAAGGTGGTCATTCTGATGATCGATGACTCACCTGTCCAGCTAATGGCTAGCCTGTCATGCCATGACCTGACCCACACTCAGAGCAGAGGGTACCCTAATGTGGCCACAGCAAAGTAAGAAAGTACACTTCTCTCTTGAGGTTCTTGGTTGGTCTGCCATTGGAGGGTGCCCAAATTACAACATTGTAATTGTTGTAGTGGTTATTGTCATCAGTAATCAATTATTCATTTTATGCTAAGTTCCAGGCAGTAGGGAGCTGTTTTAAGGTGAATAAGACACAGTCTTCTCCATCATTAACCCCCAAAGTCTGGTGAGAGATACAGACTGACATAGTATGAGAGGTGTTGAGATGGAGCACAGAGACCACAGAGAGAAGGCTGGCCATGTGGAACAGACCTCAGAGAAGCTGCTTACAGGAGGCAACATCTAAGTTAATTTTGAAGAATTAGAAACAGTTTTCCAGATGGAGAGACTGGAAAACACATGCTACAGAGAAAGAATGTGCTCAAAGATCCAGGATTGCAAGAAACACTTAAAACCTCTTCATCTTGAAGCCCCATCTCATTTTAAACCGAATATAAATACATACATAGCACATCTCACATTAAAATTTTAAGTTTCAATTGTGTCAAAACAATTTATATTATTTAATTTAATGTTTATTATATTTATATAGCATCACGAGTTGAATTACAGTTGACTAGTTAGAGCGTATTGTTTTGTGACTGTTTAATGAAATGTTTATTCATTTTGATTTCACAGTTTTCTTCTCAAATATATTATCCAATACATCTGTGTTTTCCGGCCTTAAATACTTCAGTTAGTTCTTGATGATGTCATTGGCCCTGCACTCTATCTGTACTGCTGAGGGAATGAATCAGCTTGGAAAAGGAGTAGGACATTTTCAGGGAATGGCATGGGGCTTGGTTTACCTGCTGTTCAGGCAGTAAGTGGGAGTGAGAAGGGAAGCACTTCTTGAGAGATGAAGGGAGGTAGGCATGGGCATTCAGGTGCTTGTATAGCTAACTGAAGACTTTAGTTCAAAAGAAATGGTGAGCTACTGAAAGTTTTTAAACAAGGGAGTGACAGTCACAGTTGCAGTTTAGAAAAATAATATGACTTGGTGGTTTGGAGGATGCCCTGGAGATAAGAGGTAGAGAGGACGGTGCTTCAAATCTCCAATCCAGGGAGCCAGAGAGAGACTTAAACAGAACACAAAGGTGAGGATGGAGAGGAGCTGATGGAAAGCAGATGGAGTGGCTACAGGCTGAAGAGAAGCAGGTCTGGATCTTGGGTCAGGCTGATTGGGGGACTGTTGGTGGAAGTGACTGACCATGTGATGTGTGGGAACCTTTGCAAAAACCAGGTTGCTGGGGCAGCTCATTCATCCCAGGCTGTAACCAGAGGCCGAAGATATCCGTTAGCACCATGGGGCTTTCTTTTCCTTTTGGAGAAAGGCAAATGTGAAAGCCAGGAATCCGACCTTTGGCCCTGGCTGGTCAAAGCCCTGTCAAATGTGCTTGTGAAAATGTCAGCAGCCTTTTCTTCCATGGGAAACATCTTTCTTTCTCAACCCCTGGCATGTGTGTACCCCAGGAGGGAGTCAAGGGGTCATGGGTGATGCCAGAGTCCTCATTTCCCGCTGTTCTTGGGCCTGAAATGTGGAGGCTGGAAACTCTAGAATTGATGGTGGACATAACAGCACCCAATGGGCTCAGCAGATGCATGAGAAGAGGACTGCTGTTATGCTCAGAGAAGAGGACTGCTGTTGTGTCAAGTTGCAGAAATACCATGAGGATGATGTTGATGCCAGTTAACGTTGATTGTGTGCCCAGCTCACTGGGTATCTGGCTCTGTACTAAGCACTTTACATGGGGCCTCTCATTTAATCCTCTAGACTTTATGGAGTAGATTTGAAGGTTTAGGGAGGATGGGTATTAAGCCCAAAGTCACAGAGTTAGTAAGAGGCAAAGATGGGATTCCTACCCAGCTGCCGACTCTTGAGCCAACTCTCACTTAGTGTTTCTGCAATTCTTGTGTTTTTGAATTATCTAGTTCAGTAACTCTCAAATGGGGATGAATTCTGCCCCTTCCCCCGGCTCCCCATCTCACCCCCAACACACAGTGGACATTTGGCAAGATCTGACACATATTTGATTGTCATAGCTGGGGGTGGGGTGTTGGTACTGGCATCTAGTGGTAGAGGCAGAGATGCTATTAAACACCCCACAATGCAGAGGAAAGACCCTCCCTACACAAATAATTATCTGATCCAAACTGTTAATAGTTGAAAAATCCTAACCTAGTGCCTGGGACAAAGTGAACATCAAACCAGTATTTGCACAGTTTAGGGTTGAACACTTTCCTCCACCCCCTTTCCTTCTTCTCCATGTATTGTTTATTCATTTGTTCCTTCATTCAAGAAATTGCAGCCCTCCCCTGAAGGTTTTAGTACCTTCCTTGATATAAACAGGTGGCTTGTCTTGGCTCAGTGTATCTTTTAATTGGAAAGGAAATCACACCCTGATGTTTTCACCTGGACGATTGCTAGAGTTGGGTAGAGAAAATGTTCTTTCTTAGAACGATTGCATATATTTTGGTACTTCTTAAAAATCACAGTTTGGGGTTTTAGCTGGAAAGTCTATGGGCAGTGTTGATCTCGAGGCACTGTGTGTACGTGGTGGATGGCCTAAGGAAATCAGTCTGATCCCAGAGAAAACAATTAGAACCATGTGGTTTTTCATTCACCACTGTTTTTAGAAGCCCTGCCAAAACATTTGAAATGAAGACAAAGGGGTCATTCATGCCCTGCAACCCACAGTGGGGGAAAGTGGAGTCCCCTGGATAGGGAAAGGCAGGCAGTCTGTCAGCTCCCACCATTAGGGCTTTATTAGCGGGGCAAACACAATTTAGGGACTCAATGAGGAGGTCAAACACCGCTGCTAGTCAGAGAAGAATCCTCCAATGTAGCCAGCCCCCACCCCAACCCTAGGCCTGGGGAGCTTGGCATGGAAGGGGTCCCCACCTAATTAGTGTCCTTCTGAATGTGCACAGGCAGAAGCCCATAAGGAATTTCTGTGACTATTTAATTGTGGTTGAGTCTCTTTTGTCTGAATCCAGACTAGGAACTGCCAGTCCAATGCAGTACCAGCGGGAAGCTTTACAAAGTTGTCTAATGAGTTGTCCTTCCATGTTTCTGTCATGCTCTGTTGGGGAGAGAATTGTCCATTTGCCCCGGAAAACTGACCAGTGGATATAGCAACCTAGTAAACTTCAGGAACCCCTAGAAGTAATGAGATTCTTATCAATAGATCAATTCAAACCTAAGTACAAGAGTCTCCTGGCATGGAAATAGAGAATTCAAGAATGAAACTGTGAAAGAAGAGGGAAGAGAGATTCAACAGGATGTACAATGCTCCCCACATCTGTGATTTTGAGCTTATAAATAAGTAAGTCCTATATAAAAAAAATGCCTGCCTGGTACAGTGTAGGAGCTTAATGTTTACTAAATGATTAATTGAATGGACAAACAAAAGAATAATTTTGTTGCCTTTAGGCCCAGGGGATATTGAAATATTTTAACATAAATCACCCATTCTAATGCAAATATTCTTCCATGAATTTAAGTTATGATCAAATTTTTATTTAAATTTTTTTATTATTATGGAAAGAGTCCTTGACTTCATAGGGCCAATGGCTTTCTTTCCATTTTATATACTCTTGTTTTATACACTCTAAAATTCAGGGAAGATATTTGCAAAACAGTAATTTTGAGATCTTAGAAAAAATATAAGCCAAATAAATTATTGCTATTTTTTCCCTTGGAGAAGGTTACTGGGTAAGTGCTGAGTTGTAACAACTTGTATAGAAAGCAGAATATAAAATCCTAAACAAAGGGCAGTCAAGCCCAAGGAAACATCTAATTCCAAGGAAATTTCCTTGACCTTTTATTTAAAGCAAAATAGCTCAACAGGGTGTGTGGAAAGTGAAGTTTAATGATGAGAGGTTCAGGGGTTTGCATATGGGCACCTGTTCTGCCAATGATCTGCAAGGTGCACTTGAGGAATCACTTCCTCTCTGAACCTCCAATTCTTCTTCTATAGTATGATAAAAGTAATACTTTTAATTACACTCAGTATAGTGTTCTGGGTATCTTGGGATATCAGATGAAATATTGCACATGAATGCCATTTAAAAATTGTGTAACTTTATAACAAACTATTTTGTTGTCATTTTTATGATCATCTTATTTTAACTTCTGTATTAGTCTGTTCTCACACTGCTAATAAAGACATACACGAGACTAGGTAATTTAGAAAAAAAAGAGATTTAATTGACTCACAGTTCCACATGGCTGAGGAGGTCTCACAATCATGGTGGAAGGCAAAGGAGGTGCAAAGTCATGTCTTACATGGCAGCAGGCAAGAGAGCTTGTGTAGGGGAACTCCCCTTTACAAAATCATCCGATCTCGTGAGACTTATTTACTATTATGAGAACAGTATTGGAAAAACTGCACCCCCAAGATGCAGTTACCTCCCACAGGTACAGTGTAGGAGCTTAATGTTTACTAAATGATTAATTGAATGGACAAACAAAAGAATAACACATAGAAATTATGGGAGCTACATTTCAAGATGAGATTTGGGTGGCCAAATCTCATAGACAAAGCATATCAACATCCAGATGCAAACACCAGTTTCTGAGCTTGTCAATACCTCTACAATAGCTACTAACTATAGAAATTCTATTACTTCTGTATTAGTCTGTTTTCATGCTGATGATAAAGACTGAGCAATTTACAAAAGGAAGGTTTATTAGACTTACAGTTCCACTGGGGAGACCTCGCAATCATGGTAGATGGTGAAAGGCACGTCTCACATGGTGGCAGACGAGAGAAGAGAGCTTGTGTAGGGAAACTCCCATTTTTAAAACCATCAGATCTCACAAGGCCTATTCACTATCACAAGAACAGCATGGGAAAGACGTGGCCCCATGATTCAATCACCTCCCACCAGGTTCCTCCCATAATGCATGGGAATTCAAGATGAGATTTGGGTGGGGACACAGCCAAACCATATAAATTTCCATATTAAATATTCTTATTGAACTTGAAGAAAATAATGTGAGAATATTATTTTCATTAACTATTAAAAAACCAACATGGCCACTTGTTTTTTTATCTTACTTATTGATATTTGCAGAAATGACCATGAAGTGGGAGGAAGAACTCTGGATCAAGGGATAGTGAACATGAGAGTCAGTCTATTCTTTACTTCCTATTTTCCTTTCTCTCCTTCTTTCCTTTATTCTTCCCCCAGCCCACTCCCTGCATTTATGTGACAGGCATTTATGTGATATAATATATTAATATTATATCCTGTGATATAAAGTTAAGAACATGAATTTCCTGATCTCAATGACTTCAAAATTTACTATTGGTGAAGGTCAAGTCAACAGTGAATCAAAACAAAGTATCAAATATGTCCTAACCAGGATAGATGGGATAAGATGTCAAGGGAAGCTTCTTGGAAAAGAAAATGCCTGGTATGGATTTTGAAGAGTGAATAGGAGTTTGGAGGGAAACAAAGGGTGGGCTGAGGAAACTTCATGTAATTCCATAGAATTAAAGGGAAAGGTGTTTATGAGCATGTTCCAGGAAATAAGACAAAAAAGGTAGAGACACACCTGATCAGGAAGGGCGTTCTCAGCCAAGAGATGTTTGATTTCATCTGAGGGTTACAGTGAACCATGGAAGAGATTAAAATTAGGATGGTGATGTGACCCAAATGGTATTTTGAAAAATCATTTTGTCATTTATTGGAAACACAATGGGAGGTGGGAAGAGACCAGAGGCAGGAAGACCAGTATGGGGCTGTTGTAATGTCCTAAGTGAAAGAAATGGCCAAGATGCAGGCAAGGAAGTGGAGAAAGAGAAGAGCGCACTGAGGACAGGTATGGTGGCACCTCAGATGGGACCAGGTGGATGGCTACAGGCAGGGCCAAAGGAGAGCAGAGGGCTTCCTTCTTCTGCCCTACTTCAAGCTATTGGCCAGGTGAACTATTTTGCCTTTTTTAAGGTTATTTTTCTAATATGTAAAACAGCAAGTTTATATAGTTCACTTTTAGAAATCAATGTATCTTTAGGAACCATATGTCTCCATCATCTGTTGGAGAACATTCCAGGTAAAGGGACAGTTTGTTTGTTGATTTGTTTTTATAGATGAGACAACATTGTTAAGAGGACGAAGAAGTTGGACATCTTTTGTTTCTAGTTTTCTATGTTCAGAAGCAAGCACCTCCATCATCTTGTGTAAATCTTTGTAGGTCAAGTAAGGAACAGGCTTTAATGGGTCAGTCAGCTTGAAAATTTGTAAACTTTCTGTGATAAATATGTTTGTCATTCTTTATTGGACGATTTACATAATAGGCATAACACTTTGGTTGTAACTTACAATATTATGATGAGGCTCTTCCCAATTCACCAGAATTGATACCTTAAATTTATTCTAAATTGATACCTTAAATTTAGTCTAAATGTCATCACAAGAATTAATATGAATTACTAGATACATGCATTTAGATAGATGTGATGCTTTCTTTTGAAAAAATGTAAAACCTGAAAAGCAATTCTGAAGAACAATTATCAATGTATAAGCAAGTAAACATCAGGTGACATATATATTAATGAAGCAAGAATTTACATTATGTTCCAAAGGCCATTTGGTAGGCAAGTTAGTAAACAGAAACTCTATATTGAATTTAGAATAAAGTTGAAGAATATTGTCTAAATTTAAGGTATCAATTCTGGTGAATTGGGAAGAGACTCATCAATCTTTCCTTTCCTAGTGTTGTACACTCACCCACGTGAGCTCATCCACTCCTGCGATGTTGTTTTATCCCCTACAATTCAGACAGGTTAGAAGTAGCTGCAGTCCACTGGGATATATTTGCAGCTTCCTCTGTGTCTTGTTTTCCAGAAATTATCTTTATTGTGAATGTATTTCTTATCTATTTGAAGATAACTCCTCCCCAGCCCTCTGTCTCCACCATAGTCATTCTCATCTGACCTCAGCCAGGAGCCCAATCTTAGGGATGTTATGGACAAAGCAAGCCCTAAGATAAATTAGTAAGGGAAGGGAGCTTTCCAAGCCTGTGGAAAGCCCAAAGTTGCCCTTTGGAGAAAACAATTGATTATTTCCAGCATCAAACACAAAGACTTGTCTTTCCTTAGAAACATGGATTACTGTCTCATTCACCTCTTTCCGCTCTAACTTACTGTGTGACTTGGGGCATGTTAGTGATGACTAAACCTCAAATTCCTCACTTGTAAAATGAAAATAATAAGGTCTGTCTTATAGAGATGCTTTGTACTTTCAATCTCTAACATAGGGTTTGGTCGGCATGTCTACCACTCACAATAGGTTAGATTCTCAGACAGTAACAACCAAATGGAGCTTCTCAGGGACATAAAACAACAAATAATTATTTCTTGTGCATGCTACATGGCCAGTCAAGTTTGAGAGGGTCCTCTGTTCTCTGTAGTCCTGCAAGGATCCAATCTGATGGAGGCGCCACTAACTTATGATATCAACATCTCAATATCAGGCTTCAGGGTGACTTGGACATTTAGTTACATTTCATTAGATAAAATAAGTTGCATGGCCACATTGTACTTCTTTTTCTTTTTCTTTTTCTTTTGAGATGGAGTCTTGCTCTGTCGCCCAGGCTGGAGTGCAGTGGCACGATCTCGGCTCACTGCAAGCTCCACCTCCCGGGTTCACGCCATTCTCCTGCCTCAGCCTCCCGAGTAGCTGGGACTACAGGCGCCCGCCACCACACCTGGCTAATTTTTTTCTATTTTTAGTAGAGACAGGGTTTCACCTTGTCAGCCAGGATGGTCTCGATCTCTTGACCTCGTGATCCACCTGCCTCGGCCTCCCAAAGTGCTGGGATTACAGGCGTGAGCCACCGTGCCCGGCCCACATTGTACTTCAAAGGTGCAGGGAAGTACAATCTTTCCATGTCCTTGGATTGACTGGAGAACTAGACCCATTTTTGTGCACAGAAATATCTGAGTATCTAGATAGTTTAGCCATCTTTCGTTTTCCAAAATTCATCAGTATTCCAGTATTCACAATACTAGAGAAAAAATGTTTTAATTCAAACACACGTGTTAATGAAAATAGTATTTGATGTGTGAGTGACTGTGTGTCTGTGTTGGGGGGGCATGTACTGTGTACATGTGTACCGTGTGTGGCTGAATAGGTGAGGAGAGTGTAAGCGATATATTGACAAAAGTTATTGACTTTGGGTTTTGTTAATGATATGCCAGTTTTCTAGAAATTTCTAGAGGTTAATGAAGTAAATAATTAATGATGTATTTTGGATATATATCAAAGTATGCCCAACATAAGCTTCCTAATCCCTGAAAGGAACTCATCAACTCCCCAGAAGAGCTAAAATTCTTATGGAGAGAAAGGAAAAAGAAAAAATCAAACCCTAATTTTCCTCACGGTCCTCCTCTTTGGTTATCAGCAAATAGACAGTAAAACAACATCTTGGTATTAGAAGGAGTTATCCAGCTTCACTGTTAGCTGTGTGATATTGGACAAATCACATCACCTCTCTGATAATTATTTTCCTTAAATGTAAAACAACAACAATATCCTGTTTGACTTTGCAGTCTTGTGCTTAATGCATCAATCCCCTTGAACATTATTTAGGTTCCCAGTGATAGGGAGCCTATTACATTAATGGTGAGACCCATTTTATTTCTGCGTAGTGCTGTTAAGAAAGCTATTTCTTATATTAAGCTGGAATCTGTTCTCCATTGGCCATTCAAGACAGGGATACTTTTTCTGCACTGTGCCGATTCTTCCAGAAGGCAGTATATCCCCTTAACTCTGTGCATATCCTCTGAACTTTTCCATTTTATTTATTCTGCCTTGGTATACACGGTGAAACTATTTAAGAACATTTTTCTTTAAATATAACCAGTGAACTGGATACCACATGTGCTCTGAACCACTGCTAATATGCCTTATAAAATAATAATAAGGATGAACAGAAGTGAAATAAAAAGCTCTGTATGTGTGCGCATGTGCACATGTGCATGTATGCATGTATTTCAGTCTTTACTTATGTAGCTGCTCATTAGGCCATGGTTGCTATTTATAACTACTTTCCTTTACAGTTGGATCCATGTTCACTTTCCCCTTATCCATGATCTCCACTAATCAATGTTCTTTACCAGGTAGGCAGCCCCAATCTTCATTCCTATATGGTGTAAATCCTTGGTTGTTTTGCTTTCTATCTTGGTTGCTGCAACTTCCCATTCACTGTTACTATTGCACATGGGAATGCTAAAATTTCCCCAAGAGAATCCTCCAGGTTCCAAATCTAGTCCTTCCTGACCTATTTCCTATTGAGGAGAACTCAAATTTCCTATTGATGATCAAGATCAATCATCTAGCTAGGATGGTAACTTGTTTCCTCCCAAGGGTTTAGTGATGTGACAAGCCTGAAATGGCCTCTGCAACTGTCAATTCAGTGGGACAATCATTGTGTCCCCTGGTGAAAATATTTCTCCATTGACAACTTAAACTTTCAAATCAGGACAGTTCCAAGTTGTAGAGACAGCGAACAAATACTCTGTTAATGGGTACAATAGTAAAGATTTGTTCCCAGGCCCATATATCCTGTGGGAGAAATAGCACCATATATTAGTTGCTTATTTAAAGCATATACCGCACATTTAAAAATATAACCTCAAACTTTTCAGAATGTTTTTTCCTAATAGGCCCTATCACTGGGTCCTCAGTAAGCCATTCCATCAGTCTAGGGTGCTAGATACTTTTAGGGATGGGCTGTATTGTGAGGTCATTGAATTCCAGAGTAAAAGCCAACTGCCACATTTCTTTTGCCATAAAATGAGTTTCCTATGTTCAGAAGCAATGTTGCACGTTATTCCACGGTGGTGAATAAAACATTCTGTCAGTCCATAGATGGTGGTTCTGACAATAAGTTGTGGGGGCAGGAAAGACTAATCTATATCCAGAATACACATCTGTTGCAGTGAAGACAAATCACTGTCCCTTCTATGATGAAAATAACGCAACATCACTAGCCTGATATAAGGCCATTCCCCCAAAGAAATGATGTAACTATGATGTTAAAATAGATGTATCCATTTATTGCCATAAAAATCTTAATAAGATTATATACCTTAACCCATTAAATTATGTGCTGGGAATTTATTCTCAAGAAACAATCAAATATAAAGAAAGTTATTTATGCCCAAAGGAATTACATGTTATTAGAAAAACCTGGAGAACAACCTTAGCATCCTACAGTGAGAGGCTGGGAATTAAATTATGGGCATAAGTTCAAGAAATTATTACACAGCATTTAATAACAGTAAGTAATACCAAATAAACTCTTATTGTTGAGTCAAAAAAAGCAGGGTAAAATATTTGTGTATAGAAGGTCACATTATTAAGATAAAGAAAAACTTATGCATAAGAAAAAAATAAAAGCCTGGAAAGCACCCCGTGTCCAATCAATCACCACTTGCTCTCCCTAAATGTCTCCTTTATCTGTGGACTCCTCTCCTTCTCCATCACTCCCATCAGTGTCCTGTTGCTGCCTCTCATCTGGATGACAGCAGCAGCTTCCTAATAGCCTCTCCTCAGGAACCCCTGCCTCATTCAGATAACGTTCTCTACACTACAGTGAGAGGGATTTTTAAATACGAATTTGGTTATAGAATTTTTCCTGTTTAAACCCTTCAGTGTCTTTTCATTTCTTTTTTGTTGTTGTTTTGCAGAGTCTCACTCTGTCACCCAGGCTGGAGTGCAGCGGCGGGATCTCGGCTCATGGCAACCTCTGCTGCCCAGGGTCAAGCGATTCTCTTGCCTCAGCCTCCCGAGTAGCTGGGATTACAGGCACTTGCCACCACGCTCAGCTAATTTTTGTATTTTTAGTAGAGATGGGGTCTCACCATCATGGCCAGGCTGGTCTTGAACTCCTGACCTCAGCCTCAGCCTCGGCCTCCCAAAGTGATCTGTCCGCCTCAGCCTCCCAAAGTGCTGGGATTACAAGCATGAGCCACCGTGCCCAGCCCCACTTTTCATTTCTTTAAGAGTAAATTCTAAAATATTTAACGTGCCTAAAAAGGCTATCCGTGATTTTGGCCACAGGAGACCTCCTCAGCCTCATGATTTCTTGCCCATATACCCCAGCCACTGTCGGTTCACATTCAGTCGTGCTTTCTGTCCAGATGCACCTGCTCATGGGCACTAAGCTCTAACCCTGAATGTTATCGGTGGTGAACTTTAGGCACTAGGTTATGCAAATTTCTATGTCTTTCCTCCTGTTGTCCTGTTTCATTTTTAAAAATATTCTTCATGGAATAAGAACCTCTGTTAAGTAAAATGTAATTAATACTAAAATAATAAATGCATTCAGGTTGATAATTTTTATTTTCCACTAGACTAGGAAGATCTACCATAGGCAAATTATTTCAAGAGATGACTAATTAGACTACAAATTTCAGGCAGAATGTCTACCGCTGAATAGAAAGAAAAAGGGGGACTAAGGATCTGTGTCATCCATTTATAATTATTTCATAATTACAGAATAAGTGGAGAAAACATTACCATCAGACTGACAGGACTCGAATAAACCTTCATAAAAGAACGTTACTATAACACGAGTAAAGGAGGGGTGCCCTCTCCCTTTTCATGGTTTAAAGTGGAAGTGCTCTTCCCCACCCCAAAATTCACTCGGTAGCCCCCTCCCTTCCACCCCCAGGGGATCTCCACATGAATCCCTCCCTGGTGGTGAATTCCCCAGGCTCCCAGAGAGGAAACAAAATCCTGGGATTTCTCTCTCTCACACAGCTCTGTTGCTTTCAACAGAATTTTTAACCCATAAAGAAACTTTTCTTTTTAAAAATCCTTTTCTATTTTTTAAAAATAATTCAGTAGAAAGGCAGTTCTTAGAACCTGTGTCTTCCATGACATTTAAGTCCATTCACAATTTTTCAAAAATGCTGGGGTGGCCAGATGCTCTTGCAGCTGTCCCTGCACTGGATTGGTGTGTCTGGTTGTTCCGCCTTTCTCCCTTCTGACTCCCATGACAGCGCCCCTAATTCATGGACTCTACTATAGAGAATGCTTTACCAGACAGCTGATATATCCAGGATGAATCCTTTCATCACAGTATCTAGCATATCACTGGACTTCTGCTAGGACAGACATAAACCATCCATGGTTAACTGGTCATCTGATTTCAAGGTGATGGTCATGGTCTCAGGAAAGGGTTCTCAGCTTCTAGAATCACATGAAAACTTCCTGGGTGGTAACAGCAGCTTTAGATGGTGGTTCCATTAAGACTTCCTCAGGGATATCTTCCTGGATCTTTTTGATCAGTTCAAATTGCCCTGTTATAGGCTCTCATAACCACATGCTCTCATTATACATGTATTTATGTGATTTCGTTGTGTGTGTGTCTCTCATTATACTGTAAGTTCCACAAAGGTGGGAACTATCACTTTCTTTCTTTATTCTTTCTCTCTCTCCCTTTGTATTTTTATTCACCACTACATCTCCAACATCTAACCAAGCTCTAGGCGTGAGGTAGGGGCTTAGTACACTCTTCTTGAATGAATATAGATAAAGCTTACTCAAGGAGTTCTAATTTAAGTAATAGTGCAGCTTGCATTGGACTAATCATCCTAGAGCAAACAATAAAAATTATGGATACAATATAAGAAAAAAGAACAGGAGCAACCAAAGAGTAACAAAGAGAGGACATAAACCAGTAAGGAATTGATCCTTGAAAAAAGGGAGCCATACTGGGTGAGATGTACATTTATTTTTCTCTTGAGGATACTCTAATGGTTACACAGTATAGCAGCTAGAACTCAGGCCACCCTCTTTTGGGTCTGAGGAGTCAGAATTTCCAGAGATTCTGGAATGTTGATAAGGAAAATTCTAAGAAAGAGTACAGCCAGAAAAACTACAGCCAAAAGTCCATATACAGTCATTCCTCTGTATCTGTAGGAGATTGGTTCTAGGACCTCCCCTGACAGATGCCACAATCTGTGGATACTCAAGTTGCTTGCATAAAATGATGTGGTATTTGCTTGTAACCTACACATATTCTCCAATATACTTGAAATCATCTTTACAATGTAAATAATACAATGTAAATAATTGTTATACAGTATTGGTTTTTTAATTTGTATTTTTTGGGGGTATTATTATTAACTTCTTGATTTTATTTTTTTGAGATGGGGTCTCACTCTGTTGCCCAGGCTAGAGTGCAGTGCTGTAATCTCGGCTCATTGCAAGCTCTGCCTCCTGGGCTCAAGTGATCCTCCTGCCTCAGCTTCCCAAATAGCTGGAATTACAGGCCAATGCCACCAGGCTAAGCTATTTTTTATATTTTTTTGGTAGAGATGGAGTTTCTCTATGTTGCCTAGGCTGGTCTAGAACTCCTGGGTTCAAGTGATCCGCTTGTCTCTGCCTCTCAAAGCACTGGGATTACAGGCGCAAGCCACCGTGCCCCATAATTTTTTGAATATTTTTGATTTGCAGATGGTTGAATCAGTGAATGGGAAACCATGATACGTAGGACCCACTGACTGAATTATTCTCTAATCTTCATCTGACTCCCAGACTATGCATGTTTGGATGAAACTCTGGATCTAAAAGGCAATATGAAGAGCTTGAAGGATGAATAAACTAAGCAGAGTTGTAATCTGCTGCTCACCATAGAGAAGTAAGAGTTTGGAGTTAGAATACCTCTGTGTGAGAGGGGTTTGTTAAATACCTTAGTGGTTTTTCACTGGACTTCTAGAAAGGCCGTACTTTAGAAGTAAAGACTACTTCTGAGAACTAAGACATTTGCAAAAGCAGCATACTCAAACAAAGGCTAAAACTAAGTGCTTGAGGATCAAGGTGCTCTGTGAATAATATATTTAACGTCTAGAACAAATAAGCAACACTATTCCAAATACATTAACAAAAGAGTCTCTACAATGTATGAAAAACAATACTTAAATCACAATTAAAAAAATCGTCTGTGGGAGGCTGAGGTGGGCGGATTACCTGAGGTTGGGAGTTCGAGACCAGCTGACCAACATGGAGAAACCCTGACTCTACTAAAAATACAAAATGAACCAGGTGTGGTGGCACATGCCTGTAATCCCAGCTACTCGGGAGGCTAAGGCAGGAGAATCACTTGAACCCAGGAGGCGGAGGTTGCAGTGAGCCGAGATCATGCCATTGCAATCCAGCCTGGACAACAAGAACAAAACTCCATCTCAAAAAAAAAAAAAAAAAGGAAAAATAAAAGAAAAAAAAATCATGTAAAAAAAAAAGACAATGTGACTCATTGAAGAAACGAATCAATAAAAAACAGACCCACAGATGACCAGAGATTGTATATTGCAGGTAATTACTTTAACCAACATAAAAAGTGTTAAAGAAATAGATATAATAAATAATGGAGAATTTTAGAAGAAATATAGAAACTTAAAAAGGAATCAAATACATATCTTAAAGAAATAAGATAGCTAAAATAAAAAATTAATTGGATGAAGTTAACAGCAGATTGGGTTCGACAAAAGAAAGTATTCATAAATTTAAAGATACATTATTAGAACTTATCCTGAATAAGAACAGAGAGAGAGAGAAAGAAAAACTGAAATGCAAAGGAAAACAAAACAAAAACCTGTAATGTAGTCCCAGAGGGAGAGGAGAATAAGAATTACACAGAAAAAAAAATTGAAGAAATACTGACCGAACTATTACAAAGTTTGATAAAACAAAAACATCAACTTACAGACTCAAGAAGCCCAGGAAACTCCAGGAAGAACAAATACAAAGAAAATCACACCTGAACACATTGTAGTCAAAGTGTAATCAACCAAAGCAAAAGAAAAAGCATTAAAAGTATTCAGAGCAGGGTAAAGACATATACAGGAGAATCTGGAGAAGACTAACAGCATACCAGCATATTTATTATTAAAAAGAAAGAAAAAAGAAAACAATGAAAATTAGAAGATAAAGGAATGACATTTTAAAGTGTCAGGGCAGGGGATAAGGCATGGGAAGACACTATCACATAGATTGTTTCATCAAATGAAAGTATGTTTTTAAAAATGAAGAAAAAATAAAGATAGTTGCCAGATAAGCTGTAGACAGAAGCTAAGAAAATGTATTCAGACTCACACTACCAGAAATGCTCAAGAAAGCTCTTCAGGATGAATGTAAATGATATCAAGTGAACATTTGAATCCAAAAGAAAGGAGGGAAGAGCACTAAGAATAGTATATATGAAAAGCTATATTTTCATTTCTCAAATGTTATAAAATGTAATGGACTGTTTAGAGCACAAATAATAACAAAATGATGGTTTCTAACAAAGGAAAAGTAAAACATGTGATGATTGCAGAAATAGAGGATGAGAAGATGCTATTTACAGCTCTTAACGTGGTATATGAAGTGATATAATGTCAATTCAGTATCGATGTAGACAAGTTAAGTAAGGATGCTTACTGTTATTATTAGAGCAACCATTGAAAAAGAGGAATAAAAGCAAAACAGCCATAGAAGAGATAAGTTGAATAACTAAACAAAAAAACCAACAGCATGATTATCCCAAGAGAAGACAGGAAACGTGGAGTAAAAATACTAAGAACTAAAAGCACAGATAAACAACAAATAGCAAGCTGCTATATTTAATCCAAATTACATTAATACTTACATTAAATGTTAATGAACTAAACATTCCAATCGAAAAGCAGGGGTTGTCACACTGGATATAAATAAAGAATTAAGTACTTTTTTTTAAAAGAGATATACATTACCTATAAAGCCAAAAGTGAATTAAATGCAAAAAGATTAAAAAAAATGCTGAGCAGAACCTCATGACCTGTGTGAAAATAAATACGAAAGATCTCATATTGCATATTAGGCAAAGTAGATTTCAAGGCAGGGAGTATTACCATTGATAAAGGGCATTATTTCATGATGATTAAATGGTCAATTACTGAAGAATACCTGGAAATTCTAAATGTATGCAATAAATAACAATACTCCAAAATACATAAAGAAAAAGTTGACAAAAGTAAAGGCATAAATAGAAAAATGCACAAACATAGTGATTTTAATACCGTTCATTTAGAGTTGATATAACAAATAGATAACATGGCCGGCTGCGGTGGCTCACGCCAATAATCACAGCACTTTGGGAGGCCGAGGCAGGTGGATTGCTTGAGCTCAGGAGTTTGAGACCAGCCTGGTTTATACAGCAAGACCCTGTCTCTACCAAAAATATAAAAAGTAGCCGGGCATGGTGGCTCATGCCTGTGGTCCCAGCTTCTTAGGGTGCTGAGGTGAGTCAAGATCCTGCCACTGCACTCCAGCCTGGGTGACAGAGTGAGACCCTGTCTCAAAACAAACAAACAACAAACAAACAAAAAACAAAACAAAACAAAAACAAAAACCAAAACCAAGTAGATAAAAATACAGAAAGAATGCAGAAGATTTGAAAATAGTGTTAACCAACTTGATCATACAACATTTGTAGAACATATACCCAACAATTGCAGGATGCATGTCCTCTTTAAGTGCATATGGGACTTTTATAATCATGGGCCTTTTGCTGATTCTTAAAACAAGTCTCAATAAATGTCAGCTGGTTAGAATCATACAGAGTATTTCTCTGACAGGAGTAGAACAATATTTGAAATTAATAACAGTAAGATATTCAGAAAAGCCCAAAATATTTGGAAACTGAAGAAATAACACAGGAGGTTAAAAGATTTTGAAATGGATGATAATGAAAACACAACATACAAAAATTTGTGAGGTAAATAAAGAAATGCTTAGAAATGTATGTATGACTTTAAATGCTTATATTAGAAAAATGATAAGTTTCAAATCAGTGATCTACACCTCTACCATATGAAGCAAGTAAAAGAACAAATTAATCTCAAAATAAGTAAAAATGGGAAAAATAAAGAACAGAAATTATTAAAATAGACTAATAGAAACAGAACTAACAGAAAGTATAGAAAATAAACTAATAATGATAAATGTTGGCCAACAGAGAAAGTCAACAAGGTCAAAGTATTTTCTTTAAAAACATTTCTAGACCAACTAAGAAAAGAAGAGAGAAAATATCAATTACTAATAACAGTATGATAGAAAAATAACTTCTGTGTTGGTAATCTCCAGGCTCTTCCTAGGGTTGAAAATTTGCTAGGAGGACTCCCAGAACTCAGCACACTACCCCTGGCTAAGATTTTTTACAACATGCTATGGATTGAAGAAGTTCCCTCTAAAATTCAGGTGTTGAAACTTAATGGCCAATGCGATGGTACTGAGGGAAGACCTTTAAGAGGTAATTATGTTATTAGGGGTCCTTCTCTTATGAGTGGAATTAAGTGCCCTTATAAAGGGGCTTGAGGGAGGGAGTTTGTCTCTCTTACCTTTCTACCTTCTGCCATGGGAGGGCACAGTGTTTCTTGCCTCCAGAAGATGTAGCAACAAGGTGCCTTCTTGAAAGCATACAGCAGCCCTCACCAGACAGCTGAACCTGCTGGTGCCTTGATTGTGAACTTCTCAACCTCCAGAATTGTGAGAAATAAATATCTGTTTCTTATAAATTACCCAGTCTGTGGTATTCTGGGTATTCTGTTATAGCAGCACAAAACGGACTAAGACACGATCAAAGGAAACAAAGCAAAATCAGAGAAGGAAAAGGTACGTGGATCAGAGCCCAGAGGAAACCAGATGCAAGGTTTCAAACGTGCTTTCTCTGTGGAACCACACAGGATATGCTTAGTTCCCCCACAGTGACTTGTGACAACATGTATGAAGTGTCTAATGACCTTATCAGAGATCTGTGTCCAGGATTTTTACTGGGAACACTTTGGCAGCCTCTGTCCACCATATACCAAAATTGCAGACTCCCAGAAGGAAAGTGCGTATTCAGCATAAACCATATTTCTTGTGCAGTAGTTAGCGCACTACTCTTATCAGATTGGGTGGCAAGGACCCTTCCAAAATCAAAGTTTTCAGATGCCAGCCAAGGGCCACACTTGAAATGATAGCAAATGATAGCAGTCAGAACTTTGATGTTAACCCTTCTGCACCACTATATGCCCTACAGATATTGCAAAACTAACAGCTTTATGCCAATATCAGAATGATAGAGGACAAGTGACTTCAGATCCTATAAATATTACAAAACTATGACTTGGTGTCCATATATTTGTCAACTGAAACAAAATGGCAAATTTCTTGAACATGACAACATACTAAAACTAACACAAGAAAAAATATGAATAGTAATATATCCTTGAAATAAATTGATTCAGGAAAAAAACCTACTGACAAGAAAACTCCAGACTCATATGGTCCCTCTGAAAAGTTCTATAAAACGCTTAAAGAAGAAATAACACAAGTTTCACAAACTGCTCCAGAAAATAGAGGACTAAAGAACACTTATGACCGATTTTATGGGGTTAATCTTACTCTGATACCAAAACCTGCCAAGGAGACAATAAATTACATTCAAAAATCCTTCATGATTATCAATGCAAAAGTTCTTAAAAATATGTTGAATAATTAATCCAGAAGTATATAGAAGGAATTTATCCCAGGTATGCAAGGTGGGGTTAGCATGCTTAAATCAATGAATGTAATTAACTGCAATATATATAGGAAAAAATACCTTTTCCTTTACTCTCATGGTACTTTCAATACTTCCCTTATGACACCAGAAATGTGAAGTTTTTTTTTTTTTTTCTACAGCAGTCAATTCTCAAATTTTCTTGGGATACCAACGAGGTGTCTTACAATTCAATTTCCACACTGTCTACCTGGAATTAGCATAGATCCCATTAGTTAAGGGCTCAGTCCCATAAGACTGTCCCCCTACTTCAGATACCAATTGCAAGTGGTAAGTCTTTATGTGACCCACAATTTCTCTCTGACGTGGCTACAAAATTGGTGGTTCCCTGGAGCTTCTTTTCATGTTCAGTCATTTGCTAGAACAGCCACAGAACTCAGGAAAATGTTTCCTTATGCTTACTGGTTTATTATAAAATAAAGGATACCATAAAGGCTGCAGATGACCAGCCAGGTAAAGAGACACACAGGATGAGGTCCATAACGGCCCACAGTGCAGGTGCTTCTGTCTCATAGAGTTGAGGTACATCGCCCCTCCTGGTACATGGATGTGTTTACCAACCTGGAAGCTCTCTAAGTCCCTTACTTTAGGGATTTTTATGGAGGCTTCATTATGTAGACATGATTGGTTATTAACTCAGTCTTTAGCTTCTCCTCCTTCCCTGAAGGGATGGGGGCTGAGGCTGAAAGTTTAATGCTTCTATGCATGACTTGGTTTTCTAGTGACTAGCCCCCGTCTGGGAGCCCATCAAGAGTCATCTCATTAGAACAAAAGATGTTCCTATCATGAGGAATTCCAAGGAGTTTAGGAGCTCTGTGTCAGAAACCAAGGCCAAAGACCAAATATGGGAACAAAAGATATCCTTAGAAGCCCTATCACAGAATGGAGAGTCTGCAAATACACATTTATATGTTCAACCAATTTCAATAAAGGTGCCAAGGTAACTAAACAGAAAAAGAAAAGTCTTCAAGAAAAGTGTTGGACAAACTAAATGTCTATATGGAAAAAAGGGGTACCTCAATCCTCACTTCACATCATTCACAAAAAATAATTTGAGCTACATCATAGACCCAGGCATACAAATGAAAACTATAAAACTTCTAAAAGAAATATACAATAATATCTTCATGCTGTAAGGTAGGTGAAAATTTCTTAGGACTAAAGGGGTACTAATAAAAAAAATCTTAAATTGGGCCTTAGCAAAATTAAAATCTGCTCTTGGAAAAAAAGAAACACCATTGATAAAGTCACAGACAGGGGAAAATATTTGCAAAGGGTTAATATTCAGGGTATTCAAAGAACTCCTAAAGTTCAGTAATAAAAAACAAATAACTCAATAGGAAAAAGGACAGATTACCTGTAAAAGGAGGCATATAATTAGCCAACAAATATAAGAAAAGATGCATCTTACAATTAGTCTTCAGGGAAGTGCAAATCAAAATCCTATGAGATATTACTTTACAGACATCAGAATGGCTAAAATTAGAGACTGGCAATACCAAGGGTTGGTGAGGATGTAGATTATTCTGGAACTTTCTTACATTGCTGATGGGAATGTAAAATAGTTCAGCTATAGTGAGAAACAGTTTGGTAGCTTCTTATAAAGCCAAAAATATATCTACCCTATGATTCAGAAATACTACTTTTAGATATTTACCCAGGTAAAATGCAGGTATATTTCTACAATAAGATTTATAAAAGAATGTTCTTAATAGCTTTATTCATAATAGCCAGAAACTCTTACCAACCTCAATGTGTATCTACAGGTAAATGGGTAAACAAAATATATTTTTCTTTTTGTTGTTTTTTGAGGCAAAGTCTCGTTGTCACCCTGGTTGAAGTGCAGTGGCGAGAACATAGCTCACTGCAGCCTTGAACAACTGGGCTCAAGCAATCCTCCCACCTCAGCTAGGACTGTAGAAGGATGACACCATGCCCAGCTAATTTTTTATTTTTTGTAGGGACATGGTCTCACTATGTTGCCCAGGCTGGTCTCAAACTTCTGACCTCAAGTGATCCTTCTGCCTCAGCCTCCCAAAGTGCTGGGATTACAGGCATGAGACACTACACCTGGCCTGATATATTTACATAATGTAAAACGAAGCCAACTTTTACTATACACAACAGAAGAGACAAAGTTTTAAAGCATTCTGTTGGGTGAAGGAAGCTGGACATAAAATAGTATACACTGTATGATTTAATTTATTTGAAGTTTTAGAATAAGAAAAACTTACCTCGTGGTGAGAGAATCCAGAACAGTGATTGCCTCTGGAAGATAAGTAGGGTCAGGTGGGTACTGAGTGATAAGGGTGGAGGGAACTGTCTAGGGTGATGAAAATAGTCTATATTTTTACTGGGATGGTGGTTACATGGCAAATACATTTGTCAAACCTCCATGAGCCGCACACTTAAAATTGGAAAATTTTGTTGCCTGTAAATAATGATTTGGTTATAGAAACAAAAAACCAAAAACATTTATCCTGCTGGGGAAGGGTGGTGAAAACAAGTTGGATTGGGTTCTTCAAGCTAGGATTCCTGGTTCTAAACCCCACACTCTTTCTTTCTCCTCTGCCACCTCCTGAGCAAAGTCCTCACTTTGAGAAGGGGCAGCTGTCAGCTTTGAATTCGTGTCTTCTCAGCCCCCTCTCTTACCATGGAGCTCCAGAAGTCCACCCCACTGATGCCCATGGAGGGCCTTTCTCTACTTCTAACTCCACATCATGTTCTTTGATAAAAGCCTCCCTGCTGGAACAATTGCCTTCATTATGCCCATGTGCTTGTGCAAATTTGTGGCTGATTTCTCCCAGGGGAACAATCTCCACTTAAATTCAAAGCCATCGAGGGGCTCCTCTAATCTCAAAAGCATTTGTAGAGCTGAATGCTGTGTTTTTACTCCCAAGGTGATGTTCTGGGAAATCACCAAGCCTCCCTAGTGCGCGCACTCAAACCAACACCACTTTGGTCAAGTATTTCTGTACCTATTAGGAGATCCTGAACCCCAGCTCACAAGATAACGTGTTGTCCTGAGTTCCTTGCTCTCTAAGGGATAGAGGTGGCATGCTCTTGCTTCCTGAATACCCATCAGCTGCTGGTGGGTTGAGGGTTTTATATCCTGATCACTGTCCCCTTAGGCAGACAGTCACCTCCCTTCCCAACCACCCTGTGAATGTTTTCTCCTTCACAAACAATCGCTAATGATGTTTTCTCTCTGGACTGACACCTGCCTTATTAGGAGCCTGCTCCACTCAGCAGCAGCACCTGAGCAGGGCCCTGGGCCTCCAGCCTGCCTGAGGCAAGCTGAGCCCAATAGGGGAATGACTTACAGTGGCAGTTCAGAAAATCAGAATTGAGATTCAGAGACTTCTGAATGGTTATGTCCCGGAGGGATACATGATGGTGATCTGCGGATATTTTCAGAGTCACTCCATTTGATTTTATTTTTGGGTTTTGCTGGCCTTCCTATAATGGAATACAACAAGCTTTCTTTCTTTAGGTACACGTGGTTTGCATTTCAGAGAGCTCCCTCCTACAGGCAGATGCATTCATGGGCTGGGGGAGTTTGTAAGTCTAAAAACAAAGTGGAGAGAATGTCCACCTGCTTTCCTTTTGTCAGCTCTTTGCAGATGAATGTAGAAGGGCAGGGATTCTATGGCTGCCTATATCTGAGGCAAGAGCTGCGAGGACAGGAAATGCCACGTGGAGTTTGCATGAGAAGAACACCGGGCAGGGGGAGTTGAAAGACATCTTGCTATAACGAGAGAAACAGTCGAGCACACAGAAGTGCCTCCCCAGCCCCGACATCCTGCTACTGGGAAAACTCAAAACATTCTGGGAACCTGACATCCTTTAACATTTCCCAGGCTGGCAGCTCCAGGGGGTCTGGCCTGTGGATATGGGAGGACATTAAGTGCATGGTTCAGGCAGAAAGCACACAAATGTCCAGTTCTGACCCTAAAGTGGGTTTCCAAATGCTGTGCTGATCTGGAGCCCTCGTGCCCAATGCTAGGGACCAGCATGTGCCACAGATCTCTCTGCTGCCTGCTCCCAGCTTGTGGCTTCTGTTGTCCTTGCCGGCTGGCCACAGGCTTGGCCACAGTTGGCTGGCTGTGACCAGACAGAAGAACAGAATGATAGATGTCACCGGAAGAGCAGGTTTTCCATCTTTAGAAAATGAGGCAGGGGGGCACAGTGACCAGGCCTGGGCAATATAAAGCAGATCGAAGATCAAGCCCAGACTCAGGAATAGACAGTTGTGTATTTGAATCCCAGCTTTGCCCCTTGCTAGCTGTGTGGCTTTGGGAAACATCACCTGCCTTTTTTGAGCCTGTTGTTACTTCCTCTGTGCACTGGGGAAAATATATCTTACATGGTTATTGTGAGAATCCAAACACACAAAGAACTGAGTAATAAAGTACTTAGCTCTGGGCTTGGCACATAGCCGCCATGACATAAGTGGTGATCTTTGATTTAGTAAGTTTAATTTTCAGTCATAAACCTGAGTTTGAGACCAGCTTTGGTCATTTAAGAGATATGCTGCTTTGGGCTACCCATCCAGTCTTTCAAATATCATTTTCCTTACTTATAAGACAAAGTAACACCCAACTCACGGAAGTGTTACACTTCCAAGAAGCCTTCTCTGATCCCCTGTCATGTGGAGTGTGGCATTTCAGGCTTCATGTGCTCTTGATAAAACACAGATCCTACTTCTATAGCTGTGGCAGGGCCTGGGCTACTGCATTTTGAATAAGCATCCGGGTGATGCTGATGCTTCAGGTCCGTGGACCATGCTTTGAGTAGCAAGGATGTAGAATTTGTTATTCCTTTTTTTTGTGTATCTCCATTATCATAATGGTAGTCATAAGCATGTTTGGAGATGTGTTTGCGTGTGTGTGTGTGTGTGTCGGGGGGTGTTTTCTCATGTCTCCCTTGTGACTGGGCACACCTATAGGACAGGGACAATGTCTCCTCTCTCTCTCTCCATTCTTCACAAATGAGTCTTCCATTGACCAGAGCTCAAGACAACTTTCACAGGCAGGAGGGTAGCAGCTGCTTCCTCTGTCCACCTTCTGATGCTTTGAATCAAGTCGGCCACTGTGATCTAGGATGGGGAAGCCTAGCTACGTTTACTGAGTAACTCTGTTGTTCCATCTTAGGGACCCTCCACTGCCATTTATTCTCAGAATCCAGTGTCCCTAGGGCCACTTTGCTCATGAACAGAGCTTTCTCTTCACCTCCACCCCCTGCTATGTTGGCTTCTAGAATTCGGTCCTGGGCTTTGAGCCCAGGGTCCAGTGTCCCTTCAGTCTGATGCCTGCTAGTTTCTACTTATGGACCTATAGGCTGACGCCCTGGATGGAGAGTCATTGACCACTCACCTGAAGCCTCAGGCTTGGCACTCTTTGTCCCCATTCCTGGATCTGTGACCTCAGTGCTGGAAATCTGAGTTAGCTCTCAGTGCCCTGGGGAAGCTGGGCCTGACCCCTGAACTGAACCAACAGAGGGTGTTCACTGCTTTCCCGCTCACCAAACCCCACTCCCTCTGCTCAGCTCATATCACATTTGGTCTGGTTGGAGCCCCCTCCAAAATGACCTCATGCTTCTCAGTGTGCAGAGTCATGAACCAGGGAATCACCAAATTGTTGACGAAATGGTTGAAATATGGGAAGAAGTAATGCTTTTCAGGTAAGAGAGAAAGAATAAAGAACACAATCTCCTCTTCAGGCTTATCAAGGTGCTCTGAGTATCTAGGGGTAGACATGAGTGTATGAATCAAAAGTCAGAGGAAGCTTTTTTTTTGAGACAGAGTCTTGCTCTGTCACCCAGACCTTAGTGCAGTGGTGCTATCTCGGCTCACTGCAAACTCAGCCTCCCAGGTTCAAGCAATTCTCCTGCCTCAGCCTCCTGAGTAGCTGGGATTACAGGCACCTGACACCACGCCCAGCTAATTTTTGTATTTTTGGTAGAGACGGGGTTTCACCATATTGGCCAGGCTGGTCTGGAACTCCTGACCTCAGGTGATCCGCCCGCCTGGGCCCCGCAAAGTGCTGGGATTACAGGCGTGAGCCACGGCGCCCAGCCAGAGGAAGCTTTTAAATCCTGTGCATTGTCTAAGGCTCCTTCTAGCACCAACAGCGCCCCCTCATGCACAAACACATGCACATGCACACATTCACACTCACCTCCCTCCAGACCCCTGCCACAACGTTGGGCTCAGCCTGTTGTATAGACGCCACTCATGTCAGTTTCATTTAGTTCTGTCTCACTCTGGGTTTCTCTTTCTCTTTTCATCCCTCATTGCCCATCTCTCTCTCTTCCCTTCCATTATCCTCTCCCTCTGTACCTCTCTCCCTCTGTTTCTCTGTTCCCTACCATTCTGGGCCTCTGTCTTGTTCCTTTATCCCTTCCTCACTCTCTCACTCCTGGTGCTGTATTTGTTTCTCCCCTACACTTGTCTCTCAGCTCCATCTGCTTTCTCTGGTTCTTTCTCCCTTGGACCTTGGTATGGTTTGGCTCTGTGTCTCCACCCAAAACTCATCTCAAGTTGTAATCCTCACGTGTCGAGGGAGGCACCTGGTGGGAGGTGATTTTAATATGGAAGTGGTTTCCGCCACGCTGTTCTCGTGATAGTGAATGAGTTCTCACGAGAACTGATGGTTTAAAAATGTGGCACTTCCCCTTCGATCCCTTGCTCGCTGCTGCTGCCACGTAAGAAGTGTGTTGCTTCCCCTTCGTCTTCCACCATGAATGTAAGTTTCCTGAGGCTTTCCCAGCCATGCGGAACAGTGAGTCAGTTAAACCTCCTTTCTTTATAAATTACCCAGTCTCAGGTGGTATCTTTATAGCAGTGTGAAAACAGATTAATACAGGCTGTTTCTCATCTGATTCCATCTCCTAGCGTCTGTGAAGTTCTCTATCTTTCTGTCTCTGTCAGGTCATGAGCATAATTTCCATCTTCACACATACCCCAAAAAAACCAGAGAAGGAGAGCAGGGAATGGGCTGGCTCTTCTCTTCTTCCAAAGCCTGAAAATCTGGCTTGAAGCGCTGGAGCTGGCCAAGCTTTGTGCTGACCAGTAGGCTGCCTTGCTTCTTGGCAGGAGAGTTGCTGGGAGGCCCCACCCAGCGCATGAGGATTAGACAACATCCATGAGGGATGCTGACTGCTAAGACGGACATACACTATTCTCAGATATGAGTTTTCAAACCTCTTGCAAACACATCCTTCCACCCCTCCTAGTGTCCCTCTCTGAGAAAGAAAAATTATTTTTCTCTGTGGCTTCACCTTCATTCTCTGCACTGCAGGGCTCTCTGGAGGGTTGGGTTCACTTCTGTTTTCTTCCCTCTTTCCAGATAACTTACAATAGACATGAATTGTCTTTGTAACAAGAATAAAAAATCATGAAATAAATTAAATGAACGTGTTGGGCTAGGCCATCTTTAGGACCCACCTTTTTGGCGCCCATGTGCTATGATAGCTCCTGACTTTGCCAACACAGAGACAAAAAAGAAACAGCATGCATGGGAAAATTTAGGTTTCTACAGGAAGGAAAGCAATTTTTTTTTTTTTAGATGGAGTCTCACTCTGTCGCCCAGGCTGGAGTGCAGTGGCGCGGTCTCGGCTCACTGCAGGCTCCGCCCCCGGGTTCACGCCATTCTCCTGCCTCAGCCTCCCGACTAACTGGGACTACAGGCGCCCGCCACCTTGCCCAGCTAATTTTTTGTATTTTTAGTAGAGACGGGGTTTCACCTTGTTAGCCAGGATGGTCTGGATCTCCTGACCTCGTGATCCGCCTGCCTCGGCCTCCCAAAGTGCTGGGATTATAGGCGTGAGCCACCGTGCCTGGCCAGGATAGCAATTCTATACAGAAAAGGCCTCTGCTGCTTTGAGGGTCTTTGGGCTTAGAAAGAAGAATCTAAGGTTTATGATCAATATTTTTGAAATATTTTAAAATGAGCACAGCCAATTAGCAGGTGATTGTCACCTGCCCAAGCAATCATTTGGCTGCTCTAAGCTTCTGTCCCAAGGAGCCAAAAAACTGGGACATCAGGGATGACAGAGCATTTACGTGGTCTAGCTGTGCCCAGAAAAATCACCTAAGTCCTGTGGATTTTGCAGGTGACATCAAGAATACCAAAGATCCTCTGTATACAAGAATCTTTACTTTTATTTCCTGAGTCATTTTAGGAAGACTGGGGCTATGTCTATGATATTTGCTGACATGACACTCTCTCTTATATCCTGTTCATAGCATCACAAAAACAAATGCTCAGTCTAATTCTATGTGTGTGCCTTGGCTGTATATTACATTATCCCGCAATTAGCACAATGATGGGTGATCAGGGCGAGCAGAATGATATTGCTGTGAGTGACCTATTATTATCCGCCGATTACACTTTACATGGAAATTAAATGAATTCTGTCAGAGCTCTGCAGCCAGGGAGAGAAGAAAATGCCTCATTGTTCGGCTCCCTGAGCTGGAGAGACTGCACGTGGCGATAAAGAGACCTGTGTTTGTGCAAAAACAAGGCGTGGGCTTCCAGTTTAAAAGATGCATTTGTTACACCAAAGCTCGAAATAGGAAATGCGTGTGGGCAGAAACAACGGAGATGAAAGGGGAGAAAACTAATTATTACTACCACCATTTGCGTATTGGGGTATTTATATAATGTGTTAAATTTCTTCTGTTGGGAAAATGTTTGTCATATCGGTGAGAATGAAACTTTACCCTTAGAGGGGGTATTCTTAGGCTTGAACACTTTTAGCTCAGTGAAATTTTTTTTTCCTTGAAATTATCTCCTGCATTCTTTTCTCTGCTCATCTTTCAATGGGCATCATCTTTAAAACATCATCTTTTCCACCTCTCTGTCTCTTTCATGATCTTGCATGTGCCTTTATTGTCTCAATAAGTGTCCCTTTAGATTTCTTTCTCAGGCATATTGCAGGTATCAATACTAAATAAAAAAGAGAGGCAAAATTCTACTGCCTTAGAGGCAGAGTGATTTGGGGAAAGGACATTACAACTGATAAATTTATAAAGAATCAGGAACTTAGAGTTCTTATCTTGGACATAGCTTCAACTAAATGCTCTGAAATGTGAAGACAATGGGAGTGACCTTGCCCTATTGGGAAGGGATTTGAGTTCTGGCCAATGATCCCAGTGATGTTTTCTCAATTGTAAAAAGAGATGGAGAGGTTTGAATTGCATCTCCCAGTGGTCTCTTGCAGTTCTGATATTCAGACATCAAATGATCAATATCTTGACTCACTCATCTAGTAAATATTTCTGAAAGAACTCACCATTAACAAGGCATTGTGCTGGGTAGAGGAGAAGATTAAATTTGGGGCTGATATATACAACTAGTTAGCTAAATCCTAAACAAAGCCTTTCTACCAAGCACCTAAGAAAACCCTTCCCATTTTTGAAGGGCCTTATTCTCAAGAGTATGAAGAGTGGCAACATCTCTTTATGCCCGTGGATCTTATGTCTAAATAGGCCTGTGATTGGGAACCCAAATTCTAGGCATTAGTGAGAGGGTTTAGTAACTAAGTACCAAGGCTGCAGCTTAGCCATATGAGATGTTGGAGAGTGGGCATAGGAGTCCTATATATATGTTTGAATAAAGACTAGTAAAAACCAGATTCCCAAGCTCATCTTTTTAGTCAAGTGGTGCCTCCGACACAGAGTTATTTGTTAATAGTGGTGGTGTTTTTTTTTTCCTGTTGGGATTTTCTAATATATCATGCAATGTGAAGAATATAACGAATGGATTTTGGAAAAAGAAGTATATGAAAACCATCCCCCATCCACTGTGAAAATGAAAGGCCATTTGGAGGTTTCAGCTTGTTAGAAAATTTGTGAAACACTGTACTGATGCTCAAGGAAGAAGAAAGTGGTGTTTTTCCAATTTCTGTGTGTCAGAATCACAGATTACTTCAGAAAATTGTGAAACTATTAAGATTCGGAGAACAACTGATTCAGTTGATCCTAGCTGGGGCCAGAAAATCTATGTGTTTGACAGACTCTCCAGGTGATCTTATAGGTGGTCTTTGGCCAGGCTGAGCAAAACACTGTTGCAAGCGTGAAGTGCTTAAACTCTGTCCATATTAGCTGAGTCATTTTATGTAAGGTTCTAAAGTATTTAAGCCTGAAATCTTATGGGAGAGAACGGCCATGAAGATTGGAAGTTAATCTATATAAAGCATCTACATCAGTCTCCATGTATACTTTGTGCTTAGTAATAATTACTCTTATTACCTCCACCCCAGTGAGAAGGTCAGGGCTGGCCCAGAGGATTCTGAGGTATAGATATCTCTCAATGACAGTTTCCAGGCTTAACATATCACTGCAGAAACCTATGGGATCTGGAGTCCCTGATCAAAACATTCACCCAAGTGGCCGAGGCATGAAACTGGAATAGGACTTCTTACTTAGAAAGGCTGAGAAAGAGGATCAGGACATACTGATAGGAGATGGTGTGGAGAAAGTGCAGAAGATAGACACTCTGGTGGCTTCTTATGAGTTCCCAGTGCATCTTGGGCAAGCCTGTGTCACTTAAAGTGGCCAGAAGAGGATGACATTATGTTATGTAGTGACTGCAAAGATTCCAGGAAACTCCACACAGGCTATCATGAACTCCAGAAGTATCTCACTTGTGAATCAGCCCTAGTATATGCGCTTTCATTTTTCAGTTGTTAGTCATACTTAATTGTTAGTTAATTTCCCAGAACATTTATAGAAAAGGAATCTTTATGCATTAAGTTTGAGTCAATAATTTGTTCCCAAATTAAAAATAATGGTAAAAGATCACATTCAACACTGAGTAACATTTATTTTTGTAACTAGCACATTCTGGAATTTACTAACTTAGGTATCAAGTTTGCAAATGGCATAAGTACATTTTTACATTAACTTCTAATTTCTAAAATTTCAAATTTCTAAATTTCTAAAATTTCAGATTTTAAATTTCTAAGATTTCAAAAACACGCTTTCCAGCTGTTTCTAGCTATCAGTTTGTAAATAGACATACCATTTACAATGAGATATTTCCTTATATTCTAGAACAGAATGGCAATTTTCGTGTGGTGTTAATTTCCGTGGAAGAAGAAAAGGCTCGACTCTCTGTCCTATTTTTCATGAATACTGGAAGTAGGGAATAAACCTGGAGTCTCACGGGTGAAAAGAGACATTTCCATATCACCAGACCACAAACGTGGGTGAGTCTGATTTACCTTCAGAATTTCGACCCATTCTTTTGTGTTTTTTGAACTGCTTTCTTTAATTATAATTTACATGCTATGCCTCTTTCCCGTATAAAGTGCACAAATGAATAGTTTTTAGAATACTTCTAGAACTGTGTTAAAATTACCACAATTTAATTTTGGATGTATTTGCCATTCAAAAAAGAAATCCGTTTTCTTTTTATGTCTTTGGGCAACCATTAATATACTTTTTGTCTGTAGAGTTACCTATTCTGGACATTGCATATAAGTTGAATCATATAATATTTGGTGTTTTCTGACTTAGACTTAATGTTTTCAACGTTCATTTAGGTTGTGGCATGTATCAGAACTTCATTTTGTTATATAGCTTTTATCATGAGTATACCACACTTATCCATTGATTTGTTGCTGAAATTTGGGTTGTTTCCATTTTTTTGGCTAGTATAAAAACTACTGGTAGTTTACACAGTGTTTACATTGTGTACAAGTCTTTATGTTGACATATGTTTTCATTCCTCTTAAGTACATTCCTAGAAGTGGTACTGTGGGATCATATGGTAACTCTGTTTAACAGTTTGAGGAAGATCTTTCTTTTTACGTGCCGTCGTTTTACATTACCACCAGCATTGCATGAGGATTCCAGTTTCTCTATATCTTTGCCAGCACTTGCTATTGTGTTTCTTTTTTATGATAACCATTCTACTGGGTATGAAGTGGGGTCTAATTGTGGTTTAATTTGCATTTTTCAGTGACTAATGATGTTGAGGATCTTTTCAAGTGCTTATTGACCATTTATATATCTTCTTTGGAGAAATGTGTATTTAATATTTTGCCTATTTTTAATTGTGTTATTGTCATTTATTATTTAATTGTAAGAGTTCTTTACATATTTTGGATATAGTTATATTTATCAAATATATGATTTGCAAATATTTTCTCTCATTCTGTATCTTTTTTTGATAATGTCCTTTGATGTACAAAAGTTTTTAATTTTGATGAAATCTTTATTGAAGAGACTCTTCTTGCCCCATTTTATTGTCTTGACATGTTTGTAGAAAATCAATCGATCATAGATATCAGGGTTTATTTCTGGACTCTCAATTCTGTTCCTTATATGGCTATCCTTATAGTAGATGTACTCTGTCTCAGTTCCTGTATATTTATAGTAAGTTTTGAAATTAGAAAGTCTGTGTGCCTGTAACTTTTTTTTTTCCTCAAGATTGTTTTGATTATTCTGGATCCTTTGAATCTTCATGTGAATTTTAGGATCAGCTTGCCAAGTTCTTCAGTGAAAAAAAAGCTCAAATTTTGGTAGAGATTCTATTGACCTTGTGGAACAATTTGAGGAGTATTGCCATCTGGACACTATCAAGCCTTTTGATTCATAGTCATGGGGTAATTCTCCATTTACTTAGATTTTTTTCCATTTCTATAATTTTTTTTAGTTTCAATGTATAAGTCTTATACTTACGTTAGATGTATTTTTAAGTATTTTATTTTTTGATGCCACTATAAGTGTAATTGTTTTTATTTCATTTTCAGATTTTTTATTGCTAGTGTACAGAAATACAAAAATATTAGTATATAGAAGTACAAAAAGTGGAAACAACACAAATGTTGAACAAAAAATCTTTTATATATTACTCATATCCTGTAGCCTTGCTAAACTCATTTATTAGTTCAAATAACTTTTTTTCTTTTAATTTGTGAACCCTCAGGATTTTCTATGTATAAGATAAGCTTATCTTCAAATAGAGATCATTTTACTTTTTTCTTTCTAATTCTGCTGCCTTTATTTCTTTTTTCTTATCTAATTGCCCTAGCTAGCACCTCCAATACAATGTTGAGTAGATGTAATTAGAATAGACATCCTTTTCTTCTTTTTGATCTTAGGGGAAAGCACTCTGTCTTTCACCATTAAGTGTGATGTTAGCTGTGAGCTTTTTGTAGGTATTCTACATCAGATGGAGGAAGTTATCTACTATTCCTAGTGTGTTGAATGTGGTTTTTTGTCGTTGTTGTTGTTGTTGGTCATGAGTGTTAGATTTTGTCAAATCCTTTTTCTGGATCTACTGAGGTGAACATATGGTTTTTGTCCTGCATTCCATTAATAAGCTGAATTGCATTAACTGAGTTTTCAGATGTTAAACCAAACTTGCATTTTTGTGAGAAATCCCACTTGGTCATGCTGTAAAATTTTGTGTCTGCGTATGTTACTAGCTTTGGTTTGCTGGTATTTGTTTAAGATTTTGCATTTATATTCATAAGAGATATTAGTCTACAATTTTTCTATGTTTTATTCGGTTTTAGTAACAAGGTAATACTGGCCTCATAGGATGAGTTATAAAACATTCCCTCCCATCCAATTTTTTGAAGAGTGGGTCAAGGTTGATATGAACTCTTTGAGTGTTTGGTAAAATTTGTTAGTGAAACTGTCTGAGTCTGGGGAAATGTTGGGTCAAATTATTAGGCTCCTACATCAAAAAATAACCTGAAGAATTAACTAGAATTAGTTAGAGGTACACCCTTTAATTTGCTGAGATATCCATCAGGTACTGTTAAATCAGCAAAGCAATATGCAGACAACTGTACTGTATCAATGCCTTCTGGAGACAATTATATAATGTTAATATGTCTATATGCCTTCATGTAAGTCTCTATGTGGGTGTGTTATCATCTATTCACTTTTATTCCAAATATATTAATATAAAGTAATATTCAAAAATATGATCACATATATATCATCCCTCATTGGAGACTCTTTTAATTGTTTAATTGCATTTTTATTGGTACATAATAATTATGCATATTTACAAGGTACATGTGATATTTTGATACACAGGTACAATATATAGTGAGAAAATCAGGATAATTAGAATATCCATCTCCTTCCTCAAACACTTATTATTTCTATGGAATAGATCCAGGATCAGTATTGCTGGGTTGAAGAGTATGTGTATTTCTAGGCTTAATACATTTTGCTAGGTTGTTCATAAGAGAAATTAACAATTCTGATTTCTACAAGTAATATGCGAGAGTACCCATTTTCTTGTATCCCTGCGAAAAAATGGCTTTTAAAAAATTTTTAAATTTAAATTTTTATTTTTTTAAAGAGAGAGAGTTTCACTGTGTCACCTAGGCCAAAGTGCCCTGGCACGATCATAGTTCACTGTAACCTTTAACTCTTAGGCTCAAGGACTCCTTTAGCCTCAGCCTCCCAAGTAGCTAGGACTGCAGGTGCATGTCACCACACAGGTTTTTATTTTTTTATTTTTTGAGATGGAGTCTTACTCTGTTGCCCATGCTGGAGTGCAGTGATGTGATCTCAGCTCATTGCAACCTCCACCTCCTGGGTTCAAGCAATTCTTGTGCCTTAGCCCCTCAAGTAGCTGGGATTACAGGCACCCACCACTACACCTGGCTAATTTTTATATTTTTAGTAGAGACGGGGTTTTCCCATGTTCACCAGGCTGGTCTCAAACTCCTGACCTCAAGTCATCTGCCCACCTCAGCCTCCCAGAGTGCTGGGATTACAGGCATGAGCTACTGCACCCAGCTTATTTTTTTATTTTTAATATTTTGGAGAGATAAGGTCTTGCTATGTTGCCCATGCTAGTTTCAAACTCCTGGCCTCAAGCAGTCCTCCTGCCTTGACCTCCCAAAGTACTGGGATTTCAGGTGTGAGCCACTGTGCCTGGCTAACAATGGCTGGTTTTAAATTTTAAAAAATTACCATAGGTGTAAATTATTATTTCACTATTATTTTGCATGCCTCTGGTTCTGAATGTGGGTATATATAAATGTTTGTGAGCCCTTTTGATTTGTTCTCCTGTGTGTTATTCATAACTTTGCTCATTTTTCCATTGGGGCCTCTTTTTTCTCATTATGTCAGTTTACTTTAAGTATTATAATATAAGCCCAGTGTCATCTGCATTGCAAAGTCATTAAGTCATTTGGGAAATATTATTTTTATATTAACATTCGGTATACTATATTGTGCTGTAAAATATTTTACCTGAACAAATGTGTTTACATTTTATTTCAACATTTCTCAGTTCTCAGGTTTGATCAAGACATGTTCCCTGCAGGACCCTATATTTTGTGTGTGTATTCCTGTATATATATGTTTTTACATTGAAGATGTGAGTGTATTTATAAGTATTTTGTATATAGTCTTAAACATTTATTTCTTTTCTTCCAGATGGATAGCCAGTTGTGCCAAAACTATTTTGAATTAATCTATTTTTTTCCCCAATGAATTGAAATAAGCCTTTGCCACTTTTGCAGTTGCTCACATATGTTTGTCTTTAGTATATCACTGGTTCAATTAGTCAACATTTGATTTGATATTTGTGCTTATATTCTCATAAGTGAAAGTGCTCTGCATTTTTATACTATCTTCATCAGATATTGGTATTTTGCTGGCTGCATATAAAACTAGCTAGTTTTCCATTTTTTCTATGGCCTGAACTAGCTTATATAACATTTGAATCATCCATTTTGTAAATGTCACATGAATGAAAGTTAACTTTGACCTATCTGTTTTGTTGCCTTTTTTAATGATAAATTTTAAGTTACCTTTCCAAATTACCTAAGCTGATATAGCGATAACTATTCTATTTTTATCTTCCTGGGTTAATTTTGGTAATTTATATTTTTCTTGGAAGTCATTCATCTCCTTTAAGTTTTCAAATCAATTCCATAAAGTTGTATATATGATTCCCTTAATTCTTTAGTCTTCTTTCTGCCTATAGTGTATCTTTTTTCTTATAATCTTGACTCTCTCTCTCCTCTCTCTACCTCTTCCCTCTAAAACTCCTAATTTGTCTATTTTATTGGTCTTTTCAAGGAAATAATTCTTGGATTTCATTGTCATTGCTACCTTCAAAATTTTATTAACTGTAGACTTTATTAAGTTCTCTTTTCTTTTGTTTTATTTTGTTCCATTATTTTCTAATTAATTTATTTATTTTATTTTATTTTATTTTTTGAGGCAGAGTCTCACTTTGTTGCCCAGGCTGGAGTGCAATGGCACGATCGTGGCTCACTGCAACCTCTGCCTCCTGGGTTCAAGTGATTCTCCCACCTCAGCCTCCCAAGTGGCTGGGATTACAGGCACCTGCCATCATATCCAGCTAATTTTTGTATTTTTGTAGAAACATGGTTTCACCATGCTGGCCAGGCTGATCTTGAACTCTTGACCTCAGGTGATCCACCCGCCTTGGCCTCCCAAAGTGCTGGGATTACAGGCATGAGCCACTGTGCCCGGCCTATTTTCTCATTTATTAAGGTGAATATTACTTTTCTTAATTTTTCCTTGTCCCATAATTCTGAAATCAATACATTTTTAATCTCTGTATTAATTTGCTGGCCATAAGTTTTCCTCTGAATTCAGCTGTCAGTTAAGTTCCATCGGTTTTGCTATGTGAGTGTTTACCTATTCATTGCTTCCTGGGTTTATAATTCAGTTATTTAAGAATATGTTTCCTGATTTTCAAGTAATTTTGACTTTTGCTTTTTCTTTGTAATGATTCTAACTTATTGCATTATGACTAGGGAGTGTGACCTATATAATTTCTTTGCTTTACATTTTATTAAATTTTTTGAGGTCATGCACAAAATTTGATACATTGTTGGTGGTGATAAACTGGCATAGTGATGGGAGAACAATTTGTCAATATCGAATATTGCTGTATATGTACATATTTTATGACACAGCTATTCTACTTACAGATATATGTGAAAGTGATACATAGATATGTATACGTGCATGAGAGTGTTTACAAGTGTATATAAACATGTATGTACATATATGTATGTGTATACATACATATATATGTATTTGTAAAATTGCAATTTCAAAAAAATCGGAATCAGTCTAATTAACCTACAGGTAAGTGGTCTTACTTATAATGGGATTGAGTAAATAGACTGTGGGCAACTCACACAGTGGATTGCTATGCAACAATTAAAATGAATTAGTATGTGTATCAACATAGATAAATCTCTGTAATGTGAAGTACAAACAGTAAGGTGTAAAATGGTATGCACAGCATGAAAGCATTTATTTACATTTTAAATGTTCAAAACAATCCTACATATTATTTGTGGAGACATCCATATGTACACAAATGGAAAAACTCTCACAAAAAGTTTCATATCCACTTCCAGGTATTAGGTCATCTCTGGGGAGGGATAGAGAAGCAAAGGAATATTGTGGTAGGGTTTTAGCCATACTGTGCTGTTTATTCCTTAAAAGAAAATTGAAGCAAATGAGCAAAACAATAACATCTGTTTAATCTGGGAGGAACATACCCAGGTATCTGCTTATTGCCGGCTCCCTCTTTTGCTTTATTAGCCAGAAAAGTTATTTGGCTTGTTCTCCACTGTTTCCTCCATGTGAATCCAAGAGATGTGGGTAATACTCAGAGTTAAATGATAAGTTCAGAAACAAAGTTGGAGTCAAGTCACACCAGATCCAACTGAAAGACATGTCTCTTTTTTAGCCTAGAAAATAAAAATCTTGACAAGACAAGGATCACTCTCTTTAAGTAATTCCAGGTATTTTTCCTTATGAAAGGAGGTAGACTTCTATGTGACTAGGGGGCAAATGTAGAAATAGTGGCTTGGAACTGGGAAGATGCAGATTCTAGTCTAAGTCATGGCAGATCAACCCAACAGCCAGAGTGGTCTAGAATTGCAATAGAGGGTTCCAGGAGAAAATGATCCCCTTGTCAGATGTTTGAACAATGACAAAAGTACTATTTTTAAGGCATGTTTAGTAAGGATTCCAGTGATAGCATTAATGGATGTTAATGGATATCATTTATTAAGGCCTTACTATTATATGTTTAAAACATTTTATATTTATTAATTTACTCAACTTCCATGATGACACTATATGGCTGTGACTGTTTGAAACTGTTATGATGCTTACAAAGCACCTGCCACACATTATCTGGCACCTAATTATCTCTCAGGGAATTAGGTAGCTAATCGTTTGATTAATATTAACTGCTTTGTTAGGTTCCCATTTCTTGCAAAAAATGTTGGTAGTCAACTGAAAGGTTATTGCCCATAGAACAGACACACAGTCATAACACATTTCTACTCACAGTCTTTTATTTAATACAGATCACTCCTGCAAGAGACAGAGGTAGAATAAAGCACTCCCATGTTTATTGCAGCACTACTCACAATAGCAAAGAGAAAGAATCAACCTGAGTGTCCATCAGTGGATGCATGGATTAAAAAATGTGGTATATACACAAAATGGAATGCCATATGGCTATAAAAAAGAATGAAATCCTTTGTAAAGACACATGCACACGTATGTTTATTGTAGCAGTATTTACAATACCAAAGACTTGGAAACAACCCAAATGCCCATCAGTGATAGACTGGATAAAGAAAATATGGCACATATATACTGTGGAATACTATGCAGCCATAAAATAGAATGAGTTCATGACCTTTGCAGGGTTATGGATGAAGCTGGAAGCCATCATTCTCAGCAAACTAACACAGGAACAGAAAACCAAACACCAAATGTTCTCACTCATCAGTGGGAGTTGAACAATGAGAACAAATGGACACAGGGAGGGGAATATCACACAACGGGGCCTGCCGGGGGGTGGAGGGCAAGAAAAGTGAGAGCATTAGGACAAATACCTAATTCATGAGGGGCTTAAAATCTAGATGATTGGTTGATAGGTGCAGCAAACCACCATGGCTCATGTATACCTACGTTAACAAACCTGCACATTCTGCACATGTATCCGAGAACTTAAAGTGAAATTAAAAAAAAAAAAAAAAGAATGAAATCAAGTCATTTGTAGCAGCATGAAGGGAACTGGAGGTCATTATCTTAAGTGAAATAAGCCAGGCATGCCCGTATAAAAATATTGCATGTTCTCATTTATGTGTAGGAGCTACAAACCCTAATCACATGGAGGTAGAGAGTAGAAAGGTAGATAAAATAGAGTGGAAAGGGTGATGAGGGTGAGGAGGGAGGATGAAGAGAAGTGGGTTAAAGGGCACAAACACTGTATACAGTAAGATAGAAGGAATAAATTCAATGTTTGATAGCAGAGTAGAATGATTATACTTAACAAAAATGTATTACACTTGGGTGAAGAACACTCTGAATACCCTGATTTGATTACTACGCATTTTAGATGTGTAACAAAATTTCACATGTGCCCTATACATTTGTACAAATAAAGGAAAAAAATAAAACTGAGAGGCTGAGCGTGGAGGCTCACACCTGTAATCACAGCACTTTGGGAGGCTGGGGTGGGGGGCGGGGGGATAAACTGAGGTCAGGAGTTCGAGACCAGCCTAGCCAATGTGGTGAAACCCCTTCTCTACTAAAAATACAAAAATTAGCCAGGCATGGTGGCAGGCACCTGTAATCCAAGCTACTCGGGAGGCTTAGGCAGGAGAATCACTTGAGCCTGGGAGGCAGAGGTTGCAGTGAGCCGAGATCACACCATTGCGCTCCAGCCTGGGCAACAAGAGCAAAACTCTGTCTCAAAAAATAAAATAAAATAAAATAAAACTGAGAATGGAATGCAAGTGATTGGACTAAGATCACACATCAAGTGAATGGTAAAGGAAAATTTGGATGTTGGAGAAAGGGCCCCAAACTTAGAAACATGTAAGCTTGAACTAGAAGTATCTCATCTTTTACCAGGGGCTTTGTGTCCCAGAGATAGCATCTTGGTGTCTTGAGCTTGTGTCTACCTATCCTAGGTCCTCTTTGTCTCCAAATTGTAGGATTCTTAGTTCCCATGTAGGGTTCATGTGGGTGAGTTCTCAGAAAGTAGGTGACCCAAACATGTACAACGGAGATAGGAGTTCATTCCTTAACTGGAACCTTGTTCAAAGGGCATTCCATTGTGTTAACCCTCAGACCTGTTTGCAGATTGTATCCCGTGTGGCTGCCTCTTCATAATGATAGACATGAGGAGCTTTTCAAATCCGGGGAATGATCTGGGTAGATAATGTCAGCTGATTATGAATTTCTGGTGTGTGGCCCACAGCTATTGGTAATGAATCAGGCTGCTACACAAGGGGACTTTTGATCAAGGCACAGTTCTACATAATGAAAAGTAAAGTAGTGCAGATTAATGGTGTCAGACTTTTAATGGACCTGGGGAAATGGCTGGGTGATGGATCCTTTTTCCCAAGAGCAGCTCAGTCTTCTGCCTCTTGGACTTACATCAAGGGGAGCCCAAGGGAAGCCACTGAAAGGTCATTGAGTCTCTCTTTGACAGGTGGTGGCACAAGAGTTTCCTAGTTGTTCTCATCTCCTTTTTGTTGCTGACCTTTTCCCCATTGAATGTGACACTCAGAGCAAGAGACATGGAAAACTCTCCAGGGTCAGGGATATCGGAAGCACCATCATTAAATAACTTATAAAGGGAATGTATTATCATTAGATAGTGTTGGACTTTGCTTAAGACTTATGAATGGTGGCCCATCTTTGTGTTAGGGTGGCAGTAGCACACCTGACCTGTCCTCTACCTGAGCTTTGTTGCCTTAGCCAAACCTAGACAAGAAAGACTAGTCAGTATTTATACACATAGATCACTTGTAAATAGTAGGTCAGGGCCAAGGTCAAGGCATTCCATGAAGTTTAGGCTATTGCTATTAATACCCGATAGTATTTACTGAGCATCTATAGGATGCCTATCAGACGCACATATTTTGCATTTATCATTCTCGTTAATAATCTCCTTATAATGTAGGTATTAGTATTCCCATTTTATGGATGATGACCTTGAAGCTCTGGGAGTTTAGCTGCATCTCTTGGAATGACATAGCTAGCAATAGTAGCAGTAGTAAAAATATAACTGCCGACATTTATGTAGCTCTCGCTATGAGCCGTGCATGTTTCTAAGAGCTTTTTATGTATGAATTTGTTTGAGGATCACAATAATGCAACAAGTTTGGGTATTGTATTTTCACATTTTACAAATAAAGAAGTTGAGGAACAGTAAGGTTATGTGACTTGTCCAGATTCACAGAGTTAGTAAGGAACAGAGGTATGATTTGAACCACTATGCTTTAGATGCCAGCATTAAAATGCCAACTTACTGTGAGAATGGGACTTTCCTCTGTCCTCACTACTTCCTCGCCTACCCTCACCTCTGCCTTTGAATCACTTAAGGTTGCACTTTCATAAAGATCTCTTTAAATGTCATGGACCCTTAAACTGAGTTAGGTCTCTTTCTGCTGTATGTTTGCACATTTTCCTCTTCTTCCTCTATTTTAACACTCTTCACACTTTCTTATGATTACTTGCATGACATATTGTCTTCCCTTATAGATATTAAGCTACAGAAAGGCAGATGCTGGTGCTGGCTGGGCCTTCTTTGCTTAACATTATGTTCTCAAGGTCTATTATGGTGTCCACATAAATAAAGTTAAATTTCTGATTGTTTGTTACCATATTTCACAAACACTGTTGGATGAAATACTGGCCATTTGGAAGGCATAGCCTAAGATAAAATATAAACTATTTGCCAAAGCCAAAATTCCTACTGGGTGGCTCCAGGGGACACCATAAAAAATAGACGACTACAGTCTAGAGTTGAAGGCAGATCCAACAAGAGCCCTGTGCCAGCCACGTGGAGGAGAAAAAGCTCTTCATACTACGTGCTATGAAAACAGCAAACAAACTGAGATTCCAAATACAAGCTCTAAATCAAAAGACTGTATACCTTGACTTGCCATCAAATTTACTCATCTTGGCAACTTCATAAAGCATGCTTGGTGGGAAGTAGAAAGTATGATGTATTATTCATGATAGTTACTGGGTTTTCAAAACTAAGTAATGAAACGAACATTTGCTGATTAAGGAATGCATGCATGATTGAATAAATGAATGAGTATAACAATCAGGTTTGCTTCATGTTTACCTGAGTGAACACCAATGTTTTTCTGCTATGACATGATGCCTCTATTTTCAATGACCCTTTATGTGGGTATACTGTCTATAGGACAACTCTGTGACCTATGGAGGGTGAACATTATTATCTGCATTTTACAAAGAGGGAAGGGCAGTTCACAGAGGTGAAGAGTTTTTTTTTTAAATAATGCATTATTTTTGTTGTTGCTGCAGTTGTGTTTCTTGTTATAATCATTATTATTATCTCACATATACCTTTTTTTTTTTTTTTGAGACAGTCTCACACACTCTGTCACCCAGGCTGGAGTGCAGTGGTGTGATCTCAGCTCACTGGAACCTCTGCCTCTCAGGTTCAAGAGACTCTCCTGCCTTAGCTTCCCCAGTAGCTTGGATTACAGGCACCCACCACCACTCCCAGCTAATTTTTGTAATTTTAGTACAGATGGGATTTCACCATGTTAGCCAGGCTGGTCTTGAACTCCTGACCTCAAGTGATCTGCCCACCTCGGCCTCCCAACGTGCTGGGATTACAGGTGTGAGCCTCTGAGCCCAGCCTCACATATACCTTTGAGCATCTGGTATAAGGACCCAGAGGCCAGGACCTGCTAAAGAAGTGCAAGCTGGATTAGAGAAATAAGCGGGGAGCTCAGTTACTGAGTCTAGGAACCCACATTGAGAGCAACTCTAGAATGTCCTAAGATCTTCAGTGCTGACCTAATTTTTGCCTTGCATCCTTCTGTGACAGGTTTTCCCACTCACACTATCCATGACACTTTATGATGTTTATAAACCCAATGTCAGTCCCACTGCTCATAACTTGCCTTTGATATAAAAAAAAATGTTTCATTAGACATGGCTTTGTTTATTCAAACTTTATTCCTCCTTTACATCTTTTTAATGACTTTTAAGCTCAGTCTATTAATCTTCTTACCCGAGTTAAGCCTTTTTCTCAATATGTTCTTTTAAAGATATTTCCAAACGCTGAAGCTTACATTCTTTGCCCTATGTGGGCTTTTATGGGGACAATAATTAGCTGGAAAGCCTTGTCAGAAATACGGAAGAATGTGTTCCCGTATTAGGTGGGATTGTGGACTGAAAGCCTTCTAGAATATTGTCCACATTGAATGTTGCTGTATCAAACAATTCAATTCAATTCACTTTGGAAACAGCATTGAGTTTCTCTTTGCATCGGCCGCGATGTGAGCCCAGGGAATAAGGTGTATGGGAGTTACTACAATGTAGAGGGCACAGTAATAGAGTAGAACTACAAATAGATGGGCACCATGGTAAAAGTTTGCATAAAGAATTTTGGGGGACTGGGTGTGGAGGCTCATGCCTGTAATCCCAGCACTGTGGGAGGCCGAGGCTGGTAGATACTTGAGCCCAGGAGTTTGAGACCAGCCTGGGCAACATGGTGAAGCTCCATCTCTACAAACAACAACAACAACAACAACAAAATAGCTGGGTGTGGTGGCACATAAATGTAGTCCCAGATACCTAGAGGTTGAAGTGGGAGCATCACTGGAGCCTATGAGATCAAGGCTTCAGTGAATGGAGTTCACACCACTGCACTGTAGCCTGGGTGAGAGAAAGACCCTGTCACCCTGTCACACACACAAAAAACGAGTCATGGTGGTAGATGTTCCAACAGGGGAGATGTTGGTAAAACTCTCAGAATATAAATAAATGTTGAATTAAGCATGTAATAGATTGAGAAGAAGGAGAACAGCATTTAAGACCAAGGGGAACAGCAAGAGAGAAAAAATGGAGATGAATGAAATTGTACGTGTGTTGGGTTAGGATAACTCTTTCCCTTCTGCCGGTGTTCTGGCTTCTTTCATTTTCTTTAATCCAGCATGTTCCTTCTGAACATTGGGTCTTCTTAAACACCCTTCCCACTGCCTACAAAGTGTCCTCAACCCAACACTGCTCACTTGCCTGGCTGCTACTGATTCCTTTAATTCTCAGCTCAAGTGTCATGTTCTCAAGTTGACCTGTCCTGGTACACTAGACTCCAGTTATTTTATGTATGCTCCTAATATAGTCTTAAAGCCCTCTTTGTTAACTTTCATCAAACTCAAAGTACTTTCTTAATTCTTGCCTTCCTCAATAAAGTATAAACCCATGAGGGCTGCGACTATATTTGTGTTATTCTCTGTGTGTTCTCAGGATCTTCCTCAAGATCTGATGCCTGGTTACCACCCCTCTGTGTATACCTTCGTGCAATGGTGGGCTGGGGCGTTTAGGGCATGGTAGGAAGTGGTGAGAAAAGAGGAAGGAAAATTGGCAGAGGGGGATAAAATTATAGAGGGCTTTGAACAATGTCTCACTTAAACAGGCTTCTGGGCACCTTTGCTGTGAAAGACCAAACTAAATGTAAAAGAAACACAAACACAGCAGCTTTTCTTCAAGTTTTGAAGAATAAAAGATGTGTAGTTGAAAATCATGCACACACTGACAGTTATTTCTTTTTTAAAAATAGTCTCCTAAGAAGTAGTGGTGGTAGAAAGTGGTGTTATATAAATGGCAGCCTCTTAATATTCCTGAGAGCATGGAACAATTTATCAATGTGAATACCCCAATTGCAGAAAGGAAAAGTATTTTAAACACTCGGGTTTTATTTATGTCTATGGTATCTGCAAGTGGACATAGTTGTATGGATGAAAATATCTGGTCATTCACACCTGAGGGATGTAGGACCCTGGCTGTGGTGGGTTGGTTGGTACATTCATTCACGGAATGGATGTTCATGGAGCACTTATTTACTCAATGTCGTGCCAAGCATTACACAAGACAGTCCTTGACTTTACAGAAGTCACCATCCAACAGAGGAGAAAGACATTAAGTAAATAATTAAACCAGCAATTTACTTGCCGCAGTGGCAAGGAATGCTAAAAGGAAAGGTGCAGGTTTGAGGGGAGCCTTGAGGACAGGTCATGTCCATCAGAAGACATATGAGGAATTTCATGCATTGGCAACCTCAGAGGTAAGTTAGATTCTGGCCCTACTTAGGTCTTAAGGCACTGAAATATGCCATGTCACTGAGGCCTGTGTATGAATATTTACTGTGGTGCTGGCATAATTGCATGACCCTCTCAATCTGAAGTGTTACTACCAGCACCCAACAACTCCAGTGCTTTTGGTTTTTATTCTCATCCTGTCAAGAGTGATTCTTATTAAAGGTCTAGTGGGGTCACTCACTTCAATTTTTTAGCTATGTTTTACTGAATTCTGTGGGGGTAGATGACATTCTCTTGGGGGCATTCATGAAAAAGAAGATGAATTTTTAAAGGAAATACCCTTTACCTGAGTGAAGACCTTACACCATAAACTTCCACCTCTGTCTTTACAAATATAACTGCTTCTTAGGCAAGTAGAGAAAGCAGGGCCTGAATACACTAACTAGAGGGCTGGAAAAGCCCAGTATGAATGTTTACTCCTAACCCAAGGGGGTAGTCTTCCTCTTAGGTGAGCTGACATTAAGGCCAAAATGGGTGTAAAAGAATATGAGACAGTGGCATATTATTTTTTAGAATAAGATATTTTAAACTCCTTGACTTTTTTATTTTTATTTTTTAAATATTATTATTATACTTTAAGTTTTAGGGTACATGTGCACAATGTGCAGGTTAGTTACATATGTATACAGGTGCCATGCTGGTGTGATGCACCCATTAACTCATCACTTAGCATTAGGTATATCTCCTAAAGCTATCCCTCCCCCCTCTCCCGACCCCACAACAGTCCCCAGAGTGTGATGTTCCCCTTCCTGTGTCCATGTGTTCTCATTGTTCAATTCCCACCTATAAGTGAGAATATGCGGTGTTTGGTTTTTTGTTCTTGTGATAGTTTACTGAGATTGATGATTTCCAATTTCATCCATGTCCCTACAAAGGACATGAACTCATCATTTTTTATGGCTGCATAGTATTCCATGGTGTATATGTGCCACATTTTCTTAATCCAGTCTATCATTGTTGGACATTTGGCTTGGTTCCAAGTCTTTGCTATTGTGAATAGTGCCGCAATAAACATACGTGTGCATGTGTCTTTACAGCAGCATGATTTATAGTCCTTTGGGTATATACCCAGTAATGGGATGGCTGGGTCAAATGGTATTTCTAGTTCTAGATCCCTGAGGAATCGCCACACTGACTTCCACAATGCTTGAACTAGTTTACAGTCCCACCAACAGTGTAAAAGTGTTCTATTTCTCCACATCCTCTCCAGCACCTGTTGTTTCCTGACTTTTTAATGATTGCCATTCTAACTGGTGTGAGATGGTATCTCATTGTGGTTTTGATTTGCATTTCTCTGATGGCCAGTGATGGTGAGCATTTTTTCATGTGTTTTTTGGCTGCATAAATGTCTTCTTTTGAGAAGTGTCTGTTCATGTCCTTTGCCCACTTTTTGATGGGGTTGTTTGTTTTTTTCTTGTAAATTTGTTTGAGTTCATTGTAGATTCTGGATATTAGCCCTTTGTCAGATGAGTAGATTGCAAAAATTTTCTCCCATTTTGTAGGTTGCCTGTTCACTCTGATGGTAGTTTCTTTTGCTGTGCAGAAGCTCTTGAGTTGAATTAGATCCCATTTGTCAATTTTGGCTTTGCTTGCCATTGCTTTTGGTGTTTTAGACATGAAGTCCTTGCCCATGCCTATGTCCTGAATGGTAATGCCTAGGTTTTCTTCTAGGGTTTTAATGGTTTTAGGTCTAACGTTTAAGTCTTTAATCCATCTTGAATTAATTTTAGTATAAGGTGTAAGGAAGGGATCCAGTTTCAGCTTTCTACATATGGCTAGCCAGTTTTCCCAGCACCATTTATTAAATAGGGAATCCTTTCCCCATTGCTTGTTTTTCTCAGGTTTGTCAAAGATCAGATAGTTGTAGATATGCGGCGTTATTTCTGAGGGCTCTGTTCTGTTCCATTGATCTATATCTCTGTTTTGGTACCAGTACCATGCTGTTTTGGTTACTGTAGCCTTGTAGTATAGTTTGAAGTCAGGTAGTGTGATGCCTCCAGCTTTGTTCTTTTGGCTTAGGAGTGACTTGGCAATGCGGGCTCTTTTTTGGTTCCATATGAACTTGAAAGTAGTTTTTTCCAATTCTGTGAAGAAAGTCATTGGTAGCTTGATGGGGATGGCATTGAATCTATAAATTACCTTGGGCAGTATGGCCATTTTCAAGATATTGATTCTTCCTACCCATGAGCATGGAATGTTCTTCCATTTGTTTGTATCCTCTTTTATTTCATTGAGCAGTGGTTTGTAGTTCTCCTTGAAGAGGTCCTTCACATCCCTTGTAAGTTGGATTCCTAGGTATTTTATTCTCTTTGAAGCAATTGTGAATGGGAGTTCACTCATGATTTGGCTTTCTGTTTGTCTGTTGTTGGTGTATAAGAATGCTTGTGATTTTTGTACATTGATTTTGTATCCTGAGGCTTTGCTGAAGTTGCTTATCAGCTTAAGGAGATTTTGGGCTGAGACAATGGGGTTTTCTAGATATACAATCATGTCATCTGCAAACAGGGACAATTTGACTTCCTCTTTTCCTAATTGAATACCCTTTATTTCCTTCTCCTGCCTAATTGCCCTGGCCAGAACTTCCAACACTATGTTGAATAGGAGTGGTGAGAGAGGGCATCCCTGTCTTGTGCCAGTTTTCAAAGGGAATGCTTCCAGTTTTTGCCCATTCAGTATGAAATTGGTTGTGGGTTTGTCATAGACAGCTCTTATTATTTTGAGATACGTCCCATCAATACCTAATTTATTGAGAGTTTTTAGCATGAAGGGTTGTTGAATTTTGTCAAAGGCCTTTTCTGCATCTATTGAGATAATCATGTGGTTTTTGTCTTTGGTTCTGTTTATATGCTGGATTATATTTGATTTGCGTATATTGAACCAGCCTTGCATCCCAGGGAGGAAGCCCACTTGATCATGGTGGATAAGCTTTTTGATGTGCTGCTGGATTCGGTTTGGCAGTATTTTATTGAGGATTTTTGCATCAATGTTCATCAAGGAAGGATATTGGTCTAAAATTTTCTTTTTTGGTTGTGTCTCTGCCCGGCTTTGGTATCAGGATGATGCTGGCCTCATAAAATGAGTTAGGGAGGATTCCCTCTTTTTCTATTGATTGGAATAGTTTCAGAAGGAATGGTACCAGTTCCTCCTTGTACCTCTGGTAGAATTCGGCTGTGAATCCATCTGGTCCTGGACTCTTTTTGGTTGGTAAGCTATTAATTATTGCCTCAATTTCAGAGCCTTTTATTGGTCTATTCAGAGATTCAACTTCTTCCTGGTTTAGTCTTGGGAGGGTGTATGTGTTGAGGAATTTATCCATTTCTTCTAGATTTTCTATTTTATTTGCATAGAGGTGTTGGTCGTATTCTCTGATGGTAGTTTGTATTTCTGTGGGATCGGTGGTGATATCCCCTTTATCATTTTTTATTGCGTCTATTTGATTCTTTTTTCTTCTTTATTAGTCTTGCTAGCGGTCTATCAATTTTGTGGATCCTTTCAAAAAACCAGCTCCTAGATTCATTAATTTTTTGAAGGTTTTTTTGTGTCTCTATTTCCTTCAGTTCTGCTCTGATTTTAGTTATTTCTTGCCTTCTGCTAGCTTTTGAATGTGTTTGCTCTTGCTTTTCTAGTTCTTTTAATTGTGATGTTAGGTTGTCAATTTTGGATCTTTCCTGCTTTCTCTTGTGGGCAGTTAGTGCTATAAATTTCCCTCTACACACTGCTTTGAATGTGTCCCAGAGATTCTGGTATGTTGTGTCTTTGTTCTCGTTGGTTTCAAAGAACATCTTTATTTCTGCCTTGATTTCGTTATGTACCCAGTAGTCACTCAGGAGCAGGTTGTTCAGTTTCCATGTAGTTGAGTAGTTTTGAGTGAGTTTCTTAATCCTGAGTTCTAATTTGATTGCACTGTGGTCTGAGAGACAGCTTGTTATAATTTCTGATCTTTTACATTTGCTGAGGAGAGCTTTACTTCCAACTATGTGGTCAATTTTGGAATAGGTGTGGTGTGGTGCTGAAAAAAAATGTATATTCTGTTGATTTGGGGTGGAGAGTTCTGTAGATGTCTATTAGGTCTGCTTGGTGCAGAGCTGAGTTCAATTCCTGGGTATCCTTGTTGACTTTCTGTCTCATTGATCTGTCTAATGTTGACAGCGGGGTGTTAAAGTCTCCCATTGTTATTATGTGGGAGTCTAAGTCTCTTTGTAGGTCACTCAGGACTTGCTTTATGAATCTGGGTGCTCCTGTATTGGGTGCATATATATTTAGGATAGTTAGCTATTCTTGTTGAATTGATCCCTTTACCATTATGTAATGGCCTTCTTTGTCTCTTTTGATCTTTGTTGGTTTAAAGTCTGTTTTATCAGATACTAGGATTGCAACCCCTGCCTTTTTTTGTTTTCCATTTGCTCGGTAGATCTTCCTCCATCCTTTTATTTTGAGCCTATGTGTGTGTCTGCACGTGAAATGGGTTTCCTGAATACAGCACACTGATGGGTCTTGACTCTTTATCCAATTTGCCAGTCTGTGCCTTTTAATTGGAGAATTTAGTCCATTTACATTTAAAGTTAATATTGTTATGTGTGAATTTGATCCTGTCATTATGATGTTAGCTGGTTATTTTGCTCATTAGTTGATGCAGTTTCTTCCTAGCCTCGACGGTCTTTACAATTTGGTATGTTTTTGCAGTGGGTGGTACCGGTTGTTCCTTGCCATGTTTAATGCTTCCTTCAGGAGCTCTTTTAGGGCAGGCCTGGTGGTGGCAAAATCTCTCAGCATTTGCTTGTCTGTAAAGTATTTTATTTCTCCTTCACTTATGAAGCTTAGTTTGGCTGGATATGAAATTCTGGGTTGAAAATTCTTTTCTTTAAGAATGTTGAATATTGGTCCCCACTGTCTTCTGGCTTGTAGAGTTTCTGCCGAGAGATCCACTGTTAGTCTGATGGGCGTCCCTTTGTGGGTAACCCGACCTTTCTCTCTGGCTGCCCTTAACATTTTTTCCTTCATTTCCACTTTGGTGAATCTGACAATTATGTGTCTTGGAGTTGCTCTTCTCGAGGAGTATCTTTGTGGCGTTCTCTGTATTTCCTCAATCTGAACGTTGGCCTGCCTTGCTAGATTAGGGAAGTTCTCCTGGATAATATCCTGAAGAGTGTTTTCCAACTTGGTTCCATTCTCCCCATCACTTTCAGGTACACCAATCAGACGTAGATTTGGGCTTTTCACATAGTCCCATATTTCTTGGAGGCTTTGTTCCTTTCTTTTTATTCTTTTTTCTCTAAACTTCCCTTCTCACTTCATTTCATTCATTTCATCTTCCATCACTGATACCCTTTCTTCCAGTTGATTGCTTCGGCTCCTGAGGCTTCTGCATTCTTCACGTAGTTCTCAAGCCTTGGCTTTTAGCTCCATCAGCTCCTTTAAGCACTTCTCTATATTGGTTATTCTAGTTATACATTTGTCTACATTTTTTTCAAAGTTTTAAACTTCTTTGCTTTTGGTTTGAATTTCCTCCTGTAGCTCGGAGTAGTTTGATCATCTGAAGCCTTCTTCTCTCAACTTGTCAAAGTCATTCTCCATCCAGCTTTGTTCCGTTGCTGGTGAGGAGCTGCGTTCCTTTGGAGGAGGAGAGGCGCTCTGCTTTTTAGAGTTTCCAGTTTTTCTGCTCTGTTTTTTCCCCATCTTTGTGGTTTTATCTACTTTTGGTCTTTGATGATGGTGATGTACAGATGGGTTTTAGGTGTGGATGTCCTTTCTGTTTGTTAGTTTTCCTTCTAACAGACAGGACCCTCAGCTGCAGGTCTGTTGGAGTTTGCTAGAGGTCCACTCCAGACCCTGTTTGCCTGGGTACCAGCAGCAGTGGCTGCAGAACAGCGGATTTTCGTGAACTGTGAATGCTGCTGTGTGATCGTTCCTCTGGAAGGTTTGTCTCAGAGGAGTACCCAGCCGTGTGAGGTGTCAGTCTGCCCCTACTTGGGGGTGCCTCCCAGTTAGGCTGCTCGGGGGTCAGGGGTCAGGGACCCACTTGAGGAAGCAGTCTGCCCCTTCTCAGATCTCCAGCTGCGTGCTGGGAGAACCACTGCTCTCTTCAAAGCTGTCAAACAGGGACATTTAAGTCTGCAGAGGTTACTGCTGTCTTTTTGTTTGTCTGTGCCCTGCCCCCAGAGGTGGAGCCTACAGAGGCAGGCAGGCCTCCTTGAGCTGTGGTGGGCTCCACCCAGTTCGAGCTTCCCGGCTGCTTTGTTTACCTAAGCAAGCCTGGGCAATGGCGGGCGCCCCTTCCCCAGCCTTGCTGCCGCCTTGCAGTTTGATCTCAGACTGCTGTGCTAGCAGTCAGCGAGACTGCGTGGGCATAGGACCCTCTGAGCCAGGTGCGGGATATAATCTCCTGGTGTGCCGTTTTTTAAGCTCGTCAGAAAAGCGCAGTATTGGGGTGGGAGTGACCCGATTTTCCAGGTGCCGTCTGTCACCCCTTTCTTTGACTAGGAAAGGGAACTCCCTGACTCCTTGCGCTTCCTGAGGCAATGCCTCGTCCTTCTTCCGCTTGCGTAGGGTGTGCTGCACCCACTGTCCTGCGCCTACTGTCTGGCACTCCCTGGTGAGAAGAACCCGGTACCTCAGATGGAAATGCAGAAATCACCCGTCTTCTGCATCGCTCACTCTGGGAGCTGTAGACTGGAGCTGTTCCTATTCGGCCATCTTGGCTCCAGCGACTTTTTTTTTTGAATTTATGTCTCCCTAAAATGTTTTTCCCTTTTGTTATCTCTTGGTTTAAAATAAGAAGGAACATAAAAACCCACAATTGGGGGAAGGAGGGCAGTGGAGGGAGGGAGTGCATCAGGAAAAATCGCTATATATGTATTTGTTATCTCATATGTTTTGTTTTGCTTTTTAATTTTTTTTTTGAAACACGGTCATGAGACTAAATAATTTTTGTAATTTTGGTGGAGATGAGGATTTGCCATGTTGCCCAGGTAGTCTTGAACTCTTGGCTTTAAGCTATCCACCCCCCTCAGCCTCCCAAAGTGCTGGGATTACAGGTGTGAGCCACCACACCTGGCTGCTGCTTCTTAATTTCTAATTTTGTTTTATAGTGGCAAAACAAGAAGTTTTGTGTAACTTATGCTTTTTGAAATGCATTGGAATTCTCCTCGTGGTCAAATACATGACCACATCAGAAAAAAATAGCTAATAGAAAGGAAAGAAAGAGGGAAGGAAGGAAGGAAGAAAGGGAGAGAGGGAGGGAGGGAAGAAGGAAGGAAGAAAGAAAGGAAGGAAGATTCATTTACACCAGACAACCCACTAAAAGTTTTGAGTTATTGTAATCAATAAAATACAAGAAGGAAGAAAGGAAGGAAGGGAGGAAAGGAGGGAGGAAAGGACAGAGGGAGGGAGAAAGAAAGGAAGGAAGAAGGAAGGTTCATTTACACTAGACAACCCACTAAAAGTTTTCATTTTAATAACTATAACACCATCAACCATTCTTTGAAAGCACATCTGTTGGCTTCCAGAGTTTCTTCATCTCTCTTAGACTTGTAAGGGGTTTAACGAGCTCAAAAAGACACACAAATATTAAGCACCTACTCTGTGCCTGGCATCAGATCTATATTTAATTCACTTTGGGTATTTTCTGAAAGAAAGATGATTTTCCATAACCAATTCCCAAACCAAGAACATGCATGCATCTGTGTCCGGCAGAGTGGAAGTAATGAACATGAATGCCACCTTTGCTAAATTCTGAAATGGACCTAAATGCACCCAAATTCTATATAAAGTCATATTGCTAAGCTTTGATTCATACCTAATTTCCTCAAATGGGAAGGGTGGAGGATTAGTTGAATGAAGGGCTGCTGTAGAAAGAGCAACACATATGTCTTCTTGGCAAATGTCTGCTTTTTTTCCAGTTATTAGAGTTAGTGCCAGCACAGGAAGGGAGCAGCAGGGGCCAGAGTTGTTTTTCCCCTTAGAGCAACAGGGAGAATGTACCAGAGATAAGACTCACCCGGGTGTTTGGCTTTTGGAAATGAAAATAGAATTGCTGTATACATGTCAGCTTGATCTGGGAAGGCTGAAAATAGGGGTGGGGGTGCAGGTAGATGTAGAATGGCCTGAGTTAAACCCTAGTTAGGGAAGAAAAGACAAAAATTTGAAGGCAGCGACTTTATCCCTAGCACACAGGGTCTCCCAGGCTGGAGGACATCCCCACTTGGTGTATGTCACTGGTCAGTGCTGCCCACTGTCTGAGGTCCAAGGGAGGTTGATAGGGACCCCGGACTCCTGGAGGAATAGGCCTCTAGTGGGTGTGTTGGTGGGGACTGCAAGTGGGGCAGGGGACTGGGAATCTTTGAGTTAGGTGGGGGGTCATTATTCTCTCTAGTGTGTAGGAAATTCAGTTATCTGAAATGGTTTTGAGTACAATAAAATGCATGGTCCTGTATTAATCTCAATCCTTTGCCAGTTATATATTCCACAATATATAGACTTTTGTCTTGCTTTACACACTGTTGTAATACCTTCTATGATGGTAAGTTTTATGTGTCAACTTGGTTAGGCTATGGTGCCTGCTCGTTTGGTCAAATGCTAGTCTAAATTTTTCTGTGAAGGTATTTTAACAGTGTGATCGACATTTAAATCAGTAGACTTTAAGAGATGTGGGTGGGCCTCATCCAATCAGTTAAAGACCTTAAAAGCAAAGACAGAAGTTCCCTGATGAATGAATTCTCAAGACTGCAAAATTAAAAACCCTGCCTAAGTTTCCATCTTGCTGCGCTGTGGAATTTGGACTCAAGACTGCAACATCCACTCTGACCTGAATGGGCTGGCCTGGCTTATAAATTTCAGACCTGCTGTCCCCTGTAGCCTCAGGAGCCAATTTTTAAAAAATCTCTTGATAGTATTGATACATAGGTAGATAGCTAGATAGATAGAATAGACATGCTTTTCTGTTTCTCTGGAGAACCCTGTCTAAAACACCTTCTTTTCAGGAAACTTGTTTTGTTTTGATGTAAAATCATGCGAGTCCAGGATGCAGTGCTGGAAGAAGCCTTAGTCCATTTGGCCAATGGTAGCAAATCTGTGGCTCAATTGCAAGAATGCCCTGGGGCAGACCAGAACAGCCCTTTTTGCTGAGTGACCGTCAGATTCTCCTGGACTTCCTTACAGCAGGAGAGACACCCCTTGCTGGTATCCCCAGCCCCCTGCAGGCAGCAGATGCTGCTGTCTCACAGGCAGCCTGGCCTTTCTCCCTGTATTGTCTGACCCACCACTCCAGCAAAAATTAGGAATTCTGAGTAGAAGGAGAAGTAAGGTTCTTCCCAGTTCTGCAGTTGTAAAACTTTAACTTTGTTGAATGTTGGAATTAAAATGGCAAAACCTCTACCCCAGGCCTCTGCAGGTTGCCCCATGGATTGGCTGTAGAAGAGAGCCTGGCGAGAAGTAATTAACCACAGATCACTAAAAGCTCAGTGGAAAGGCCTGTGTCCAGGAATTCCTTTTGCCAGAGGTCCTGGGAGCGTTTGCTGCAGAGAAACGAGTTTGCAGATAAGCACTTTTCTTTGTGAAGTCTCCTTTCCCAAGCTCTGTTAGCTCCCAGCTCTGTTTTCAGCTGTGAGGGCTGTCTTTTCATCTTGAACTTTACATATTCTTCTAGCTTAGCCCAGTCACACAGAGCTCTTTGGCAAGCTACTCTCTCTCCCACTGCGAATTGTTGGGTACCAAGGCAGGGTATAAAGTTCAGAGTCGGCCAACTTTTCCCCCACAACCCTCTTACTCCGCCTCTCTTTGTGCTCAACAATGGATTTCAAAATCTTTGGTTTTCTTTGTCATCAGAAAAGATGTTGGAGTCAAACAAAGAGGAGAGCAAAAATTCCAGACGTTTTGAGTAAATGAAAGTGTGTGTGTGTGTGTGTGTGTGTGTGCTGGTGCAGTCTCACTGCCACCCCCAACACCACTGGTTAGCATTGTAACCCTCAGGAATGTATATCATTTGGGGTTGGGTTAGTGGTTTGAGCAATGCTCCTTCCAACTTCCTGCTGGAAAATTTAACCTCTCTTTAGTCTTTAGAGAGGCAAAGAAATGAACACATTTCTACTTGTTCTACCTGCAACACATCTCTTGATTCCATTCCCAACTGCCCACTTCTATAGTTCTGGCCTTTTTTTCCTTTCCCTGGGTTGTCATAGAATGTACTGACTTTTCTTGACATCTTTTGCCACCTCCACAACCTTGTTGCCCCTGCAGCCAGAGTGACCTTTCTAAAATGTAGCTCTGACCACCTTGTTGCTTGTCACCTGTAGAAATCAAGTCTAAGTTTGTGCAGGGGCAGCCAGAGTGCTCCTGGGGCTCGGGCCCTGCTTACCCCTCCCAGCCCTCTCTGAAACAATTCTGAGTGTTTCTCTCTGCAATGCATGTACGTATATACATGTGTATGTATGTGTGTGTATGTATGTATGTATTTCAGCAGCTGTGTTCTCTTCTTGAAATGAGCTTCGTTTGTATAAATTCTGCCACCCTCCCTAAATTCCTCTGAGTTCTGATCTACTCTGTTTCCCCTAGAGTGAGAAGTTTATGTGGTTTTCACTGCCTTTCTCCATCCTCAGTGTATCAACTGTATTCGCTTACCTTTCTGGCCAGCCTAAGGGTCCTGTGGGGTGGAAACCCTCTATCCATGATAGCTAGGCCAGCACAGTGCAGGCCATCTTGAATATCCTCAGTTAAAGCTTCTGAATTAACAAGATACATATCTAGGGTTTATGAGCTTTGGTTCTGCAGTTGAATTCTTCTGGACTTGAATCCTGGCGTTCTTGCTTAAGCCTCCTTTTTCTCCCCTGTGAAATAGGTGGAATCATATCAATATCAGAGTGCTGATGGTCAAAATTAATGGAAATAATGCATGCAACATGCTCCATGCATCCCTAACATGCAGTAAAACCTCAGTAGTCACCCTCATTTGAAATAACTGCTTGCCCTGCTTCCATGCTCCAGCCCTCTTCCGTGTCACCCTCTTTGTTTGCAGATCCCCTCCACCTCATTTCTATCATTAGCAACGTGGGGAAGAAAGAGTTAAGCCTGACTCTGTTCACCACAAATCCACAGGCACTAAATAAGGCTCTAACATTCAGGCTTTAAGTATGGGCTGCAGTTAACTATAAACAGCTGTTGCAAGATAATAGCCTTCTCCTGGTAAAATAAGGCCAGTTCCCCCCAACCCTCCCCTCACAATGAAACCTTTCTTGCACTTAACGTTCAGAACTGATAGATAGGTCTCAGTCTGGCAGTAATCAGAATTAAGAGATGGGGGCAGGGAGAAGAATTGTCAGGCTTCCCAGATCCAGTTGACATGTATACAGCAATTCTAATTCCATTTCCAAAAGCCAAACACTCGGGTGACTCTTATCTGCAGTACATTCTCCCTGTTGCTCTAAGGGGAAAAACAACTCTGGCCCCTGCTGCTCCCTTCCTGTGCTGGCATTAACTCTAATAACTGGAAGAAAAGCAGACATTCGCCAAGAAGACATGTGTTGCTCTTTCTACAGCAGCCCTTCATTCAACTAATCCTCCACCCTTCCCATTTGAGGAAATTAGGTATGAATCAAAGCTTAGCAATATGACTTTATATAGAATTCGGGCACCTTTAGGTCCATTTCAGAATTTAACAAAGGTGGCATTCATGTTCATTACTTCCACTCTGCCGGACACAGATGCATGCATGTTCTTGGTTTGGGAATTGGTTATGGAAAATCATCTTTGTTTCAGAAAATACCCAAAGTGTATTAAATATAGATCTGATGCCAGTCACAGAGTAGGTGCTTGATATTTGTGTGTCTTTTTGAGCTTGTTAAACACCTTCCACGTCTAAGAGTGATGAAGAAACTCTGGAAGCCAACAGATGTGCTTTCAAAGAATGGTTGATGGTGTTACAGTTATTATAAAATGAAAACTTTTAGTGGGTTGTCTGGTGTAAATCAATGCTTCCCTCCCTCCCTCCCTGCCTTCCTTCCTTCGTTTCTCTCCTCAGAAAAATTTGATGAGATCCAGAGAAATTTACTGGTTTATAGAGTCAATAAGAAAGTTAGCAGCACAGATGGGGGATGGATGCACCAACCTCTCTGACTCCAAGACCAGTGATTTCAATCAGCTCACATTGAAAATCATGACTGAAGTAATGGTCTCTGAAACTTGGGCAAACAAAATTGAGGAGAAATGTTTGGAGGGAACAGCACTCAGGAGTTTAATTTTGTTTATGGCTGTGGTCTCAGGAGAAGTAGAAAGGCCTGTTGATGTCTGTCTCCAGCTAAATCATAAATCTTAGACCCTGACAAGGCACAATAAATGCTATCAAATTAGTGAATAACGTATGGACTTGCTCCCTGCTCTGAAGGCATCCTCTGCAGCCATAACAAGGCAGTAATAATTAATGCTTTTGGTTATCCTCATTGAATATCATGAAACAAGTAGCCTGTGAGGTGGGTGCTGCAGTCATTCCCATTTGTAGATAAGGAAACTGAGGTTTGGAAAGATTATGACATTTGCTCATTGTCACCCAGCTAGGAAGTTCCAGAGCCAAGTTTCAAAGCCTTGTTTTCTAACCTACAGCTTGATCTCTTCACCTCTTTATGATGCCTTATTAAAAAATAATAACTAAACTAAAAAATCACTACTTTCTTATGAATCATGCAGCACCTTTTTTTTTTTTTTTTTTTTTTTTGTATTTTTCCCTTGTAAAAGTTAACATCCTTGGTGTTCTGGGAGGTAACTTCATCATTCCTACTACACATAGGTTAGATCTTAGGCTCCCATGAAGCACATGACTTGTCCAAGATCAGCCAATCTCGTTAGTAAGATACGGAGATTTCTAAAACAAAGTCCAGTGCTTTTTTTTTCATGACAATGTTTCTGTCTCTCTGGATATTTTATATCCACAAAGCATTATCAATATGGTGGTTTCAGCAAACACAAGTTAAAATCACCTTTCAAAAAGTGATAAGGCATTACTAAAATCAAGACAATCAAACCAACGAAAAAAGAATATGAAAGAAGGTTCAAGACTGTGTTGGGCAAGGATGGGAAATATGGCCCAACTTACGGTCCAATTTTAACCAATGACTCTACTCTGCCTGGAGGGCTTGCTGAGAAGGATCATGAGACCACTTCTGATGCTAATGGGAAAATGTCCTTTGATCCTGAGCAAAGTGGACTCCATGTTGGAATGGATCAGTGTGGCAGGAATGAACATGTTCTATTTGCCTCTCCAGACGTGCTCTGTTTTCACTCTGCTCTGTGCCTGACCTCTACCATCTGCACCAGGGGATTTCTTTACCCTCCAGCTTCCAGTTCGGTCTGGCCAACCTTTTTCAGTTTTCCCCTTTCCTTCCTTCCTTCCTTCCTTCCTTCCTTCCTTCCTTCCTTCCTTCCTCCCTCCCTCCCTCCCTCCCTCCCTCCCTCCTTCCTTCTTTCCTTCCTTCCTTTCTTCTTTCCTTCCTTCTGAAAAATTTGATGAGACCCAGAAAAATTGACTGGTTTATAAAGTCAATCAGAAAGTTAGTAGCAGAGATGGGGGATGTACCAACTTCTCTGACTCCAAGACCTACCTACCTTCCTTCCTTCCTTCCTCCCTCCCTCCCTCCCTTCCTTCCTTCCTCCCTCCCTCCCTCCCTTCCTTCCTTCCTTCCTTCCTTCCTTCCTTCCTTCCTTCCTCCCTTCTTCCTTCCCTGTTTTCTTCCTTCCTTCCTTCTTTCCTTAATATATGAATCCTGTTGCTTCTTCTCAAACTTCAAGGCTTTGATTCAGTGGTGCTCACCTCTGGGAGTCCTAAGACTCGTAGAACAGGAAGGATTTAACCATCATCCTTTTATACCATAAAAATCTCAGCAATGCAGATCCCTGGGGACATATTCTCAAATTAAATGTTGAGCTTCCTGAAGACAGGGATCAATATTATTTATTTCTCCATCCACGGTTCCTGATGTACAATTTTTACACAGTAAATGTTTATTGAGTTAATGAGTTATACTGGGTACTCTTACTTTCCATAGATCCAAGGCTTCTGCGCTTTAAACACTGAAGCAATTACTTATTTTATTTTGACTGTTTTGAATGAAAAATATTTTAAAAGCAAGCAAACAAGCACACAAACAGAAAAAACTATTGCCACTATTTCAAGTGCAGTATACACAACATTATTTGGATTTAAAAAATAATTTGGAAATATCTTTATGAGCACAGATTATGCTGCTCTGCTTAAATAAACTAAAGCTGTTAGGGGAAACTGAGGTGCACAAAGACACTTTGCCCCTGAACTAAATGTTTCTAGATGGTTTCGTGTTTTAAATCCTTATGCCTAATTGTTCGTGTACCCACTCTTCTCTCTTTCCAGTTACTGTTTCTAATATGCTGTGGGTTTGAATATCAGGTAATTACAGACATTTGAGTTCTGTGTAAAATAAGAGTGAAAAACCTGAATAAGTATGTGCAAATAAAGAGGGAACAGAATGAACATTGCCTTCTCTGACTGTGCAGAAGCTTTTATCCTTTGTTTCTTAGTTTCTAGATAATTTAAGAATGACATTAAATATGAGATGGCTGGGAGCTCACACCTGTAATCCCAGCACTTTGGGAGGCTGAGGCAGGTGGATCACTTGAGCTCAGGAGTTTGAGACCAGCCTGGGCAACATGGTGAAACCTGTCTCTACAGAAAATATGAAAATTAGCTGGGCATGGTGGCATTTGCCTGTGGTCCCAGTTACTCAGGAGGCTGAGGCAGGAGGATCGCTTGAGCCTGGGAAACGGAGGTTGCAGTGATCTAAGATCATGCTACTGCACTCCAGCCTGGGCAACAGAGCAAGACCCTGTCTCAAAAAAAAATAATGTGAAAACATCGATACCTAAGAATGACTGGGGAAAGCAAAACAAAACATCTGCTTTACTTTTTCCAGAGAAGGCCACAGGCCACTTTGCAGCACTTTGAAATGACATTGGAAATGACACTTTTGCAGAATTTTAAAGTCCATGTTGGAATCTCAGGTCCTTTAATATGGATTCTCAGTGGAGTCAAATGAATTTCAAATGCATAACTTCTGATTGCCACCTGAGATTACTTGTATTTTGGTTGCTGTCCTCAAAGTAGTCAAGGAGTGGCAGTGGCATGAGCTGCTCTGGGAGAAGAGGGGAGAGGAATCCAGATTCTAGAATTGAGTTGCTTGTCTTTATTGTGTGTCTCCAGAAAATCAAGCCCTCTCTGACCCTCAGCTTACTCATCTATAAAATGAGAATGACCATATACTTGACAACAGACTCCTCAGGTGGACATGAGAATGAAAAGAAGAAGAAAATACAAGAGCATTTTGTAAATGTAAATGTAGCATAAATGTTTAAGTGTTCCTCATGATGATGGTAAGGATGAAGGCTTATTCCCAAAGCTGGCAAGCTGGCAGTGAATCTCTGTACTGTCCTGGACTTCTGGGAGAGAATTTCTGGAACAACCACAGGAAATTTGAAATGCAACTTTCTATGGACTTAAGGGTCAAGCCTAAACACGTTCTCCCTAGAAGTCTGCAGGTTCAGCCAAAGTCAGTCTTACTTAGTCCCATCTTACCTTCCTCCCTTATAACTGCCACTTAGTGTTTAGGTCCAGAATAGGAACTATTTGTTCTAGGATGCTGCTATGCTTCTTTCCATCAGTTTGGCAGCCAAGGGACTCTGAGCTAACCTCAATTCTTTACTGCAGTAATTGTCTCATGCTAAGCTCTGATATGGTTACCTTTCCCTTCCTCTCTGTAGACTCTGATCTTTCTGTTTGACTTTAAATGCTATGTTAGGGTCATTTTCTAAATGTCAGTTAATTTAACTTCTGTGTATGTGTGTGTGAAATAGTGTTATAAACAATAAATGAATGGGGAATAAATAGATGATGAAAAATGAATGAATAATAGAACCGTACCACACAAAGCATTAACCTTAATGTATGCACATAAAAAATCATTTAGGAAATCAGGGGAATCCCAGGAAGGAAGGCAGATGGTGACAAGCAAATATAACTGTATTACAAATGTATAAACCAATCTCACTGAAGAGGGTGGAAGGAAAAGGTGCTGACCTAAGTGACTTTGGAGATCAGTAGAGTCTGTGAGATTAAGGGCAAAATAAACTGCATATAAGCACTGTACTAATATTGATAAAGTTGTTTTTCATAGGGGAATAGGTTAAGAATTCTAGTATTGCTATGCATGCATACTGGAGTTGAATAATTAAGTAAATAGATGGCAGGTGGTGGGAGCTAGGTTTCTTGCTGTTGGAATGGAAATTTACAGATAAGCAAGGGTAGGAGGCTAGAATGATCCATGTGATAATGGATTAGAGTTGGAGACATCAGCTACTCATGTTTAGTTTAATACACATACAGACAATTACAGGTTGAAATATTTATAGGTATGTGTATATGTATATGCAGGAATTACAACACATACCTACATATATACATACACACATATACATATATTTTTGTTTGTTTTGTTCAGTCAAGCAAGTCTTCAAAACAAAAGCCCTCCAATAACAATGGGCACAGCTGGCACTAGATCTTGGTTTCTAATACCATTCTCCAATAAAACAAACCAGGACTTGTGGAAGTGGCTAACTCTAGGACCAGGGCAGGAAATATGCAAGATGAGCCTGGAGCAGAAAGTCAGGAAGTGATCATATTAAAAAAAGCTCACATGGATGGGATTATGTCAAAGGAGTACAGGAGCCAACTGAAAGAGCTCCCAGGGGCCAATGCTGGAACAGTTTGAGCAATAAAATTAACTAGTGTTGGATGAAAACACAAAGAATAAAATAAATGTCCATGAGTTCATACTTATCTAAATACATGATTGAATACATTAAAAAATGGAGGAGAGGAGACAAATCTCCCATGTAGAAGAATTCCAAATAATTTATCTATATACTCTACCCTCAAGGAGGGGAAGCATCACTGTCTTCCAAGGTCTACGATATGAGAAAAGGGAAAATGTATGTTTTGGTGGAAAAACCTGACAAGTACTACCTCAGTCAGGTGATCAAGGCCAACATCAATGGTCATAACTTGATGAAATGGTACTTTACCATTTGGGTCTTCTCACCAAGACCCATAACCCTACTCCAGTCATGAGAAAAACATCAAATCACTATAGTGGATCATGCAAAATGCCCAACTATTCTTCCCCACAACTGTCAAGGTCATCAAAAGCAAGCAAAGTCTGACAAAATTTCACATCCCAAAAGAGCCTAAGAAGGCGTCAAAATAAGTGTACATTGATATCCTATGTTAGATCCTGAAGCAGAAAAGGAATATCAGGCAAAAACTGAGAAAATCTGAACAAATTATTGAGTTTAGTTACTAATAATGTATAAATGGTGGTTCATTAATTGTTACAAAGATGTGATGCTAATGTGGGATAGGCATAGGGAACAATGGGTGCAGGGTACATGGGGACTTCCTGTATTATCTTCTCAACTTTTTTGTGTGAATTTAAAACTACTCTAAAAATAAAGCCCATGTTTTTTAAAAAAGAACTGAACAAATAGTTACTAACTTAGCTTTACAAATTGTTGAGCAACAAATTATTGCAATGTTTACTATGTGCCAGGCACTGCTATACTTAGATAGTTTGTGCCTTTATTTGTGTGTGTGTTAACTTATTTAATGTCAGATCTCATAGAATATCACAGATATTAAATGTGATAATACATGTACAGTGATTAGAACAGTGGCTGGAACTTAGTAGGCTCTCAATGATTCTTTGAAGTGGTGGTGGTGATTAATGATGATGATGAGTGGATTTTGCTTTTTAAAAAATTCATGGTTTATGGCACACTCTGATAGAATTAGGCATAAAGGTGGCTCCCCTATTCTCATCTGACGCTGGTCTGGCAAGCAAGTGTTTTTGGGTAGGGTGAGTCCTTAAGGGTGAGTAACAGTTTGTGGGGTGAAGACAGGGTGAAGGCAGATACAGCATTCTTGCAAAGGGACCTAGGAGGCCTAGAAGCATCACCAAGAGAGGTAATTTTTTTTTTATGAGACAGTTGCCCAAGTAGCTGGGTCTACAGGCAAGTGCCAATACGCCTGGCTAATTTGAAAAAAAAACAAAGTGTTTTTTTTGTTTGTTTTGTTTTGTTTTTGTTGTTTTTTGTAGAGAGTGGGTTTCACTATATTGCCTGGGCTGGCAGAGTGGTCTTTAATGCGGACTTCAGCTACATGTGACTTGCTTTTGCCCAAGCACATCATAGAAGGCCAAAAGGTGGGAAGAAAAATAAAGCTAGAATGGTTAACCATGACCAAACCCCAAAAGGTGTTGTCTGCAAGACTAGGGAGCATGAGGATTCTTCTGCAGATGACAGGGAGCCATTGAGAATGTTGGGCCCTGGAGAGATGCAATCATATTTACATTTTGTAAAGACTCACTCTGGCTGCAGAGTGGAGAGGGGTTGGAGTGTGACCAGATGGGATGCTGCAAGGCCAGTTGGATTGAAGCTGTTTGAAAGGCACGACATTTTCTTGGGGGCAGTTATAATCTTCTGACTTCCTAAGCTAACCACACGTTTGTGAAGTGCCTGTCTAAATATTCTCTTTTTATGTGTATTAACTATAAAGGTAGGAGCTAACTTTGGCACAGAAATGCACTTGTGAGGCAGAGTGAAACATTTCCTTTATGACTGATTCTTGTTCCAGCCAGCCTTGCCAGAAGAAAAGAATGCAAGCTAGAAATGAAAAATCAGTAAAACTTTAGGAGTTGCCATTTTAAAGCCTCTCTCTTCTTAGTCATGAAACCATAGTACGTTGCAGAACCTGAGTTTTTTGCTCATCTTCTCACATGTGTTTACCATGGCCAACTAAAAACTAAACTTTAGAAACTACCTAATATTCTAGTTATTCCTTGGTGGAATGGACAGGAAGCTGAAGTTATAGTCTGGCCACCTGACTTCTTGCCCCAGTTTGGTAAGAACTTACCAACAGTGGAACTTTCTATGGTCTCTCCACGTTTTGGAGTCAGTTTAAAAAATGTCTTAAGTAGAAGATATATCGCAACACCACCACCATCAGTACCACCATCACCATCACCACTACACTCATCATCACCAGCATCAACATCAACAGCTTCCCACATTGACTTCTATGTAACAGGTTTTCGTGAGTATTACATGTAACCATGCAGAGCAAAACATCTTGAACTTGGCTTCAAAAGATAATGGCATATGAATAATCTCTAAAGTGGCAATGTGGAAACTTTGATCAAATTCAGTTCCTGGCACATAGTAGGCACTCAGAGAATATTTGATGAATGCAAGGATGGCAATTTATTATGGCCTCCCCCTCCCCACACTATGTGAATGCATACTCTGTGATTTGGAACAAGGTATACATGTGGATTCCTGGCTTTCTACACATAGAATAGCTTAATGAAACATAACAGACTTACACCATAAGCACTGGATCAACTTTGGTTCTGTTATTAATAGAAATTTTAACTATGTCCTGAAACATATTCATGATTTTTGTAGAGTGAGCTTGATCATTCATTATTGAATCCGTTGGGAGACAAGCAGATTCTTTCACGGAACCTTTATCTATTTTTCTGTGTGTCTATGTATGTATGTATGTATCTATCTATCTCTTCATTCAGCCATCATCCATCCATAATATCTCCTTCTTTCTCTCTCTATCTGTCATCATAAATATCATTATTTTTTCACCAGCTATAGGTTCTATGTTGCCCTTTGTGCCCAGGGCCAAACTCTCTTCATCACAGACTTCGTGTTTTGCTCGCATTACGCTAAATTTCTAGGTGTTATCACTTCCTTCTTTCCATGCCAAACTGCCTGAGTCTCAGACTTGAGCAGGCTTTCATTCTCACAGGAAAGCCAGTTGCCTTTTCAGTAAGAATGTTTTCTTACAAACAAAACAAAACAAAAAGAATACAAACAAAAATTCCTAATAAATAGACTTCTAAACACAACTCTGAAAAAAAAAATGTTATCCACAGAATATTTCCTTGGGCTTCTCTCAAGCCGTGAGGGCTACATATTAACCTCTTTGTGGCAGAAACTTACTGGCTTTCTTGGCCGCAGCATGTAACACAAGGTTTGGTATAGATAATAAATATTTGTCAAGTAAATATTCCCTCTCTTAGAATCTCAGGACTAGACTGGGATGCAGGAATACCTTAGTGCTTTGCTACTGGAAGGATAATCCATGGATCAGCAGCATTGATAAAACCTAGGAGCTTGTTAGCAATGCAGAATTCCATGCCCCATCTGTAACCTATTATGTCACCATCTTTATGTTAGCTAGATTGAGGTGATTCATTTGAGAATAACTGATCGTGTTCACTGGTTATGAACCTTAGCTAAAGACTGGAATCATCTAAAGACATTTTTTAAAATATTGATACCCAGAGTCCCATAGCCAGAGATTCAGATTTATTCTATCTGGTGGTGGTGCCTGTATATTGAGCTTTTAAAAAGCTTCCCATGTCATTTAAATAATAAGCCAAGGTTAGGAACTATTGATCTAGTCCAACTTTCTCAGAAAACAAGTCATTATATGAAAAAGATACTTGCAGACACATGTTTATAGCAGCACAATTAACAATTGCAAAATTGTGGAACCAACTGAAATACCCATCAATCAATGAGTGGATTTTAAAAACTGTGATATATATATATATATATATATATATATATATATATACACACATATATATATATATATATATATATACACACATATATATATATATATATATACACACATATATATATACACACATATATATACACACACATATATATACACATATATATACACATACATATACATACACATACACATATATATACATATATACACATATATACATATATACACATATATACATATATACATATATACACATGCATATACACACATATATACATATATACATATATATACATATATACACACATATATATACATATATGTGTATATATATATGATGGAATACTACTCAGCCATAAAAAGGAATGAATTAACAGCATTTGCACAACCTGGATGAGATTGGAGACTATTATTCTAAGTGAAGTAACTCAGGAATGAAACCAAACATCGTATGTTGTCACTGATATGTGGGAACTAAGCTATGAGGATGCAAAGGCATAAGAATGATACAATGGATTCTGGGGACTTGGGGGGAAGAGTGGGAGAGGGATGAGGGATAAGGGACTAAAAATAGGGTGCAATGTATACTGCTCAGGTGATGGGTGCCCCCAAATCTCACAAATCACCACTAAAGAAACTACTCATGTAACCAAATACCACCTGTACCCAAATAACTTATGGAAAAAAAGAGAAATGACAAAGAAGAAAAAAATAGATAAAATTGTAACTTCTCCAAAGCCAGATGTATACCTCTGTGCCTTCAACACTACTTTATAGAGAGCAGGAACTGAGCAACATTTAGTCAACTACTGAAGGTACACCTCTTCTCTTTTCCTCTCTCCTAAAATTATCAATCTGTCCTTTCAACTTAGAGTCTTTCTACCTTATAACCATGATGCACAAGATTCCCCTAATAGCCATTTTTATGCTCTGTGGCTCTATCCACCTGCTGATTAGAGCGAGTGTAGCCTCACGCTGGAAGAATCAGCTTCTATTTTCTAAGTATTGATGGTCTTGAGTTCTGACTGGTCCTCTAGCAGGTGAAGACAGGAGTTGTGGGGCCATATATTCTACCATGAGAATTGGGAGCAGAGAAATGCTGTTAGGAAACAGAGGAGAAACGATGAATCAAGACCAAGCAGGAGTATAAATTGCAGACAGCCATTTATCAGGTTTACTTATGACTTTCTGTCCTGGTTTCCAGGCCCTTCCCTAGGCTCAGTTGCAATTTTCATCCCATCATTTTATGAAGATTCACTATTTCTAATATATCACCTGCATTTTTTCTTAAGCCAGCTCAAGTTGGGTATAGCCTTAACTGGAAAATAAAGTCCTAACTAATTCTGTCACTTTATTTTTCCCACCTCTTATTAGTACATATGGCAGAACATCAGTGAAACTCATAGTTAAGGGACAAGCTTGTAGGCTATCCCACCTCTAAAAATGACATAAGGTAATTCTTTTTTCCAGTAACATTGAGGGCACTGTGGAAATTGTCTATGATTGAGCCTCTGAGCTGGACCTTTCCACAAATGCTACTGTTTAATTCTCCCAACATTATCAACATGTTATAGAGAGGGAAACTGGGGCTCAGTATGGTTGGCTCACTTTCTCTAAGTTGCATGGCTAGAATGTGGCAGAGTTTGGACTCAAGTCAGTCTTTTCCCCTTTAAATCTATCTGGGGAAACTGCACGGTCAGAAGGGCATACTGGCTTGTTATCGATCAGGAAACTGATTATGGAGCAGGTTAATTAGAGCATCTTAAAGACCTTCTTTCCCAGCTTCCTTTGAAGGAGGTGTTGGCTTGGGAATGTTTTGGGGTCAACTTGAAGACTATATCTGCTGCTTTTATTCCATGACAGTGGACCATATTGTGGACTCACTATGGCCCTTGTCTGAAACCAACTGCAAACTGTAACAATAAAACATCACCTTTCTGATGTGAAGTGTTCCAATGCATCCTTGGAAATATTTGAAAAGCAGCCTAGCTCAGTGCACTCTGTCCCTTGAAACAACCAGTATTGCACTCTGTCCCTTGAAACAACCAGTATCAAATGTCCCCTAGAGTTCAGATTCATGTTTTCCTTTCTTCTACCATTTGAGCAAAAAGCTTGCAAGATTGAAATGTTTCAACTGAAAGGCTTTGTGTGTTTACATGGTTTCAATTGATGGTATTAACAGACTTTCTGAGCTGGCAGTGGGAGCTAAAGTGATGTCCACTGGTTGTCCCCCAGGGAATGAAATCTTGGTAGAAGGAAGTGGCTATGACCAATTTGCACTCAGAATCCTGGGGCTTGCACCAAGGGTGTAGATGTTGCAGGCAAGGCCAAGGTCTATCTGAAAGTTTTTTCTACATTTATATTCCAACCTGGTGATTTTAGAGGTATAAGAGGGCAAATCTTCCCTTTGATTATGTGAATTCATCAAAAAGGTACTAAACTATTCACGAACCTAAAATCTCACGTTAGGATGTGGCAGCCCTGTCTGAAGAGATTCTTGGTCTTTAGTTGGATCAAAGAGAGGCTAAGACACTAGCTTTCTCTGTGTCATACACCCCTCGAGGGCCAAGACTGTATTCAACTAACACTAACGCCCTGTGAGTGCCCATCTTATATTAGGTGCTGTGTTAGGTGCTACCAAGCCTCTGGGCTCTTGTACATGCTGGTTTTTCTCTCTGAAATGCCTTTCCCTCTTAATCATCCTGTGATTCCTACTCACTTTGCAAAACACATCCACTCCTTTCCCCTGAAGCCTTTCCTGATCCCTTCTACCCACCTCACTCCCTTTTTGTGCAATCTTTTATCTTCCTGCATTACTCTATTACTGTGCCTACAGTACATCTGTTTGCCGGGATACACGAGGAACTCTGGGTCCCTTGAGGACCAGGGTTCCTTGTGTATGGGGAGCACACTTTAACTGATTCTAGATCCTCAGCTTCTTGCTTCCTGCTATGAACATATGACTCAGTATGCCAACATTGTTTGCTTGCTTTCTCACCCTCATTTTAAAGATGAAGACCACAAACTCCATGGGGAAAACATCATCTGCCTGTAGGTCCCATCAGGATTTTTGGCAGCCCCAGGCTTAGAAACAAAAGTAGCCTTCCCCAAAATGTGTATTTAACTTTGAATTTTTCAACTCTGAATATACTCACAGATATATGTCAGATATATGCAAGATATCCCTTGCTGCACTTCTTAGATTAGCTAGTACCTGGAAACAATTGGTACATCAACGGTAGACTGGATAAAGCAAATATGGTCCATATATACCATAGAATATTATGAAGCCAGAAAAAGGAATGAGATTATGTCCTTAGCAGCAGCATGGATGAAGCTGGAGACCATTATCCTAAGCAAATTAATACAGGAACTGAAAACCAAATACCACATGTTCTCACTTATAAGTGGGAGCTAAAAATTGAGTATATATGGGCATCAAAGAAGGGAAAAACAGACACCAGACTCTACTTGAGGGTGGAGAGTGGGAGGAGGGTGAGGATCAAAAAACTGCTTATCAGGTACTATGCTTATTACATGAGTGATGAAATAATCTGTACACCAAACCCATGACACGCACTTTATCTATAACAAACTTGTACATGTATGCCTGAACTGCAAATAAAAGATAAAAATAAAAAATAAAACAATATAAAGAATAAACAATTAGTGTGGTCACTTAACAGAAGACTAGCATGTCTTCCAGAAAATACATCTAAACTATGATTTCATGTTAAGCACAAAGACTAAATAGATCTGTATGTAAATATATGAAAAATTATTGTGAACATAGTACTGAAGTGTTTATAAAATTATCCTTTTGTTAACTAACATTAAAAAGCATAAATGGTAGTTGGATACATATTTACAGGCTGGTATATGCTAAATAGCAAAATTACATGGTTCTTAATATGCAGAGCCTTTTTATCATTTTAATTCATTTAATTCTGACAACTCTCTTATTAGCCCCATTTTATGGAAAAATAAAATAAAAAATAAAAAAAACAAGGCAAAATGAGGCTGAGTAACTTGTTCAAAATCACACAGCTGGGAAGAAAGCAGGGATTTAGCGTGACCTGAGAAACTCCCTACCAGACAAGCTGAATCAGAATCTCTGAGGCAGATGCCAGGCCACCTTCCGTTTAGCAAATCCAGGTGACTTTCATGTCCCCTCATATCTGAGAGCCACAGCTCTCAGCCCTGATGTTCCACTGTTAGAATGTTTCTAAAGGAACCACAAAACTCTATTGGTTGTTAAGAGATTGGACTTGGAAAAGGAAGTGGAAGATATTTACTTTAACTTTGTTACTTACTGAACTCTTTGAATTGTCTAGACCTACCTATATTGTATTACTTTTATTTTGATTGGTTTTAAAGGTCAACAGAAATCACTGGGTAGGGGGATTACGGGCCATTTTTATATGTTTAGATTTTTTTTTTTCTTCTTCTCTATACTTCTCTGTATTAAGACAATAAAAAAGCAAGCTTAACCAACACATGCTATTTTTTTAAAATTGTGCTCAGAATGGGTCGCTTACAAAAGGATGCCAGGAGCACTTCCCTGTCAGAGCCACACTCTGTGTCTGCCACAGGAAAGCTTCTCTTGGCAAAACAAATGATTCTTTCACCACATGAAGAGCTGCCCCTCCTCTCTCTAAATTGGTAGCATCCATCACCGTCGGCTCAGACATGGTAGCTTTTCAATCCTGAGCCCCGGTGTGATAATTGGCATAATTTCCCTGAGATAATGTGGAGGTTAATGAGGTTCAGAGAGCTTTAGGCCATCCACTTTCATTTTCAGCTCAGGACGGAAACAGGGAATACAGGCTCTAATGAGAGTGGGAAAATCAACCAAAAACAAAAATGAAAGTGTCGCAGGAACATGGTGGGTGCAGATCTGAGATCTGCGGGAGAGAAGAATCATCCTAGCTAGCCAGTGATGGCATCTCCAGCTCCAGAGGGAAGCCCCTACACCTCTTAACCTTGAGGGAGGCCTCTTTGTCCAGGAGGGGCCACGGTGCACCCCAGCATACTCTAACTATGGTTGGTATTTCTTGAGATCTTTCAAATAAAGTTTTAAAAAGTGTTCTTGATTAATAAAAGAATTCTGCATACCTGGATGACCACCTGTCTTCCAAAAAGTCTAAAAGCAAATTAGAATATTTAAAGCTCTGTTCACAGAGCTTTTCCAGCAGGAAGGAAACGTCTTTAGTGTTGGTTAATCTAGAGTTGTCCAGGGTAATTTGACTATGGAATCTTTTTCTTTCTTTAAAAAATTGTTTCACTTTCTGATCTCTTCTGACAGAGCCATAGTGCTGTATTGCATTTATTGCAGTGTAACCTGGAAAATTCTAGTATAAACAAAGGGGATGTCTCTAGTCTAGATTGTTGAAGCTATGAATGCATTCATTTACTCAACTGACATTGACTGGTTGTGAGTGTCAGGCTCCAGGGCAGGTATTGGGCTTGGGATACAGAGATGAAATAAACATCGTATCTTCCCTGAAAGCCCTCATAGTCTAGAAGGGAGAGAGGAATGTAAACAAACAGTAAAGATGCTGAGAGCAAAGGACTGTGGTGGAGGCAAGTCCCTCACATTCTGAGAGCACAGGGCAGAGTTCCTGACAGAGGAGTAAATGAGAGAACTGGGCCTTCAACCCGAGGACGAGGAAGCCCCCCAGAGAACGGGGGTTATGTGTGGGCCGTAGAATCAGATGACCGGGTTCTGTCACCTACAAGGTGTATAACCTTGGGCACTTTATCCCTGATTTCATTATGTGTAAATGAAGGCAATAATAACAATACCTAGCTTATGGGATTGGTGTGAGGATTAAATGTACATAACCCACTTGATACGATGCTCCTGATATAGAAGAGAATGCAGATTTCTCAAATATTTTGAAAGTAGGGAACTGACAAGGTACAGGTGACCGACAGATTGGATGAGAGGTAGGGTGGAAGGAAGGCTGAGGAGCCAACCAGGCATCTGGCTGAGTGACAGGACAATGGGGGGATGTGAGAGGAGAAGAGAAAAAACAAGTTTCTTTGCCTTTTTTTTTCGTTTTTGAGGGGAGGGGTTTGAATATGATTGACTTTCCACTAAACCAGAGTGTGGCAGGTTGAGTTGTGTCTCCTAGAAAGATATGTTCAAATTCTAAGACCAGTACCTATGAAGGTGATCTTATTCGGAAATAGGTTCTCTGCCTTGTAGTTAGTTAAGATGAGTTTATTAGGGTGGGACCTAAACTCCGTGACTAATAACTTATAAGAAGAGGAGGCTTTGCACAGAGACGAATGGGGAAGGCAGCCATGTGAAGGCAGAGGCAGTGATTGGAGTGATGCAGCTGTGAGCCAAGGAATGCCAAAGATGGCTGATGTGGTTTGGCTGTGTCCTCACCCAAATCTCACCTTGAATTGTAGTAATCCCCAAGTGTCAAGGGTGGAGCCAGGTGGAGATAATCGAATCATGGGGGTGGTTTCCCCTTTACTGTTCTACTGATAGTGGGTCAGTCTCATGAAATCTGAAGGTTTTATAAAGGGGAATTCCCCTGCACATGCTGTCTTGCCTGCTGCCATGTAAGATGTGACTTTTCTCCTCATTTGCCTTCAGCCATGATTGTGAGGCCTCCTCAGCCATGTGGAACTGTGAGTCCATTAAACCTCTTTCCTTTATAAATTACCCAGTCTCGCGTTTGTCTTTATTAGCAGCATAAGAATGGACCAATACGATTGCCAACAAACAGCAGAAGCCAGCAGAGAGCTGTGGAATAGATTCTGCTTCACAGGGTTTAGAAGGAACCAACCCTGACAACACACTGATTTTGGATTTCTGGCTTCTAGAACTTTGAGGGGATAAAGTTCTGTTGTTTTAAGACACCCGGTTTCTGGTGTTTTGTTACGCAGCTCTAGGGAACAAATACACAGAATTTTATAACCTCAGCATGATTTGGGCGAGATAATTCCTTGCTGGGAGGATGGCAGGAAGGACTGTTTGGTGCACTGTAGGAAGTTTAGCAGCATCCATGACCTCTATCCACTAGAAACCAGTAGCACTACCACCACCTCTCCCAGTTCTGACAAACTAAAACGTTTTACAACATTGCCAAGTACACAGTGGGGCAAAATCTCCCCTGGTAGAGAGCCACTACACTAAGCAATTGTTTGTTGTCCATTCATTTATTTATTCATCGATTCACTTATTTATTCATTCATGCATTTATTTATTTGGTAACTGTTGTTAAAGGAAAAATCTTAGACAAATTAAATTTAACAGAGTTTAATTGAGCAAAGAACAACTCATGAATTAGGCAGCCCCAGAACCTGAATACATTCAGAGAAACTCCAGCCCCACTATGCGGTGGAAGAACATTTATGGGCAGGAAAAGGAAAGCAATGTGCAGAAAATGAGAGTGAGGTACAGAAATAGCTGGGTCAGTCATGGCTTGGTGTTTGCCTTATTTGACCCTAGTTTGAACAGTTGGCTACCTTTGATTGACCAAAACTCAGTGATTGGTATAAGAGTAGGTTACAACTGTTTAGGTTACAGTTCACCATGTAAGAAGAGATCTGCAGACTGAACTTAAAATATGTAAAGATGCAGCTTTAGGCTAAATTTAATTTAACAGTATTTTCTTACAACTGAATATGGACTAGACATCTTCTCAGGCTCTGAGCATGCAATGGAAGCACATTCTTTGTGTTCATGAAGATTGCAGGGGAGTTAGGGTGGGGTACAGATTCTAATCAAATAATTACACAAACCCTGTCAAACTGAGGTAAATGCTCAGAAGAAAATAAATATAGTTCTAGGAAAATATAACTAAAGAGTCTGACTTAGATGGTGGGAGGCAGGGCTGACTGGGGTCTGAGAACATTAGGGCTTACCTAGGCACACATGGCAGGGAGAGTGGCAGCATGCAAAGGCCCTGTGGTAGAGGGGAGCCCAGAGAGCCAGGGAAGACAGGCAGGAAGATGGGCACTGAGCAGGGGCTGAGGGCAGAACCCAGGTAGGCCTTTTTTAGGATTTGTTCTGCATCCCAGGATTTGACCTGGTAACAGGGCACAAGGAAAGAGATGGTAGAGCAAAACAGACAGACAGGGCGCCCACGGTTGCATTAAGAGCACTGGCCATTGATTCCTTTCTTTTTTCCAACAAACAAAGGGAGGCCCTTCCTGCCATGTGGCTGTAGGCTGTCAGCTGTATCTGGGACACAGGTGGATGTGCAGTTTCTGGAAAGGGCTGTCTGACTCTTTATGGCTTTGTAAAGAGGTGTCCAGAGGCCATCATGTTGGTTCATAAAAAATGTTCTGAAATCTAAATTTATGCCTTGTAGCTCTCTGGTGAAAATAGCTTATTGTCCTACAAGATGGATGCAGCCAACCCCTTCTAGGGAGTAAGATTTTTTCTGGAAGCCACTTTTGGGGATGGATGTGCTGGATCACTGCCCACTGACCTGGGCCCTGGGGAACAGTCCTGGTCAGCTGGCATCAGATCTGGAGCAAATTGCACCCCAGTCCCTATTGCTTCCTGTTCCCACTGCTCTCATCTTGCATTTGTATATTGACACAGTTCAGATTGAAATCCTAAGCAAAGGACTGTAAGTATGGAACACTGATGTTCTTCATCCCAGGTCTGCAGCTCCTCAGATGCAGTGCCTTGGGGAAGACCCCTGCATTTCTTGAACCCTCAGCTTTCTGTTCTCCAAAATTGGGTGAGGGGCCTCTGACCTGGATTCTCCAAAATTCTCAGGTCAAATGAGAGTCCTGAGTGTGCACTACTCTAGAAATCATGAAACTCTTTGCAATAGCAAGCTACACAGACCAGAGTGAAAGCACAGGCTTTGAGGTCAATCGATTTGGGGTTAAATCTTGATTCCCCTAGTTGCCTGTTCTGAGACCACTTCAATATGAGCCTCAATTTTCTCACTTGTAAAAAGGGAATTATCCTATCATATGAATTATTGAAATTATTAAAAATTTTCTTAGGAATAGTACTTAGCATATAATATCATATAATTTAATGCATAGCTCTAATAACTAATTTAACTATGAGCTTTGGGTACTTGTAAAGGAGGAAAAGTCATGCAGACAACTCTCCTGGGAGCTGAGGAAGCTGGTTTCTGGGGCAGGTGGGCCTAGTGCCTTTGACATGAACTTGGGCCAGCTCCCAGCTTGAAGCCTCTGTGCCCTCTTTCATCCCCAGCACACATAGCACTGCTGCTGGCCTGGTCTTCCTGGGTCCTCCCTGTAGTGTCCTCACATCTGTCCCTTCCTCTTCATTTTTCTTCAGAGTCCCCACTCCTTTCTTACAACTTCTTGCCACTTTCTTTTAACATTTCTGACCTGTGCTACAGCTTCCCCAGCACTTGCTATATCCTCCTGCTTGGCCTGAGTGTTTGGTCGGGGCTGGGTCTGCGTGTGGGGTCTCTCTGCTTCCCTCTCAGGGCCCAGAGCATCACTCCTCACTTCTTCCACAGAGATCATCTCAGTGCCCCACATACAAAGCACTGTTCTGTGGGCTGCATTCAGAGGTGGCCAGACTGGGAGGCCCCTGCCCTCATGGAGCTCCCATTCCTCGGGGAACATAGTCACTATAAAAAAAGAAGTCAAATACATAACATAATTATGGGTCATGACAGGCCCATGCAGAAAAATAGAGCAGAATATTCCAATAGAGTGCACTGGGAGAAGCTATTTAGAGAAGGAAGATCAGGGCCCAGGGCCTGTCTGAAGGTTTGGCATGGTGTGGTTACAGGCATTCTGGGTGTGGAGTAGAAGTCTATCTTTCCCTTTCCTGTATCCTTAGATCTTCCCCTTTCGCTGGGAATTAATCCAAAGCAACCCAGGCCACTTTGGTAAGAGTATTAGCATCCTAGAGCTGCTATAATCAATTACTACAAACTTGATGACTTCAGACAAAAGTAATTTATTCTCTCCCTGTTTTAGAGGCCAGAAGTCTGAGATCAAGGTGTCATCAGGGGGATTCTCCTCCCCAAGGCTCTAGGGGGGATTCATCCTTGCCTCTTCCAGCTTTTGGTGACTCCAGGCATTCCTTGGCTTGTGGCTACATCACACCAGTCTCTGCCTCTGTCTGCATACAGCCTTCTCCTTTGTTTCTGTGTCTTCTCTTCTGTCTCTTACAAATGTCTTATAAAAACACTTGTCATTGGATTTAAGGTCTGTCCAGATAACCCGGGAATGAGCTCATCTTGAGATTCTTAACTTAATTACATCTGCAAAGCCTATTTTCCCAAATATAGTCATGTTTGTAGGTTAGGAGTGTTAAGGCACAGACAAATCCTTCTGGGGGTCACCGTTCCACACATTACAGCCAGTGAAGGAAAAGACAGTCCCCCAAATTAGCGTCTATTCACTCAAAAGATTCCAGCTTCTATACAGGGATTATATCAGCATTTTACTTGAAATTAAATTTATTTCTGGTTTTACTTTAAAGCATTTAAAACTTCAGTGCTATGCCACACCAAGCTCCTCATTAGGCACTATCAGCTCCTCCCCTTTCTGAAGGACATGTTCAGTTCCTCTTCACAACTCTCCAAACATGCCCACCTCTGTGCCCACGCATAAAAACAGCAAAATCTGTCGCAGGGGTGGGGGTGGTGAAACTGTTCTCCCCTGAACCAGGTCTGTCGACTTTGAGCTGGATATGGGCTTTGCCCAGTATTTAGGGCAAGAAAATGAAATTATTCCCACCTAGAAAAACAACCATGTCTGCTGGGCTGTCCTAGAACACAGAGGAAGAAGCTCAAAGCTCCGGGTCTGGCCAGCCTTTGTTTTGTGTGTGTGTGTGTGTGTGTGTGTGTGTGTGTGTGTGTGTGTGTGTGTGTGTGTGTGTATTTTAACTCAAATTCATTTTATTTCTGTTGTTGAATTGCACATACATACACACACATGCACGCACACACATACACATTGTAATCATACAAAGAATGTAGATAAATATACAATAAAGTGGAAAGATGAAATAAAGTATAAAATAAGATGGAAAGCCCCTTTTTCCTTTTTCTTTTGCCTAATTCCACTCTTGTAGGTACTCAATGTATTTTTCTCTAGAAAATGTATACATATCCAAAAAGGACATGCGCATTTGTATGCATAGCTAGGATCTGTTTTTGTTTTCTTTTACATTTTATACATGTACATATTTATATTTAATGCTTTTCTGTATGAAAAAAGGTCCATACTTTACTTTCTTATGGCCCTACACATTGCTTTTCCTCCTAGTGGTCTGTCTTGGAAAGGTTTTCCTTGCTGAGATGTACTGATATATCCCATTTTTCACAGCTACAAAAAACTCCATTTGATGGATGTACCGTAATTTATCTGACCACTCCAACTGGCTTCTGATGGAGCAAGTTAACACACAAGGTTTAGCTTCCTGAGTCTCATTCTGTTGTGCTTTCCACTGTAGTTATTCATACAGCAAATATAAATATAATAAGCATAGAATATTACTTATACATGTAATAATACATATTATGTACAAATTATATAACAACATATATGACAATTTATATGTGGATCATCATTTAATTATCACAACTCTGGGTGAATATAATCCTTATCAATAAAGGCAGCTGAATTTTTAATCTTCGATATGAAAATAAGGAGACTGAGGTTCATGGAGGTGAGGAGTCTTATTTGAGGTCAAGGAGAGTCAGTTCCATGCCCTTTATTTCTTATGTTATACCACAGTCCCCATTGTTTTACCTTTTCTTTGACAATTTGGACAAACCTCAACCTTTTGGGCTCCAGCCCTAGCATCTTTCCTGGCCACGTTTTTCTTTTCCGAGTCCATTCTCTGTTCTCTAAGACCAGTGGGAATGTAAACCTCCTTATGTCTGAGTAAGTGCGGAGGGATGACGCGTCAAGCCTGGCTGGTTTCTTGATGGACTGTGAACCCCACACTCTCGGGGCCCACATGTGTCTGCATTACTTCCTGTGCAGTCTGCTTCTCCAGCTATCACACTCCAAGGGAAAAGAAAAATAAACTTGGCCCAGATCTCTCCTGTCTTGATTCCTGGGTGGGCCCGATAGCTGTGTGGCTCAAGTCACTCGGCTCATAGCATTAGTTGTAACTTCCTACTTTTTACAACTAGCATGTGAAGGGACTATATTTGATGAGCTTTGTGGCTGCAGAAAATGCCAACTCATTCGAGTCAGGATGCCCAAATGTCCGTCTGCTCCTTAAAGCCTGGAATGCCCACCCATCCATGAGGTTAGACAGTCCCAGGCCTCTCTCAAGGTAGCTGATCTGAAGGCACAGCAGAGACCTACGTGGAGCCCATGGGGATAATATGAGCTTGTTGTGGAGGAATTCATACAGAGAGCTGCTGTTGAAAAGAAAGAGTATCTGCACATTGAGTCCTTTTATACTGACCTGTGTTGTGTCACCTGGAAATTCTTGCATCTGTGTAAAAGCTTTGATAAAGGACTAGGGTACACTTACTTTTCCTCTATGGAAGTTCTTTTCCTCTAATTGTGGTACAGTACATTCATTCTCTGGGAGGTTCTTGGGGAAGAAAACACCCTGTTGCCAAAGAGTATGTTAATTATAATATATCATATTTATCTTTTTCACAGTCACGACGTACATTAGCCTCTAAAATACTCAGAAATTCTATGTTAAAAAACTTGCTTAACTTTGTTTATTCCAGAAATTCCCCAAATTATTTAACTAAGGAATGTTCTTTTCTTTTATTTTGTTCTAATCTAATTTATTAGCAGACCACAGAAACAATGTTTCCCAGAGATAAGTTTGGGAAACACTTTCCTGGGAGAAGTAATCTCTTCATTCAATGAATGAATGAAACAGTGGGCTCATAGAAAGGCCCATTTCAATACACACACAAACACGCACACAAATACATTCTTAGGTATAAGTGTTCTTAATTTCTGTACAGTGTGTACCCCTTCAGAAAGCCTAAACTGACCAGAAAAAAACAAGTTTTCCTATGACTGGTGTCAAATGCATTTACCAGACCACCATTAATCAGGGCAAGAGGTCCCAAGGAAGCCGGAAGAGTCAGACCCACATGTTTCTCCTGACAGTGCAGTCAGTGCTAATGGGATCAACGTGACAAGTGTGAGCCATCATGAGAAAGTTGGTGCTTCGTGCATGCTATTCTGCAGTCCAGGAAAATTGGGAATATTTGATTTAGGACACCAGTGAATAGGTACCAGCTATTTGTTTATTTCAGCGGTAATTAATTCGTTCATATTCAAAGAAGGAGATGAGTTCCAGGATGCCCTGTGGTCTCTGCAACATGAAAACCAGGCAGGATTGGAACGTCTCTGTGGGGCCAGGTGCCTCAGAAAGCTGTTGCCTCCTGTGCTCTTTGAGACCTTTCTCCTTGCAAAGCTTCAGGATCAGGGACTCCTGAGCACAATGCCTCCCTCTGTTCCTCTCTCCATGATCACAAAAGCCTGAGTGTGGAGCCATATGTGTCATAAAAACAGCCACAACAATCTGTGTGTGTGCTTGTGTGCTTATGTGTGTGTGTGCGTGTGTGTGTGTGTGTGCATGCACACTAGTCTGTTTATGCAGGTGTTCAACAAATATTTGCAAATATTGAACAAATATGTGTCAAGCACTGGGGATACAGAGGGCACAATTCGGACAGCCCTCTTGTCTTGAAGGAGAAGCATCTTAGCATAACAGTAAGAGCACTGCTTTTGAAACCAGATAGGCATGGCTTCCATTGTCAGCCCTGCTTATTTATCTCAGCTGAGTGACTTCCATCCTTTACTCCCCATGCCTTGCTTTTCTTAAAAAATGAGGATAGATTTCAGGGTTTTGTAAATACTGGTGATAATGTAAGCAGGTTCCCAAACCGTAGCAGGCACTTATTCAAGAGTGTGTATTTATCATTAGAATATCAATTGTTATTTAGCGTTAGCAGGATTGGGAACTTCTGAAAGACCTCCTATATAGCAAACAGCAACATTTTCTTTTAAAATGATGAACTAGATATCAGAAAAGATAATGTTAGACAGTGTCATCAAGGTGGTGTGTATATATGTTTGTGAGTGCACATGCCTGTGTTATGTTTTAAAGCGTAAAGCTTTAAAGATAATTAAAGAAAAAAAGAGTTGCAAATAGCACCTACAAGTGACTCTGACTAAAAATAGGCAACATGATGTGTGGAATTAAATAGAAAAATCTTCCCAATTGCTGTATGCTACATTCTTTCAGGTTACATTATCTTGAACTGCCTTAAGTGAAATATTCCATTGGGAAAGAAGGAGAAAAAGAAATGAAAGAATCTTCTAAGAAAAGGATGGAAACTAATTTTCAACTCCCTCAAAATACAATGTGTGGGTCACAAAACTGGGTGACCACTGGGTGAAAATGTCATTGTGGCTTTCACACGTGCACACAAGCGCTCACACACTCACACCTGCTCACTAAACATGCTGCAGGCAGTTCCCAAAGTCTCCATGTGGATCATCTCATTTAACACTCAAATCAACGCAATAATTTACTGTTAATATGCCCATTTTACAGATCAGGAAAACTGAGGTTTATGAAATTTCAATAACTTGTGCAGTCGGGATTCTAACCCACCCGAGCAGTCTGACAATTAAGCTTGGATTCATAGCTCCTGATTCCACTGGCTCAGTGGACGCTGACAAACTTTATAACCCACCAAGGAGGCAGAAGAGAACTCTGAGGAAAAGATGACCCTAGGGTTGAAGAGCGTGGCTTCCATTCTGGCAGTGCCCTACCAGCTGTGTGACTCCCAGGGAGTCCAGGGTCTTACCTGACCCAGGGGCCAGTTCTATCCCCAGGGTAATAATAAGAACTGAAAGTGGGGCTGTACTTTGAGCTACACAGCCAGATCCAGAGTGGGGGATGGTTTCTTTTCTATCCTTTCTTTTCCTCTGACCAAAGCACCCCATCCTTGAACATGAGGTCCTGGTTTTACTTTCTTTGGCTTAAGAGCAGCATTTGAGAGAAGTCAACAATCCGGAGACACGGGAGACAGCCAGGCGGAGGAAGACAAACAGAACTGACACAGAGCAAAAATGCAAAGGTATTCAAAGTGTGGGCTCTCATTTCCACTCCCCTGCCTGAAGCCTACCAGACACTGGGCTTCGAGAAAGAAAAAAAATCTGATTTGTACTGAAAGGGGCCAAAAATAACCTTGCTTTCTCCTGCAGAAGAAAACAGAAAACTCTGCGGTTTTCTCCCTTTTGGATTTCCTTTTTCCTTGGCTGTGGTTGGCAGGGTGAGCCTGGGCTCTGGGCTCAGGCCTGGATGGAAACAATAGGCCAAAACAGTGAGGGGTGACAAGGGGGATGGAAGGGACAAGACTGAGGTGGGGCCGACGCTGATTTAAAGCCCCGTGTTTGACGAGGGGCAGGCCGGCTCCAGGAAGAGACAGCCACAGGGAAAAGAAGACTTCACTTGCATATGCTAATTGCAAATCATTTCTAATCAGGAATAGGCCTGTTTTCCTGTCCCTCTAAAATATCTTGCATCCCCACTGCCCTGATGTGTTTCTTACTATTTTGCCAAATTCTCCTCCCTGGACTTCTGGCTTCTAGGCTATTTCTATCTTTTTCACGTTTTCTAAAATACAACTCTAATGTCCCTCCCTGTTCAAAAGCTTCTGGTGAGGCTCCATCAGCTACAGATAACTGTCCATATTACATCTCAAGCTGCATATTTTTCTCTCTCCCTGAAATCTCACTCATCTTACTGAGTTTGCAAACCTTTCTCCAGCCTCTTGCTTTGGTCAGTAATCACTCACCTCTCCTCTCGGCATCCCAGTGCCCCATCCATCCTTCATGGCAGAGCTCTTATCTCTTCTCCTCCACAATGTCCTCCTCAGCTCCAGGTGGTTCCTCTACTCTAAAGGAAGGGCTCTTTTCACAAATGCTTTCTCATGGAGTTGTCACATTGGCCCTAAAGACTGACTGCAAGTTCACCCAGCTTGCTGATGAGAAACCCAGGGTTCAGAGAGGAGAGAGAACCTGCTCAATGTCACAGACCTCATAGGTGTTGGAGCTGATGCGCCCTTGACTCCTGGACTGGATACCTTTGTGATTGGCAGCTGCCAAAACCACACTGGAATTTCTCTCACATTGCAGAAACCCCTAAATTTCATGCCATGCTATTTCTCTGAAATAATTAAGCACAATTTTAGGGAGTCACTAGTGCTGGAGAGAGACAGTCAATGTTGTTGCCCTGGATGTTTTTGGCTTCAAGTTTCTCCACAATGGGGAGAATGTATTTTTAGCTCAGAAATCCAGCAGGGTGTGATAATTCCTGCCTTTTTTTTTTTTTTCTTCAAATGCATACCCTATTGTTAAGCACAGAGGAAAAACCTGATCAGGCCAAGGAGGACTCAAACATTGACATGCACGACCCAGGAGAGAGAAAGAGGCTCCACAGGGAGTGTGTCTTAGTTTTCAGGAGGGAGCTGGACCTATGTTGAAAATGCTTTGATGGTGAAGATTGTGGAGTGACTGTGACCATTTCCAATGCTGAGTCTCCGCTGGGTGACCATTTGTGTAAATTACAACCCTGACCCCACAGAGGAGGAGCCCGTGCTTCCAGACTCTTCTGCTAACCTCTTTGGTCATAGTTCTCCCCAGACCCACTCATGAGGAAGGGCTGTCCCTGAGAGCTGCAACAGCCCCTAGACTTGATGTCCATTCAGAGATCCAGCAAATTGTTGTTGGTCTCCTTTCAGAGACAGATTTGGACTTAGCGGTTCCCAGTAATCCCTAAGGAGTCTTTGTGAATTCTTGAGATAAACTCCAGGGCATGTTATAGAGCAGTGGTTTTGAAAATGTCAGGCTACCAGCATGAGCTTCACCTGAGAACTTGTTATATATGCAAATTCTCAGTCCCCATCCTGGACCTGGTGAGTCAGAAATGGGAAGAGGGGTACAATCTGTGTTTCGACAAACCTTGCAGCTGATTCTGATGCAATTTTGAGAACCACTGTTATGGACAGACATGAACAGGGCAGGAGGCACTCCCAGTAGGAGTCCACATTATATTCCATTTCTACTTCCAAAGGCAATACCAAGTAGGCAGTGACCCACATCCCCTTCCACAGTGCTATTTTAAGAGGTTCATCTAATCGCTGATGTGCTGCAGTCTCAGCTTCTATAGCAGCTTCAACATCCTCACCCTAGGCTGGTGGCCTCTCCCATCAAAGCTGTGCTGTAGAAGACTGAACAGGTCCTTGTCAACTGGACAGTGAGTGCCTTGTGTGGGCCATGCATTGTGTTAACCTCTAGAGACATTGAGTAAAACAAGAATAACAGTGTCTGTCTTTGTGGAACTGAGAGGCTGGCAAAAATAATATACATTAAACTGTGATGTGTGATGTTGGTACCCCAGTAGAGACGGAGAGGGAGAACTGTCAGTCCATAGCAGAAAGACCCACCTGACTCAGTTCACCATTATAAAGAGAAGGGGAGAGGAGAAGAAAGGGTGAGAGAGAGGGAGGGAGAAAGGAAGGAAAGAAGAAAGGGAAGAAAGGAAGGAAAGAAAAAGGAAGGAGGGAGTGAGGAAGGGAGGAAGAAGGAAGAAAGAAAAGGAGGTAGAAAGGAGGGAGGAAGGAAAGAAGGAAAGGAAGAAAGGAAGGAAGGAACAAAGGGAGGAGGGAGTGGAGAAGAGAGGAAGAAGGAAGAAAGAAAAGGAGGTAGAAAGGAAGAAAAGGAGAGAAATTATCTGGTTAAATTTTGATCCCTAAAAACAATCTGTATCTAAGTGTTTTACACTTGCCTTAGATAAATGCCTTAGAAAAGGTTTTGAAATAGAATAACTTGGCGATTTATTCTTCTTTCTGCCCAGTGAACTCCTCTGAGATGAAAAAGCCATCCTCCTCCTGCCATGTAGCAACAGTTCCCAAAATACAACAGGAATTCCTATGATTTGAGAATGCTTTTGTAATCACTCCCTTGCTAGCACAAAACCCAGAACCTTGGAGGCTTGTGCATAGAAAGAGGATTTTCTCAAAAAGCAGTGTGGCCAAAAGGAGACTCTACCTGACATGTAAGCTCCCCATGGAATAGTCGTTTCCCCATGCCTGGTTATCCCACACTTCGTTTTGCCCATGCCTAACTATGCCAGACTGGGGAGCCACACCCTTCTTCCTTGCCAGCATGACCCAAGTGTTGGTCATTGTCTGGCACCCTGTGCCCCAGGAGTGGCTGTACTCATCTTAGGCCCAGCAGGTGAATCTAAATTAGTCTTGGCCAGTGCTTGTCTGTCCAGATTGCACAGAAGAATCATCCAGAGGGCTTTAAAATATATCCCCACTGGGATGACTTTTTCGGGATTCACTTCTGTTCAATGAGATATGAAGGTAGTTGTACTAAAAGGCCTTTCTTATTTTTAATAAGAGACCCATGGAGGAAAGGAAAAATGACTGATTTCTGCCTCAAGACATCACCCTCTGCTTTTAATGCCTGGGATTGCAGCAGCCATTATGGGACAGGCTAACCCACTGGGGATGGTGAAGTGGAAAGGTGGAAAGAGCTTAGGTCATTGACGATGTAAGTGAGCCTCAAAGTTAACCAACTCTGAACCCCGTACTTCTGTATTTAGCAGTCATGTGGCTTTGGAAATACCAACCAAGCTCTGTTTTCTTTATTTGGAAAATGAGGATAAAAACATTCATCTCATACTGAGGTTGTGCAGATTGATCAGATTAGGAATCAATACATCTGAAATGCTTGGCAGAGTGCCTGATTCTAAAAAGAATGGTAAATGATGATAATAAGTTGGTTAATATTAAAAGTAATACTACTGATGATTGTTGCTTATCCTAAGAAGAGTAGAGTGCGGTCATTACCTCCCATATCCATGCTTTAGAGAATCTGCTTTTCTTAATGTAACTTTGAGATTATGTTAGGGTTTAGCTTGTTTTTTTGATTCATCTTCTAAAGTTTTAAAAATTATTGTCATAATCTAAATATATATATATTTTTCTAATGGGTGATGTCATGATTTATTCCTGGGGTAGAGTCAAGATAGGTTTTTATCACGTAGACTTCTTTTGAGCCAGCTCTACTTTCTGCTTTCTCAGTGAACTTGCAAACAGCGTCAGGACTGGACACCACGTGCTAGTGGTCCAGACTGAATGGATTGGGTTGGGCACCATAATGAACATTGACCCTCGGAGGTTGGCAGCCTCATCCCTTCCCATGTCACATTAACCAGACACACCAGTGTTCATTTATCATATGCGCAGCAATTAGGGATGAACCTCAATGGGACAGTCTCAGGACAACTTCCCATCAGAGCTATTTTCAATTTCTTCTGGCCCCTTCTCTGCGGTGGACTCAGCCAGCTAGGCTGGGGTGTTAGTGCTCCCTCTTTTCTATGTGCTCTGGGACATCTCAGGGCAGACTTTTCAGCATGGCCTCAAAGGTGAGAGATAACCTGGCATTGTGGTTTCCAAAGGAGATTCCAGAGTCAAATTGTCTGGGTTGAGTTTGTCCATCTATGTTTGCGTGATCTTAGGTGAGCTACTTACCAACCCAAGGGTTATTTGTTTCTGCACTTTTAAAATGAAGCAGTTGGACTTCTCAGCTGCAAGATTCTCAGATTAAAAAACTATCAGAGAAATCTATTTCTCATGCAGGCATATATTAATTTATTTATTTTTACAGAAAGCAGTTTCTCTCAGGGTGAAGGTTCTTAGTGCTTGAATAAAATAAGTTCTCTTCAAGTGTGCTGCATGTTTTTATAATATTCAATTGTCTTCTCGTCTGGATGAAAAGACCCCAAATTTTACACAGTAAAGTTCGCATCAATCTTTTATTTCCACCAGATAGCCAGACAGAGCAGAATATATGAATTAGGCTCAGCTTTCCCCTTGGAGGAACAGGAGGGCGACGCTGCTGCCCCTTTTTTTGTTGTTCATAATTTATTATTATAGAGAGTTATAAAGGGCCTTTTCTTAAGCACTTCACAAAGCAGATTGGAACAGAAAAGCAATGTAGTTAAACCTACTAAATTGCTGATATAGGGGCAAAGTTGAATTGGGTTTAAGGAACCCAGTGTGACCAATAATATTATTCCTAGAGGCAATTACTAAGACTTTGTTCCCTAGGGTACCTTATGCTTCTACTCTGAGCACCAGGAACAGGAATAGGGGAGAAGTGTGGGTCTCTCTGAACCCTCTATCCTGTTCAATTGCTGCCTTTTTTAGGATTCTTTAAATGAGAGCATCTCAATGCCAGCCTCTATTGGCTTTGCTAACTTTCTAGAGCATTCTCCCCAACTCGTTTTAGACTCTTCCAATGCCATTATCTTCATATTGTACTCTTTCTAGAAAGCCTCCTTTGACCAGCCTTGTCTCAGAGGTTAGGAGCCCTTCTTCTTAGGCGTCCCCACAGTGTTCTGAACTTGCCCTAATGGCTCCTGTAGGAATCATTTATTGACTTGTTTGAAGCTCTCACTAGCTTGGGAGCTCTGGGCAGGGGAAAGCCACGTCTCCCCTTGCTCATTACCTTATAATCAGCATTTGTGTAAGACTGGCTTGCCATGCTTTGCAGATGCTGAATAAATAGCTCTCAACTGAACCAGTAGAGTCCTGAATTCACACCTTCACCCCGCTGAGGATTCAGACTACACTGGCTTTTCTTCACATGTGAGCTTAACTCAAGTCTACATTTTCCACAAGATGCTCACTCCGTTCATGTACAGCCTTTACTAGCTCTACCTCATGCTGAGCTCCCCCTTCTCTGAAGTCATAACTGTGCACTCCACAGTGTAGAGTTCAAGATTATGGATTTTAGAGTGAAACTTTCTGAGTTCAAGTGTAGGATCCCCCCAAACACTACTTGTGGGATCTTGGGCAAATGACTTAAATGCTGAAATCTTGCCTCCTCATTTGTCAAATGGAAATGCTAGAATTTATTCCTCCATATTATTGTGAGGATTGATTATATGAATAAATATTTGCAAAGCCCTTGGCATAGTGCCTGAGCCAATTCAAATGTTTACCAAAAAGAAATAAAATACCAACACCTTCAGTATAATTTGGAGTTTCTAGAATGTTCAAGCCCTGCTGCTGAGGAGGATCTGGGGCTCTCTGGAAGCATCAGAGAGCATATGGCTTTCTCAAATACAAGATATCTGGACCACCATCCTGGAGGCAGTCTTGCCAATACCCTGCCATACACAACCATTAAGCCTTTGCTGACTTACAGTGTGTGGTGTTAGGAGGTCTTTCTCTCCACTAAGGCAAAAGTTCTTCCAAACCAGGAATCATGACATTTTATTTGTGTGTCCCAACATTTCACATAGTATTTGGCTGAAAGCCAGTGCCCCATAGATGTTTGTTGAATGAGTCAATGAGAATGGTAGACACACAACCCACTGAAGATTGGTACCCGTTGCCCCTTGAGTGAGCTCTGATCATCATGCACCTTCCCCTATTCTAAGACACTTCCTTTTAACTCTAGAACCATCCACACAACTGGCTTATCCTTAGGAGTCTGCCTCAGGTCCCCAACCATGTGCCATATCCAAGCCCACAAAACTGATACACTCTTTGTGCCCTGACATTGACTGCATCTTCTCTCCATCCACAGTTTGGCAAATGTTTCTACAGATCTAGTGTTATAGAGTCTGTCCTGGGCACTATGGAGATAACCAAGAATGAAAAAGGGCTTTGTCCTGGTTGAGCTCACACTCTATTATGGGTTATGTCCTGCCATAGTTGGGAAGACCGTATGCTCTTATCCCTGCCTCCTGCCTGAGACAGGCTTCAGGCCACTCTGGCACGAGCTGCATCTCAAGTGTAACCATTCCCTGAATTCCACTGTCATGAGAATAGCCCTTGGATATTTACATTAGGATAAGACTAAATTTGAGTGTCGCATGCCCCCATAACACAGACATCTTCCAAAGGTAAGTTCCCTAAACTTGACCCAGCCCAGTTCCATCTCCCTTCGCCTTCATCTGACAGCCAACATTCATCATGTTCTGGACCCCGAGTCTCCTATCATCTCTCAGGAAATAAAACAAAGAAGTATTCAAGTTAGGCTTCCAAATTCTTCCACTTACATGGTGCTTGTCACATACTTGGCTAAAGGGACTTTCTAGATTTAAACATCTTTCACTCCCCATACTGCCCTAAAATAATTTTCTCTTAAATTCAAACAGTGCAATGTGATAACTATAGCCATCCCTCCAACAACAACAAAAAAAGATTAATATGGTCCAACCGGTTATAAATTTGGCACTCATTTCCTCCATATTTACGAACATTCATAAAAAATTGAGAAATCTCATGAGCTATATGGATGGGTCACTGTATAATTGCCTACAAAGAAAAAAGGATTGAGGATATAGAAGTGAAAGAATAATGTATAATTCATAATATGAAGATGAAAGGTGGGTGAAGTTGAAGCAGCTCTTCCCTTGAAAATGTTTAATCATTTTTTAATATCAACACACCTTATTATAAAGACAACATGGCTTATCCAAATACAATCAGTAAAGTACTACCGTCTTTAATCAAAATATTATGGAATTCTCAAATAGTTCCTAGAATAGAGCATTTTATGAATATGGTTCAAATATCAGTTAAATACAGATTTCTTAATAGTTGAGCCATTATGTAATTAAATAATATTTATATAATGACAATTGCGTACTCCATAAGTGAAAATTAGATTTAATGAGACATTTATTGGCTCAAATGATTGATAATAAAACTCTCTGTGCTGAAGGTAATTTATACACACACGATATGACCAAGAAAAAAAAACTCATCTTAATGCTTACCTTGTGTTCAATGTTGGTTATCTCCTATCCAATTCAAATCAATTCCTGGTTTAAAAACATCAGCCCAAGACTTAAGGGCAATCATCATTAGGAGCGAAACAAAGAACAAAGGTTCCTTTTTAAACCTGCGGAGGTTACAGAAAATTTTTGCAAAGATTTACATTTTATTTTACTAGTAAATTGATCTTTTTTTTCTAATAACTTATGGAAATGTCTCAGGAACCAGAAAAATAAAATAATTTATTTCTCTCTCCCCTCCATCCCTCCTTTCTTTTTCTTTCTTTCTTTCTTTCTTTCTTTTTCTTTCTTTCTTTCTTTCTTTCTTTCTTTCTTTCTTTCTTTCTTTCTTTTTCTTTCTTCTTTCTCTTTCCTCCTTTCTACTTGACACATAGGTAATTTGGTAATCATGGGGTCGATAATTGCAAGGATATATGATTTATACTGAGTACCTGTCAAGTGCCAAGCACAGATTGAGACTTTAATGCACAATTTCAGAGGCAGAGAAAACATAGGCTTTTCGTGGACTTATAAATGGAAGAAAATCCTGACAGGTGACTGTCATCATGATCCTCCATGCAAGTGGTATAACCCTTATGATAGGAAAGTAATATTGGTTAGGATGATCTTAGAGTACTCTAGGATATGTCTAAATGACCACTTGTAACTCCTTACAATGCCTTTGTCTACATTATAAATCACAAACTTATGTTTGAGTCCTGGATTTACTACTGTCTTCATCTATTTTGTGCTGCTTGTGGAGGAAAAGTTAAATATTAAATGTGAACTCAATTGAACATGGACACAAACAATGGTCACCAAGTCTCAGAACAAGTAGTGTGGGCCCTTTGAGGTGTTCATCCATTGCTGTGTCGGAGTAATCTCTATTTCAATCTATTCCTATATATTAGTTATTGAAAACAACAGACAATTACAAAAACAAGTTGACCTTTTTGTGTTCCTTGAGCCCAGTCGTGAGGGACCCTCATGACTGGGCCTCATGTCAAACAACTTGTTACAAAAAGAGCTAGGGTCCTAGACTGCACTGAAGCTTCATGAGACCTCTCCTCGTCTGTGCACAGACGAGTGGCCGACTATGGTGCCCAGGCTGTTGCTTCCCAGTCTGGTGGTGAATCCTCCACACTCTGGTGAGTGTAAATATCTTTTTCCTTCTCCCCTTCCCATCACAATTTGCTTATTATATCAATCTGCTTATTATATCAGTCTGCTTATTATATCAATCTACTTACTATATCATTTGCTTATTATATCAGCATTGCTATTTATATGGGATAAAGATTGTTTACCCTTAGAGGTATTGTGTGTGTCTTTTCTTCTCCCCTCGCGTGTTTCCCACACAGAACACTGCTGTAACAAAGTACCTGAGACAGGTAATTTATAAAGAACAGAAACTTCTTTCTCATCATTCTGGAGTCTGGAAAGTCCAAGATTAGGACACCAGTGGTTTGGTTGTCTGCTGAGAGTTGCTGTCTGCTTCCAAGATGGTGCCTGTATCTGCATCCTCTGGGTGCAGAAGGTGAAAAGGGGAGACAGCTGAAGGCTGTATGAAGCATCTTTTATAAGGGCCTACATTCCATTCATGATGGTGGATCCTTCATGGCCTAATCACCTCTTAAAGGTCCCCCTTCCTCTTAATGCGATCACATTGGCCATTAAGTTTCAGCACCTTGATTTTGGAGGAGACACACTCAAACCATAACAACTAGTTTCTACCTTTGCTTTGCCCTCAGTAAGACACTAAATGCCTTACAGCCTCAGTTTCCTTCTTGGTAAAATGGTGATATTGATGTGCCCCTTTTACCTCCCATGCCTAAGAGGAACAAATACCACATTAACAACCAAGGACTGTGTTCCCATTGCTCATTTCCCAGATTCCAGATGGAAGGTACATCATGAGATACAATTTTATCTGTGTCTTATCCTTCATGCCTGTCATGGTACTTTGTGCAAAAAACACATCCGTTAAGATTGGAGGCATTCATGGACGTATGTATTGAACTCTATCTAAAGTGCTTCTCAATGATCTCTGTGGCAAGTCAGGAAGAAGAGGTGTCACAATGTTTGGAGACAGTGCTCAGAGCATCCAGTTTGCTGTGACATTGGTCTCTTCCAGAGAACTGCCACATCACTAGCACATTCTTATTGGCCACACTACTGGTTCTGAAGTTGGTCTATCATAAGCAGCAGCAGCTCTGATTTTGTAGTTGCCAAAATTGTTATTTTGGAGTGAAAAATAGACTTTCCAATAAAAACAAAGTCTGGACTTACCCTGAGGTTGGTTTGGCTTCTGTAAGTCCAAGGTTAGAGAAGATATTGAGGGTTATTCAGAAGCAGAAAGGACTGGCCAGAATTAGTAATTTTGTAAGAAAACTTTCTGAAGATGAGGTATGGGGAATGGAATGGTTAAAAAGTAATAAATATTATTTGTTCCAATTTTTGCTAAGATTTCAACCATGGTTGTGGTTGGGTAAAGGACTATTGATTTTCATTTATTCTGCTTTATTCTAAATTTTCAGGCAGTAATATATAATGTTTACAAATGAGTTACATGCATTTTAGAAAGCAATATTTTTCCTGCAATACAAATTCCTCGAAGATGCTTGGGAAAGTGTACTGTTAAGTCTGGCTCCCATATTGGATTTTTGGGGTTTCAGTCCTATCTCCACCACTTAGTCACTATATAACTTAGGGGAAAATCCCTAATGCCTCTCAGTGTTGGTTTACTCACCTTTAAAATGGAGATGATTATAATAACAACCCAATATGGTTGCTGAGCTCAGAATTTCAACTCTGTTCTTAATAAAGAGAAAATAAATTCAGCTCCTGTAACTCTAATCTAGGGCTATTCTAGGACATAGATAATGGGGATGAGTTCTCATTTGCTATGCCTCGACATCACCTCTTCCAAAGCCTTTTGGATACACACACACACACACACACACACACACACACACACACACACACACACAGTATACCTGAAATTAAGTAATTTTTCCAAGAACTAAAGTTACTTATTTGCCTAGTAGGAAGCCCATTTCTTGAACATCACTGATTTTTGGACCTTATATTTCCTGAAGTAAAAAGGTGATCTGGATACATATTATCCAGGAAGTCCAAATATCAACACTTGTGGAATTCCAGGTCACTAGGTCCAACAGACCCAGCTCCTTTGTGTCAGTTGAAAAGTGGAAAAGATGATCTCATCGAGACAGATAAGGGCGGGCTGCATTCCATGCACCAGATAGGGAATGCCATCTGCGGTTACCTTCCCATGGCCCCGTCCTTTCTAAACATGTCTTGAAAAGTATGGGAGAGACCTCTCAGTCTTTACAAGAAGACCCTGTTTCCTTTTCTGCCTGGGAACACAGCCGGACCTTGTTTCTCAGGCTCTTCTGCATGTAAATGGGGCTTGGAGCTGAGTTATGACTAATGCATGTGAGCGAAACCAGCAAACCTCCCAGACCCAGCCTGAACGACCTCCTTTGCCACCTAAGAGCCTCTTCCCATCTGCTGGAAAGAGGCACAGCATCCAACAAGGACTCTGAGACCCAAGAGGACTGAGGAGCCACCAGACTGAAAAGGTCTTTGTCTCTGAATCAGAGCTGTGGAAGGCCCCATGTCAAACATCCAATTCCACTTTACATGAGCCAGAAATAATATACTTTTAGTATGTTAAGCCACTGAGGTTCTGGGGTTATTGGTTACAGCACTCAGCTCCACCATAAGACAAAAGACAAACTTGGATTCCACTAAATGATGACAGGTGATAGACAATTTGGCAAATTCCTTCCAGCGTTGAGTACATTTACAAATGAAAACAGTTCACTGAGAATTGTAGGTACAGGTCTTGAAAGACAGAAGCAGAGTTCAGAACTCACAGGCTCTGTGAGGCAGCCACTCCTGAACAAGACTCCTCGGCCCCCCTGGGGGCTGCCAAAACCTTGGCAGACAGGAAACTTCCTGGGCCAAGCCCCCTGCTGCCCTAATCACTGCTTCTGGAAAATGAGAGCACCTCCGCAAAGAGTATTTTTAGATCAGCCTAATTTTTAGAACAAACCACATCTGAGTGCTCACACTCCATGTGTACACTGTTACTGATGCATCTGCTATTTAATTTCCATTATTAATATTTACTACAATATGATTAGTCTGGTTCTGAGCCTCTGAGTTAGAGGTTTTTATAACTTTCTCAAGTATCAAGCCCATACAGCAAATGCATTTATTCTACTTTCTCTCAACAGTTCTACGGAATCTTTGTGTGGAAGCCTTCTTCTCTTGGGGTGTGTGCCTTTTGGGATGAGGCTTTGGGATCTCTTCCCTTACTGATCTCCTTTTAGGTGGGCGAAGTACTTTTTCCTCAGATCTCATAAAATCCAATGCTAATGAGTGACATTAATTTCAATGAGAGTATACTATGAATATTTCAATTTGCTTCTCCTACAATACGAGCCTCTTAAGGGTGGTGATTAAATCATAATAGTTTTATTTCCAGTGCTGGAGACACAGCTTGATGTATCATTTTATTTGTATTGGAGAAAGATTCATTGAGCACCTGCTATGTGCTGGGTATTGAGGTGGGCACCAGGAAATCGATGAAGAACAAAAAATAGCCGGGAACCTTGTTCTCATGAAACTAATAGCCTAAAGAGAAAGGCAGACAGTTATCGAAGATTTGCAGTAATAAACACATAATCACGGATGGATTTAGTGATCTGGAAGAAGTGAGCCTTTCCTGTGAAAATGTCTTACTTTTTCTTTCCCCTAATAGGCCCTTAGACAAGGGTGTGAGTACAAACGTTTATTTGGGAGGTGATTTCAGGGAGCACAATGAGGGAGTGGAGAAGTGAGACAAGTAATTGAAGAAAGCCAGTGAAAGTTATGTCATAGAGATAATTAATGCTGTGGGCAACAGAGACTCAGCCCTGCTGGGTTCCTAAGACTATATGGGACACGCCTGAGAATTGCCTCACTGTGGGCAAGGCCCAGCCCTCATGGCTCATTGGTTGAGAAGTGCTTCGGTTTATTGACTCCCTAACACTCCCAGCCTGTCCTATGTGAGTCAAGCATTTCCCCACAGCCAGAGAGACATCAGGGAGAGAGATGTAGTGGGGGCTGGCTATGAGGTGCCTCTGGGCTAGTTTATAGGGATATGGACTATTGACAGCATCTTCTGGGTGGACAAAACAAACGCACTCCCTGGTCCCCAGATGAGGAAATCAGGGAAGAGTGTCCTGATGAAAGACATGCTGAGAGCTAATGAAGGAGAAAAGGGCCAGGAATGGTGGCTCACACCTGTAATCCCAGCACTTTGGGAGGCCAAGGTGGGAGCCCAGGAGTTCAGGACCAGCCTGGGCAACACAGCAAGGCAAGGCTTTGTCTCTACAAATAATAAAAAATAGTTAGGTGTGGTGGTACATATCTTTGGTCCCAGCTGCTTGGGAGGCTGAGGTGGGAGGATCACTTGAGCCTGGGAAGTTGAGGCTGCATTGAGCCAAAATCTTGCCACTTCACTCCAGCCTGGTGACAGAGTGAGACCCTGTCTCTAAAAAAAAAAAGGGGGTGGGGGAGAAAAGATGAATGTACTTGGTCTATGGGGGGTGGCATGGCAGAGCTTTTTTTTAGCAAGAGGAAATATATTTGTTAGCATGAGTATGGTTGGTGTGATGGGAACATGCAGGGCTAGGCAGGGAGGGTAGGGACAAAAAGAGATGAGGGAGATACTCTGGGCCAGCTCATGTCAGCCTTGTAGCCTTTACCTCACCCTTAAGAGCGATGGGAGGGAAGCCACAAAAAGTTCTCAAGCAGAAGGTGGGTCACCTGGTGAGATCTGTGTTTGAAAACAACGTTGTTAAGACAGATTTGGAGCAGCCCAAGCACATGCAATTTAATAAACATTGTCCAAGTGAAAGATGATGGGAGTTGGACTACGGTGATGATGCTAGGATGGGAAAAATATCGAAGTTGTAAAATATGATGGATTGGTGGTTGTGAAGGAAGGTGGAAGGCAAGACTGATCCCTATGTTTTTGGTGTAGAAACAGAGTCATTGGTAAGTGAACAAATCCTGGAAGAGAATGAATTGGACTGACGATCAAGGGTTCATCTTAGCCATTCTGAGAAATCCAATTTTGAATTAGCAAGTAGGAAATATGTCAAGGTAGGCAGTTTCGATGATCTGTGTGGAGTGCACCAAACAGGTCTGGCCTGGAGAAATATGTATGTGAGATCATTGCATCCAGGTGTCAGCTGATGTGATAAGGAGGCCTAGCCAGGCATGTGGAATCCTGACATACAGTGAGTGAGTAGACAAGGAGGAACCTTTTCCATTCTTCTTGGCTGTCTGCTTTACTTCTAATTTGATATGGACCCTCAGTGCTAGGCTATGAATTCTCAGATTCCCCATCCCTGTAGATCCCGGGGTAGCTAAGTTGGGTCTTAAGAAAAGGTCAGATGCCTAGAAATGCAAATTGGTGGATGGATGGATGGGTGAATGGATGATGGATGGATGGATGGATGGATCCTGAATGCCAGGGTCTAACTGAAGGACTGAAGAAGGCAATGAATAAGAAAATAAAGATTGAAGGAAGAATGAATCATTGATGGATGCATGACAGAATTCAGTGGCCTCAGCAAGTGATGTTTTATTGTTGCCCAGGCAATGTGACTACATTGGGAACTGCATGGGAATATAAATGTATTAATTGCATATAGAGGGATGTGTAGACTTTGGCTGAGCTTTCTTATGTATGCAGATGGACCTTTGAAGAAATTTCAAGTTTTTTCAAAACCAACTGCATTCAGTTTAATGGTGCTGTGTCCCATATACCTGCAATGGTCTGGAAATGGGATCTGTGGTTGTAACACAACTTTCCTAGAAGTCCTTTATTCATCCTAGAGGTGCAAACATGGTCTGTAGATAGAGGCATATTGGCAAGTGAAGAAAGGAACACAGTCAACCTCATGGGGCTGTCTGGATAGAGCAGAAGAATGAGCTGTTGACACGGATGTGAACATTTAAATATTTACTTTATACTCTGGAATTGCTCATATATTAAACAACCATGCATTTATTTTTATTCACTCATGTATTTGCCCACTTAATACATATTTATTGAGCACATATTATGTACTAGATGCTGGGAACCCCGTGATAAGAAGAGACACCATCATTCCTTCTGAGATTTTCCTAGTGGAGGCTATAGATGTTCAGTATATACATAGAATTATTATACACAAAGAAGGGAATAGTACAGAATGCCATAAGATGACACATATGGGTGCTTACTTGACACTGGAAAGAAAGATAAAGCCTCACTGAAGAAGGGGTGGATGACCACCGAGTAGCAAGTAAAAATGAAGTCAGACGAGAAGTGTCTAACCAGGGGGAAAGGTCCATGCCAAGACCACCATGAAAGAGGTGAAAGACTAAGTTCTGTTCCAAGATGAGGCAAGATCCTGGGGAGGAAGGCGCACAGGAAGGAAGTGAGAACAGGGAAGGAGGCCAGGCTGGAGAAATGAGTAGGGGACAGATACCTAGTGTTTCCTCTACGTGGTGTTTTTCATTTTTCAAAACATACTTATGGGCAGTTGATTAGGTAGATTTTATAAATTAAATACCTGAGAACTCTTGCATGGCAGTAGAAGGCACCTTGAGGAATTTCCTAGCCTCTGCATTTAGTTACTTTGGCAGCACATAGTCATGGAGTATCTAGGAATGTGCTCGGTCATGGGTGGGCACTGGGGTGAGAAGAGGAGGGATGGGTAGATGAATGCTAGGGTCCAGAGGCAGGGCACAGAAGCTCCTGCATCTCAGCCTGAGCATTCACAGGGCCCTGAAGATCAGAGCAGCCATCACACTCCTCCTCATAACCCTTTGGTCTGCATAGGAGCCAGCATGGAATTTTGAGTGAGACCCACCTTGACTGTCGCCCCATTACACACCATCAGTGTGGCCTCTGTCCTAAACCACTGAGCCTCGCTAATCTCCACCTAATAAAATCTATATGTGGGAGAGTGGGTTGAGGAGGGCAGTGGCCCAATCGCAGGTGCTTGGTAAGTGTTAATTAGTGTAACTATAGAAAATGGGTTTTTCTGTGAGACTGCAGAGCACATAAAAAGGACTGGACTCTACAAGCTACAGAAAAGTCTCTTGATATGACACAAGAAGACTGTTCTCAAGAGTCACACTTGTGTGAGAGTGGTATTGGCTGCTTTTAAGACTATGGAGACTTCTAGACCTGCAAATATTCAAGCAGAAATTGAATTCCAAGCCACTCAGTGGGCTTGGAAGGATAGGAGGCTTATCAGCATTTTACAAATGTTCTTTATATGTAAGTCAAGAAAACTTTTGTCCTAAGGACTTGGCTTGCAATATCCTAATATACAAAAAGAGAAAAACACAGTGCTTCTCGTCAATGGGGAAGGGTGCCAGACCCCCGTGTGTCCCTCAACATTTCCCCTACCACCGCTACCTCTGCAGCCTTCGTATCTCCTCACTTCAGCCATAATGGACATTCTAGAAAACCTCTGGATCCGCGATCTGAAGTTTTCACTTCAGATTCCAAGACCTGGAATTCTTGGATCTTCAAATACCCCCCTCCTACTCACCTAAGTCTAGGCCACAAGTAGCCTGTACCAGCTGTGGTGGTTCGGGCATGGGTGGTTCCCTGCAGTGGTTCCAGCTGCAGCCTCAGGCAGGGATCTAGCTCCTGTGAAGCAGACCTTCCTGCTTCCTGCTGTGCTGAGGACACAGGTCCATTTTCCTCACACCCTCTTTATCCCCAGGCTCTGCTTCCAATGCTGTGGAGCACAAACTCTGATGCCTCTGACCATCAGGTATCTCAGCCCAGCGGAGGACCTGGAAGCGGGGCCCTTTCTCCCATAGTGAGGTTTCCTGGATGGCAGCCATGTAGATCTCAGAACATTTTGCATTCTGCAGGGAATTTCAGGTTAGACTGTTTCCCTGGGTATTTTTCTGCTTTAAAATCTTTCAGGTTTATCCAGGCATGATGGAGTTGATGAAAATGGTGTCTGTGTCTGTCTTTCCTCTCTTCTAAGAGGGTGTGGAGCTCCCCTGGCAGGGCAGAGAGCCCAAAGCACTCTCAGGAGTGGCTGCTGCCCCCATGCCTGCCTTGCTAACCTCTTGCCAGGTTTCTCAGAGGGAGGCATCTTAGCAGCATTTACGTCTTTGAATGTTCATCTGATAGATGTCGCCCCCCAGAAATGACAGAGCTGTGGCAACAAAAGCCACTGGTTTGGGGACATTTTCTTTAGGAGTAGTTGGCAGTAGCAGATGTGAGAAGGTGAAGGCTGTTACTGTATGCATTTTCTCAGGTAACTCAAGAGTGGAAAACCAAATATCTTAGGTTCTCACTTATAAGTGGGAGCTAAGCTATGAGGATGCAAAGGCATAAGAATGATACAATGGACTTTGGAGGCTCGGGGGGTGAGGGATAGAAGACTACATATTGTGTACAGTGTACACTGCTCTGGTGACAGGTGCACCAAAATCTCAGAAATCATCACTCTAGAACTTGTCCATGTAACTAAAACCCACTTGTACCCACACAACTATTGACATAAAAATACAAAAAAGAAGAAAAATTAAAATAAAAAATAAAAATACCTTTTATTTTTTTTTCTTTATTCTGAGAGCAATACATACTCCTTGTAGAAAATTTGGAAAATATAGGCCGGGCGCAGTGGCTCACGCTCGTAATCCCAGCACTTTGGGAGGCTGAGACAGGTGGATCATGAGATCAGGAGATTGAGACCATCCTGGCTAACACAGTGAAACCCCATCTCTACTAAAAATACAAAAAATTAGCAGGGCGTGGTGGCGGGCTCCTGTAATCCCAGCTAGTCGGGAGGCTGAGGCAGGAGAATCGCTTGAACCAGGGAGGCAGAGGTTGCAGTGAGCCGAGATTGTGCCAATGCACTCCACTCCAGCCTGGGCGACAGAGTGACACTCCGTCTCAAAAACAAAAACAAAAAAAAAAGAAAAAATTTGGAAAATATAAAAATGTCAATGAAATAACATTTTTTAAAAGAGGGGGGCGTTGGAAATGTTAAAATATTTGGGGTGTTTTCTTGCATTTGAATTAAAATTTCAGCTTAGATGAAACTATTAATACCTGTGTTAGTGTTAATCACTTTGGTCTTCTGTTTCTTCAACTGTAAAATAGGAATGATATTTTAGCTCCTAGCATGAAGGAGAAATAAATAAAAACAACTTGTTCAAAATATTTGATGCATGATTAGTCACTCCATAAAATGTAAACTTCCTTCCTATTCTTTTACCTTTTGCTTGAATTTAGAATGTGTGCAGATCTGTTTTGACGGTTCCTTCATTCATTCATCAAACATCATTTTATAGCTCCAAGATACTGAACCCTCACGCTGAGAACAAGAAGTGGAAAGGCAGCTTGCTGGCCCTGCCCTGGGCCTCAAGTCTACCGTATACCTGAGCATTTGGTGATGAATAAAGTCTCAGGTGTCAGGCAAAGTTCAGAGACTTTATTTCCTCTCGTAGCTTTATGACTTTCAGACTATTCCCTCAAAATTGTGCTTAATTTTAACTTCATTAACTTCCTGCTCTGTCACAACAGTTGGACAAGAATTTCTCCATGAGCAGTATTCAAATCAGCTTTTAATGAGCTATTTAATTAAAGGCTAATTGAGGTGAATTCATTAAAGATTTCTAAATTATGCTTATCAGGGTAGCTATGTTTTAAGATGAGTTTTAAATATTTGTTTTATATTGCATTGTTTGATCATAAAACTATGTATAAAATCACTTTTAAAAATAACTAATTAGAATGTGGGTGCATTTTTCTTAATACTTGAGTGGGACAGTTAGTAATCAACTTAATGTATGGTTAATGTTGGGCTGAGACAATAAAAGTTTACCAGAGACTATGACTGAGGTTGTGTTTGGTCCATAAAAAATTTCCAGGTCTCTTGAGTTATTGTGGAACTATCTTGCATCTGGTATTTTAACCACATAGTAAATCATAATGGCATAGATGCAGGGTTTTTACCAAGCCTTGATGACTTTTAGGTTTCAGGTTGACTCTGGAGAAAGGGTTGTATCTTCACTGTGCACAACATCACTCGGGAAAGGAATACATGAAACATGATTTGGCCTCCCCAAATATACCAGTGCAGCCTCGTCGGTGAGATAAAAGTTTAGCTCAACAAACATGCACTGATGGTCTCCTGCATTCTACATAAAGTCCTGGACAATGAGGATTAACCTGGGTTTATGGTTTCAGCAGGGAGAGACATGGGTCACCAGACAGGTACCCTATGTCATGATGTATTTGTCTGTCAAGGCAGGGACACAGCCTCATGAGAGCCTGGTGGAGAAGAGTGGTGTGTTAGGCTGACTTGGGCACCCCTGAGCCCCATGAGATGTGACTGTAAACCTTAACAGACAAGTAGGTGTCACCCCAGCAAAGAAGTAGGGAAGGTTGTGACTGGCTGAAGCATCAGCATGAACAAGTCAGATGAAAGGAAGAATATGATGAGGTTGAGGATGAATACGAGATTCCAAAAAATGCAGTCCCTGGGGAGGGACAGGAGATGGGATGAGAGAGAGAATCATGAAGAGATATAGAATCATGAAGAGAGATAGAATCATGCTATCGCTCCTGAAGGGCAGAAGAAAAATGTGAAGTTTGACATTGGGCTTTAGGTGTTTCAGAGCTACTGAAAACCTTTCCCCTTTCTCCCCCAGCACACTATACATTGAAAGGCTTTAGGGAAGGGAAGTCAGGGCAAATTCATATTCCACAATTGGCAGTTTTTGGGACAGTGTTAGAGGTAACTGTCAGGGCAAATGTAAAAGGGCTGGATACAAAGGTTATATTTTACTTGGAGATTTTTGTACTCTTTAGTCGAGAGAAAGGGCAGCTAATAGATTGTTGTAAATGGGAGTAAAGAAGAAGAAAAAAGGCAAGAGAAAACTAAGGGATAAATCCCACAATGTTGTGTGACTTGGATGTAGAAGGAGAAGGAAAAAGAACATCGGACCAGATTCTGGTTTTGGGTGTCTGTGTGGGTGGACAGGTTCTTGGTCACTCCATGCCTGATGCCCTCTATTCAATATTCACACTTCATTTTAAGAAAGACAATGGCCAACTTGGACCCTCAGGGAGAGACACATCCAGGCTGGTAATGTGCTGAAATCATCTCCCATGTGCATCTACTCAAGGCTGTGGAGCTCTTTAACAGGAAGCTACCAGCCTGTGAATGGCAGCCACACAGAAAGAAGAGGAGAGCCTTGTGAGTATGGGAAGACCAACTTACTTTTTTTCTTTGTATCTAACCTGATCATTTAAATGGATTAGCAGTGAGACAGAGGAGAATGCTGTGAAGTGGTGAGCAACTTGTTCCACAGAAGGTACGGGAGGAAGTTGAGGCACTTTTCTAACAAATATTCGTGTCATGGTTGAAGGTGGTTGGTGGACTCAAATGCCACGAAGGCTCCATCAGCACTGCAATCGAACGGCTCCGTGAATTCCTGATTGCACTAATTAATCAATCTTGTGGACCTCTCTGGCAAGAAATGGCCCCCTTGTCCTGGTTGTGTGTGTGAACGTGTGAGGTGAATGAAGAAAATTTACATTACAAATACTGTGGAGAATGGTGCTTGGCTAATGTCACAAACCCAACCAAAAAGTAAAACTACTTTTGTTTTAAAAAGTGACTTTGCATTTTGCATGTTGAAATATGCTCAAAGACAGGAGTTTGTCTAAGATGTAGAGGGACTGATGAGTTAGAAACACCAGTGTCCCCAGGAAGACACAGCAAGGTAAACACAGGCCCTTTTCTTGCCTCCTTATCATTCAAAGCGTGCACTCAGAATGCCTACTCTGTGACTGTGAGAGGGGAACAGAGTACTGATCTCCTTATATGCAGAATAAGAGGCTCCCTGACAGAAATACACCCACATGTTACATAGGGAAGTCTCTTCTACACGGGAGAGAGATGAGAGGCTCACTTAATAGACTATAGGCAGAGCTTCTCACAGTGAGTACCAGGAATGGTTTATTCATTCAGTGGATTTCATTAACCTATGCGTGCATGCATCCATTCATTCACTCTTTTTCTTATTCAGGAAATGGGATTCCATCTCCAGACTCCATCTTGACACTTGCTCCTCCTTCACCTCACTTCCACCATTCTCTCTTGGCCAGACAACTGTGACAGCTCCTAACTGGTCTCTCTCCCAGATCTATTTTTGCTCCACCCTAATCTCTTCCTCATGCTTCTCTCAAAGCAGTGGCTTTAAACAAACTTGGCCCTGTGAGTAGTTTATGATCCATCAATGACTCTTTTACACTTAGACTGAAGGATTTAACCCCATCAGCCTTCACTGAGTCTTATGGACTCAGTTGTGTGCCCTCAAAACCCATAGGTTGCAGTTCTTATCCCAACAGCTTCAGAATGTGACTGTATTTGGATATAGGGTCTTTGAAGAGGTAATTAAGTTAAGATGAGGTCATTTATTTGGGTTCACCATAATCCCATATGACTGATGTCATACAAAAAGAGGAAACTTTGACATGGGTACCAAGGAAAGGTCCTGTGAAGGCACAGAAGGAATATAGACATCTGCAAGTCAAGAAGAGAGGCCTCAGGAAAAACAAACAAACAATCTTGCTGACACCTTGATCTGGGCCTCCTAACATCCACAATGGTGAGAAAATATAAACTTCTGTTGTTTGAGCCACCCAGTCTGTGGTACTATGTTATGACAGCCCCAGCAAACTAACACATTAAGCTTCCCAAAATATGTGAAGTTCTGACACGGCAGGGTGCTGGGAGTGCTCTCCCTTCATGCTTTGTGTGTCTGGGTTCTTCTTACTCCTCCAGTCCTGTTGGGGATCTCACCTTTTCAGAAATGCCTTCGCTGACTCAAACGTGAATGGTATTCCCTCTTCTGATTAGCCTTCTCTGTGCCTCTTCCTTTTCTTTCTTATGCTCTCCATAATTATCTGCTAATTTAAGACTCCTCCCAAAACCGTAAGCTCTGTAAAGCCAACAGCCATGTCTGTTTTGTTTATTATTGTAGTCCATGGGTTTAGCACAGGGCCTGCCTCATAGTTGGCCCTCAGTCGATTTGTTGAATAAATAAAGGAATGAAATGCTGATTAAGAAGCTCTCCTATGCCAGTCATTAACCTGGTATGTGGAAAAGGGAGGTGAACAGGTCAGATGTGCTCTCTACCAGTGTGGTGATACAATCCTGCAGATAAGACTGACATCAAACATGTAAATGGAAGAAAGCATAATGAATGTTGACTTGGAAGAAGTACCCTAAGCTTCCCAAGCTAAGATATCTTTGTCTTCATATGCCAGTGAGTTCCTGCAGTTGGTCGGAGAAGGAGACACCCTTATTGAATTATTTCTGATGAGTTGAAATTAAATGAAATATCATGGCTCTTAATAAGATGCTTCTTCACTGAGAAACCATTCAATTTAAGGTTGGTGGGATTGTATTTGGGCACCCCGCCCTTTCTTAGTGGCAAATCTTCAAGATTCTAATTCCCAGAGGTGTCACAAATGGAGCCTGCAAAAGGCAGAGCATCTGTCTTGTTCTAGCTGGAGCAGCATTAAGGAAAGAGGAGGCCAGGGAGAATTTACTACCTCCAGAGGCAGATTGATTAGTAAGAACTGCCAGGCAATTTCCATTTGCATTTTGCCTGGGTAGGACTGGGGAAAGGGAGATGTTTCTAAATGAGAACAGCCCAATCATTTTCTCCTAAAACTTGCTCCAATTTGTCTCCCTGCTCCCAGAAGTTACTACCTTGCATAATCCAGGAAGGGAGATAATCAGCACTTTGAGTTACATTGGTTTTGCCTGCTCCCTTGATAAAATGGCAAAATTCGCCGATGAAATCTCGGAGTTCATTATGGCGTCGTTTTCTCTCCCCTTAAATCAAAGCCATTTTATCTCCTTCAGTCTAACCAGACTCCAAGAAATGGCATCTATGCTTCTTCTTGCTTTCAATTATTTATACTCCTAGGCAGACAAAAGCCCAGGCAGTGCAATCCTTGGGTGACTTTTAGCTCAGACTCTACCAACAGCTCACCAGAGCTGGGCAGGAATTGCCATTATTCACCACCAAATAGAAGGCAGCCACTCAAGCAAGAGCCATGGGTGGTGAAAACGCAATTTTATTGGGGATGCATACGGACACAAACTCTCACGCATGCAGGCCTTAATTGAAAACTAAAACAATTAGCTTTTAATACTTGTGAAATAACGGACTGAAGCACATTTACAGGATGACTGGGAAGCAACAGTCATAGGCTGTTTCTTTTTTAATAACATTGAATTGTGTTCACAGTTAAGCTCATTAACAACACGAAAGCAGAACAGAGCAGGACACTGGAATGCCATTTCACTGATTATTTTTGAACAGTCCTTGCTGCTTATTCTATGCTCAAAACCAAACCAAAACAAAACCGCAAACTAGGCTGGAAGCGGTGGCTCACGCCTGTAATCCCAGCACTTTGGGAGGCCAAGGCGGGCAGATCACCTGAGGTCAAGGGTTGGAGACCAGTCTGGCAAACATGGGGAAGCTCCCTCTCTAGTAAAAATGCTAAAAAAAAAAAAAAAAAAAAAAAAAAGAAAAGAAAAAGAAAATATAGCCTAGCATGGTGGCACACATTTGTAATCCCAGCTACTCGGAAGGCAGGAGAATCACTTGAACCCGGGAGGCGGAGGTTGCAATGAGCTGAGATTGTGCCATTGCACTCCAGTCTGGACGACAGAGCCAGACTCTGTCTCAAAACAAAACAAAACAATACACAAACTGGAGAACAAACTTCCTGGAAATAGGTGCTTGTGTGTGTTTTACTGTTTAACGACCAGATGTTGGTAACACAAGGTTGTGCCCTGAGAGGCTTTTGAGATCCACCAGGAAAGCACAGGGATTTGGCCACAGTCTGCAAGTTGGTCAATCTGTCTGTGAGGTGGTTTGTTGATGTCGGTATGGCTCCTCATCCCCAAAGTGCTCCAAACCAGATCTTTGAGCCCTCAGCTAGCCAGCCCGTTCCCACAATGGCTCCTTATGTTGAAATTTTCCCTCCACATCCATGAACGGCAGTGTGAGGGATGGGGACCCTTGTTGGAACTCTATGCATGGTCCTTGCACTGCCCTACTCAAAATGCATCCAGGGTTCCTCCAACTCCTCAGCATGGAGTCTAAAGCCCTCCAAGAAAATGGCCCCCAGCACCTTCCTAGCTTCATTTTTAGCCACTCTCTCCCGCCAGTCACACCCAGCCACACTCGTCTGCCTGTGTTGGTTTCGTGACTCCTCTGCACAAAGGTTCCCCTATGTTGAATTCTCTTTTTCCTCTTCTGGCAAGTTCCTACTCTGTGAAGTCCCCAGCTAAGAGGATTTGCCCCCTCCCTGGTTGCCTGTAGTCCTCTGATGGTTTCTCGCTACATCTATTATAGTCTCTGTGTGGGAACTTTTCACTTCACTAGAATATCTTGAGAGCAGAGCAAATCTCAGCTCAGACATCTGCCATGTCGTAGGTGCCCAACAATCTCTGCTGAATGAACTATAAACAAACAAGACGGACCGGTGCACCCAACTGTGGGGAGAGTGCCGTCACTGCATAAGCAAAAGAGATGCTGGCGCAGGAACAAGGAATTCTGTGAGTGGTTTCATTATTATTCTCATCCAGCCTGCAGAGTTCAGTAGACAATGTGACCAAGGGACAACATGGGAAAGTTCATTTTATTACCTTCTGAGTTTTCAAAAATGATATTGGTAAAAATGCTAATCATCTAAAGAATATTTTATTTTATTTTATTTTGAGACAGGGTCTTGCTCTTTCACCCAGGCTGGAGTGCAGTGGCACGATCTCTGATCTCAGCTCACTGCAACCTCCGCCTCCCAGGTTCAAGCGATTTTCCTGCCTCAGCCTCCCAAGTAGCTGGGATTATAGGTGCAAGGCACCACGCCCGGCTAGGTTTTTTGTTTTTTGTTTTTTTTTTGTTCTGGGATATGTGTGCAGAATGTGCAGGTTTTTTACATAGGTATATATGTGCCATAGTGGTTTGCTGCACCTATCAACCCATCATCTAGGTTTTAAGCCCAGCATGCATTAGATATTTGTCTTAATGCCCTCCACTACCTGTCAGGCTCCAGTGTGTAATGTTCTCTTCCCTGTGTCCATGTGTTCTCATTGTTCAACTCCCACTTATGAGTGAGAACATGTGGTATTTGGTTTTCTATTCCTGTGTTAGTTTGCTGAGAATGATGGTTTCCAGCTTCATCCATGACTCTGCAAAGGACATGATTTCATTCCTTTTTATGGCTGTATATCAATGATAGACTGGATAAAGTTTTTGTATTTTTATTAGGGACAGGGTTTTGTCATGTTGGCCAGGCTGGTCTCGAACTCCTGACTTCAAGTGATCCACCGGCCTTGGCCTCCCAGGGTGCTGGGATTACAGGCATGAACCACTGCACCCAGCCATGAAGAATATTTTAAATCTAAAAGTAAAGAGTTCCAAGTCTCATTACTTAGAAATCAATGGTTTTATCTTTCCAATGGGTGTCCATATGTACACATATTTTTGCATGTATGCGGTCACAAGTCACATATAATCAGACATTTTGCTCTTCTCATTTTTTAAATCATTTGTTTTTTTTTTTTTTACATTTAGTTTTTCAAAGTGTTTAAAGCAAATATTTGCATTCTCTTTTCCATTGTACAATTAAGTGTCCATGTTTACTATATATTTTCACACTTGTCTTCCTGTACAAATGTAGGTTTTTGGTGTCCAACTACCTGTGTTAAAATCCCAGCTCCATCTTTCCAGGTCAGTGCCATTGGAGAAGTTGCTTAACCTCTTGAAACCTCAGTTTTCTGTTCTGTAAAATGAACATAATAGTAATATTTACCAAATATTATCATTATTAAAATTAAAAAAATTGAGAAACAGTCTAAACATGATGCTCAGAACATACTAATTAATGAGTCTTAATTATCTTATTACTACTGTTATCATTAGAAAAAATGGCAATTTAAAACAGAATCTCATATTTATCATCTCTAAAATAGGGTTAACGCCTATTTAATGTGATTTTGAGTTGTTATTTTTGTCTTCAGGGAGATTAAAAGATGACATAGTGTAGTGCCTATGTTTCTGAAGAAGTTGAACAAATGCCTGGTCATTCAATTAGAGGTCGATGTGTGGGTGGAATCTGAGAAAAATTTACACTAATTTTTTAACCACTGCATGACATTGCCTAAATATATGTCTGATGATGAAGGCTAAGGAGCAGTGGTGACATGAATTCAGAGACTATTGCTGTTCTAGTCGAATAGAAAAAAATTTCTAAATATGGTTTGCTCTCTGATGGTGGGCAGATCATAGCCCCATCTGAGCTTTGGTTTTCTCGTCTAAACATCACTATGACAGACCAGCCTATCTTCAGAGCCAATTACAACTTTAAGACTATTTTTCTTTTTCCCAAAATCTGCCATTGACACATGGATAGATTTTCAATGACAATTTGTTTTTTCTTTTAGTTGACCCTCCTAACTTCTATACCCCAGTGAATATAAATTATTAGAGAGTACTGCCATTATGAAAGTATTTAATGTTCTGCTGAGTTACCATATTGAAAAAATGTGTAGTTAAATAGGAAAGGGCGGACCACTTTGGGAAATAATGTGCTTACATTTCTTCAAAATATTCCACTGGGCATTATGTTGCCTTTGAGTTATTGTACAGATGCCTAATGTATCCTATTAGAGACTGGACTTGATAACCCTAAAGGATACCTTTGCAACCTCAGAGTTCATGAAAATGCACCTTTCTTATTCTGGAAAGAAGTGCTGCATGAGTAATTGCAACAATTAGCTTTTAATTGCACTTAATCATCTCCGTTTTTAAGCCAAAGGAGAGGTAGATCTTACTGCTTCTCCCATGAAGTCGAAGCACAGACGTGGGAGCACAGACACTGCTAGCTTGTGTCTTGGCAAAAATGCAGGATATGCATTGTTCATAGATGGGAGCCATCCATTGGCTGCTCAATCCACCACTCTCTGGGATTTATGTGCCAGCCACCTGCATGTAGACAACAGTGGGCCATTATGATGCTAAAGTTCAGCCCCTCTTAAAGCCAAAGTAAAGAAAAGTAACTGTGTTTATTTTAAATATATAATCAATCATAACCCTGTGAATAGCCACTTTTCTATAAATGCCTTCATATATCATCTAAAGCCCTCTTACTTCTACATAATTCTCTTTTGTTTGGTTCCCGGTCTTTGACTTTACAGTTTTACTCGGGGGATAATATAGAACTAAAGCTCCAAACAAGTCTTTCCTCTATATTCTCTCCTTGGGGCCAGTGTTTGCAAATGAAACATTTTCTATAAACAGGGCAGATGGGGAATGGACTCATAAACACCTCAGCTACAAGGGCTGCGTGGAGTGGAAGAATAATCCAATGACTTTGGGGGAGTGAGCCCAGGGTTTGAGAGCTGACTTTTAGTATTTGCTTATTTAGTCTTTAGTATTTGCTGACTGTTAGTATTTAGCTGTCATTTAGTATTTGTGTGGCTGTAGGCCAATCATTACCTTTCTGTATTTCAGTTTCCTTAACTGTAAAACAGGAACCATGCAGGGCTGCTTGTGAAGACCCAAGAGTAGTTGAACACATAGTGATTCTTGAGCAATGTGCCCATAGGAAACTCTGCTGTTATCACTTCTCCTTCACTTTGAGTCAGATCACATTTTCTTTTAAGAGGGTCATTGGCTGACTGACATCCACAGGCAGGTAAACAACAGGGTGAAGAGGCTAAAACTTATATCAGCGTCTTATAACAAACAGTTAAAGAAAAGTGGGTGATGAGTTTTGAGAGAAGAGGGCTTAGGAAAGGAGTAAACACAACCATCTTCCATATAGAAAATTGAGGTCATTTGCTTTTTTTTACTTCTGACAAGCCCAGTAAAGGGTGAGCCATTATTTGAAGGCATATGTTAAGAGCTAACTACTCAGTCTACTCACAGAACAGGCTGCCTTGTAGACTGAGCTTACTTTTGCTGAAGATAGATAAACATAAGCAGTGCAGTGGGGGGTCCCAGCAGGAGTTAGAGAGAGAGCTGAATGGTATCAAAAGATGTTTCTTACTCTCAAAAGCTAAGTCTTTCTCATGAGAGATGTCAATTCCTTTTTCGTAATGTTGACCATCATAAAAATTTATCCTTATCTACATTATCTAGACTCCTGTAGAAAGGGAAGAAGGCTCTACCACTTACTGAATATACTATTCTACATACCAGGCACTGAATATTTGTGTTATTTCATCTTCATATACCTAATCTAGGACCAGGTGTACATAGGAAACAATCATCGAATATCTGTCACAAAAATAAAGGAATGAATGAATGACCTAAATGCATTATTATGTACATTTTGCAAATGAGAAGAATGGCTTATAACAAGAGGTGACCATTTAGATTGGTCTTAAAAAACATGCCTATAATTTTAAAACATCTTTGAAGAGGAGTTTTTACCAGCAAGATTCAGAAGTCAAATTTTCTTTCTTCTGAATGGAGAGTCAGAGCTGCAAAATCAGCAGTTTAGAGAATCCTGCTGTTTATCAAAAGTTAGAATGTCAGCCATCAGCAGACAGGACAAGTGCACTAATGAAAATGTATGGCTCTTCATTATTAGGCCAATTTACACAATGCAATTGGAATTGAGTAAGTTGTAGCAGCTACAAGATCTGTTTAAAACACGGGGGTTGATTTTAATGTTACAATTACCATAAATCTTTAACATTTTATGTTTACAAATAGACCTCAGAAAAAGGAAGCCTCTAGTAGGTATATTGCTAATGTCTCTGTAAGTAATTAAGAAAAAAGGCACCTAGACCAGATGCTAAACAAAATCCATAAGTTGATTTTCAATTTCCCAGAACTAGGAGAAAGTTTATTAAGCTCCAGTTGGTCTCCTCCATCATGCCAAAGAACAGGGCCCCCACCAGACTGATCCTTTAAGCTGCTGCTTTCAGAAGGGTCTCTATTCTTAGAAGTCTACTCCGGTGATGATTCCAGGAATTACTCTCCAACAAACTTCAGGTTAAAACTCCTGAGGCCTGTAGCCAGATTAGAAACAGATGCACCCTTCCTTTGTCCCAAGTTTAGCCACGCAGGAGTGAACATGGTCCCACACGTATGACATTGTTCAAGCAGGAGACTGTTAACTTACCCCCAAACCATTTTCTTTCTTCAAGGCCAGTTAATTTTGCATATACCATACCAATGGAGAGTGAGGAGGGTGTTAAAAAAAAAAAAAAGAAAAAGAAAAAGAACAAAGAAAGTAGAAGGCAGTTGATGATGAAAATGAACTTTATTTATTTATTTATTTATTTATTTATTTATTTATTTATTGAGATGGAGTCTCTCTCTGTCGCCCAGGCTGGAGTGCAGTGGCGCCATCTCAGCTCACTGCAAGCTCCACCTCCCGGGTTCACGCCATTCTCCTGACTCAGCCTCCCAAGTAGCTGGGACTACAGGTGCCCCCCACCGCGCCTGGCTAATTTTTTGTATTTTTAGTAGAGGTGGGGTTTCACCTTGTTAGCCAGGATGGTTTCGATCTCCTGACCTCATGATCCACCCGCCTCGGCCTCCCAGAGTGCTGGGATTACAGGCGTGAGCCATCGCACCCAGCCCAACTTTCATTGTTTTTTTAGTGAATGTGTGTGCAGCAATTTGGACATTAGATTGGAAAGTTGAAAGTGAATTGGAAAAAAGGTTTTTTTTTTTTAAATCATTGATGAATTTACTGAGTTGTGCAAATGTGCAGTTTCTAATTGGTATGTTGAGTGCCTTTCAACAGTCAGTGGTAAAGTTGGGAGTAAAACCCCGGTGACTCTCTGTCTTGTTGAATTTCTCCAGTCTGATAATCCACCACAAAAGTTTGCATTTTTCTTGAACATCCCAAAAAGGCATTTTGTACATTTGACTGCTGTCCTCATTGACCTAGGAATTCCTAGCAGGAAATTAAAGAAGATTAAGGAATTAAGAAAGGGTTGTTGTTTTGTGTGTGTGTGTGTGTGTGTGTGTGTGTGTGTGTGTGTGTGTGTGGTGTGGCAGGAGGGGCTCCATTGGTTTGTATTGTTTAATCCTTAACAGGAAATTAAAGAGGATTAAAGGTTTTCTGCCTGCCTGCATGGGAGGGAGGGGTGGAAGGGTCTATTTACATTGTTTTTCTCATTTATTTTTTCAACAATATTCATGAGCACACTTGCCCTGGAAGTGTGTCCCATGCCCTGGAATTAAACCCTAAGAATATAAAAATGAATAAGACAAGTATGTTTTCTTTTTGAAGGAAGTTAGAATCTCTTTGAGGATATAGACCATACATACAAGTCACCATGAATGTACATAACATGATTATACATTGCAATTATGACTTGTCCTATACAGTATATGAAATGAGTAGTCAATGAATTGTCTTTTTTTTTTTTTTTTTTTTTGATGAGATCTCATGATTCTCCTGTCTCAGCCTCCCAAGTAGCTGGGATTACAGGTCACCATACTGGCACAAACTGTCATTTCTTGATATTAAAGAAGTACTTTGCATTTACCTAAGTATTAATATGTGTGAGAAGACCCTGTGTGATGAAATTGAGAGCTTGAAATACAACCCTATGAACAAAAGTCTAGGGAAGAAAGTTGATAGTGCTGTGCAAATGCAGATGAAGGAATGTTCAATTCTTGCGGACAGAATTTAAGGCACTTTCTGGAGGAGGTGGCATTGGATTGAATCTTGAAAGATTGGCAGGTGCTAGCCAAATGTGAGTGCAAATATGACTAGAGGCAATTCTTGGTAGAGTGGGTGGCATGGGCAGAAATGTAGTGTTAGGAAAGGAGAGTGAAATATTAGGAAACCCAGAGAAATTTGGTCTGATGGTGTCAGTATCAAGGGGTGCTGGAGCATTGCGATGGGGTGAGATGACCCTGCCTTGGCTCACAAACAGGGTGAGTTGGAGCCATTTAATTAAAAACTTAGGAGTATGAACTTTATATTCTAGGTGATGGGGCTCCCAAATGTTCATACGTAGCCAAGCCCCCCATTTATCAGAAATAAAGGACATGGGGTGACTCTTCAGGTTCCAGATTCAGAATTGGAGTGAACTGTAAAGGTGATTAGAAGTTGTTATCAAAAATCTTCATAACTTGGTCCTGGTTGCCTTGATAGCCCAATTCCTCACTATTATGTCCCTTGCTACCAGATAAAAATGACACCAGATTTTCTTCACTGCACTGTCGTTGCTCCCTGGATCTTTGTGTATTCTGGAACACGTGCCTGGGACACACTTTTGCCTCTATATCTGGCTCTTCATTTATCCTTCAGGTTTCAGTTGAGACGAACTTTCTTCCACACAGTGTTATTTTATTCAGCAAATCTGAGTTAAGATCCCTTTTTCGGGCTCCTCCAGCCCTTGGTGTTTCTCCAGTGAGGACATGTGTCACACTCCGTGGCATTGCTTGTTTAGTATCTGCAGTCTTTTCCATCATATACACAAATAAGTTGGCTGCAAACTCCTAAGCACATTGACCCCGTGAATAAATAAATGGGACATTCTAGTTGGCTAATGTTCCAAGAGTCACAGAATATGGTTAAAAATAGACTTAGTTTTATTTTTAAAAATTACTTGCGTATTGATTAGGGTGAAAGACATGAGCAGTCTTGTTAAGACACTTAAACACACATGAGACAGACATGTGAGGTCTGTCTTTGGTGACAGAGGCATGGCAGTGTGGCCGTCTTTTTTTAAAACTTCACCTGCTTTCTTATGCCAAGATGGTAACAGCTGTAGGACCACGTGTCCCCTAGTCTCTGCCCACCCTTGCAGTTTCTTGCATTCCTGCCATTACGATAGAATTTATAAGGACCCTTTTCAAAAGAGAGGGATCAGGAAGAGATTTGACAGAGATATAAAAATAGCACCACAGTTGAGTGAATAAAAGCTTCCAGACTGAGCTGCTGTTGAAATATAAGGCAGAGAAGGGCACTGGTGCCAGTGAAATTCGCTGGTACCTCCGTACCTACAGCTAGCTGCAAATTCATTGGCACAGTCCTTGCCCCAGCGAGATTTTAGTGGCTGTGGGTTTAAAAGCCACTATGGGTTAATTGGCACTTTTGGGCACTTTGGGGACAGCAGTGGATTTCTCCATTGAAATGTCCATTCAAATTTCACATAGCCAGGTGTGGAGAATACATGGGGGACCAAGCCTGCAGGGGTTAAAAGCAGGAAATGAAGCGGAGGTCTGGAGCGGAGACTTTGGGACCAGCTTGCTGGTGAATGGTTAGGCCTGAAGCTAGGGTGTGGAGGAGCGGGGAGTGTCATCTCGTGCTGTTTCACAGGAAACTTATTATTATGGGTTTGCTTGTCTGGACCCATCTTTCCTGGGTAGTATGTGCCAACCAAGACCATATGGCCTGAATTATTTTGCTTACTTGCCTTGTCTTACATCAGTGACACAACACAGACACACACAAGCACACACACAAACACACCCCTACCTATCTTATCTTCTAGGCTCACGCTGCCTAGGTCACTGTCAGGTCAAGGTTGGTCACCATCAAGGCTGATCTTTACGGAACAGGAAGCTCTTCTGTAGTCACATTTTATTGCAATCATTAGCCAGGTGCCCAGGAAAAGCAATCAATAGTGATAGAGTAATCAGAGGAAGGCTGCAGGGGGCCCAAAGCAGCCAGGAACACATGTCTGGCCTGGGTATGACTCAGAGATTGACTGCTCCTGCCTCACATGCTTTCCACACAGAATTTAAGAAGATGAGAGTGGTGGACATTATATGTCTCCAAACCCAGCAGACGTAGGACATTCTTCATGAAGAAGGCATTGGAAACATTCTATAAAGATCCTTCCTGTTGCAAAAGGAAATCTCGGCACCTAAACAGCCTAGATGTGATATAACTAGAAACTCTCATCTACTCTGCATATCTTTACTTTAAATTTAATTCCATCATATTTTGTGGTGATACATATTTATGATGTTGAGACATTTGATTATATATAAAGAGCTCCTCAGTCATAACTAAGCATTAAATGAAGCATTCATATTTCCCTATTCCTTAAATATGTTGTTACATGTTTCTGGGATCACACCTTCCTCTCTTTTCTGTGCGGTCACTAAAGAAGGAACCTAGAAAGGAGAATGTGAGCCGTCCTACTTAATTTGGGAGATTTATACCTTTATGAAAATAAAGCAGTTTTCTGATGGTTTGTTTTAAACATGACTTACTAACTCTAAAGCCAGGTGTAAATGCATAAATCATAAGATTTTTCCCAGCACAGACTTTTCCTGAATGTCTGCGTTTTCTCTAGTGCCAAGGGCATCGAATCCTTCTATTCTAAATGACCTTCCTCTTTTGCTTAGGGGTGGGAGATGGAGCCTTTGCTCGAGGGCCAGTCAAGGGGCAGCTGTGGTGGTGCAGAGGAAAGGACAGGTGGGAGGGGTCGTCCAGTGAATAATGCTAGAATGAAACTAGGAATGGTCCCCTGGGAAATGGGAGACTCTGGAGGCAGAGGGCAAAGGCAATATTGCATAGTAAAGTCAAGACACAAATTCCAGATAGAAAACATATATGAAGAATGTCCAATCCAGTGTCAGGTATAAACAGAGGCAAGGCGTTAAAGGGACTAAGAGTGCCCATAGTCTCAACATCAGTTGTCCTGACATCATCCCCTCATCCGATACTTACTGAACACATGTTTTGAACTAAGTCATGTGCTGGATGAGGAGGTTATAGCAAGAATAGAAATGACTTCTCACCTCCCGAGTGACATTTATGTTCCAACAACAGTACATAAAGAGACAGGATAAAGTTGGGGTTTAGTGCACTAGACTCGGAGTGGCAGAACTAGGTTCAAGCCTTGTTTTGCCACTCACTGGTCACGTGCCTTTGAGCAAGTTACTTAATCTCTTTGAATCTGCTTTCTCACACATACACTAGGAGAAGAACTATGTGAGGCATAAACTATGCATGCTGAGTACACGGTACTGGTAGATGCTAGGCTCACAGAACATGACAGCTTATGGATAAGTCTTTGGGCTCCTGGGGCCATGTTGCCCAGTGTGGGTGAGCCTCAGGTCTTGGGTAAACACTATGGTTCAGAGCTAATGACCTTAGCATGATCATTCTTTGGTAGCACTTTAGCATGCAGTGCTAGTCATTAAGACTTTTCCATTCCTCACCTGCCGTAGTTACAGGGAAGTCAAACTCCAGGCCACAGAGGTTTATTTGGGGCCCCTGACATCCACAAAACCTTTGTTTTCTACCACTTGAAAACTGATAACATTTACTGGACAAGAATTTAACTGAGTCATTTTCAGTAACTGCTGTTAAATTTACCAGCAATAACCAAGTGTCTCTTCTACCTTCTGATAAACTGATACCTACACTTTGTGGCTGAAGGGGAGATGATGTCTACAGGGGATGTGGGTAGAACCATATAAAGCAAAGCTTCTGGGTCTGTAAATTGCAGGTTGATGAGGCTGAATTCTCCTGGAGCAATTTCTTAAGAAAACATGAAGATACCCATCTTTACTTGGCTGCTTGTTTTTCCAGTGGTGATGATTCCATTTCCCTTGATGAAATACTAAGGGATTTATATGCATTGAGATGCCTATGGGGTGATAGATGTTTATTGGCCCAAGGTTATTTCCTTGGGTCAATTTTCTACTCTTTTCATATGGGAAGAAGGTGTCATGAACTCATAATATCCAGTATATTCACATTAAGCATTAGGGTAGGATGCTTCCATTCTCCTTACTGTCAGCTGGCATTGTTCTTTCTCCATCGCTTCCTGTCCCTTCAGCATTTTGTCACGTTAATGACATGACAAAAGGAAGTGGAAAAGTGACTCTTGCGTTTGATCCAGGTAGACATGTTTTGATCTGGAGGTACCACTAGGAATGTGGGAGTCAGCATCAGAATGTCTTGCCTGATTCGTTGTTGAACTTTCAATTGTTATTTTCCTGTGCCTCATAGGCCTTCATCTGGATGCGATCTTTACTGTAAGTGTTTGTCTTTGAATTCCCCAACTGAAAGAATGAACTTCTCAATTCAAGAGTAAACCGTAGCATATACATTTTTTTTTTTTCTTTTTTGAGACGGAGTCTCACTCTGTCACCCAGGCTGAAGTGCTGGAGTGCGGTGGCGCGATCTCAGCTCACTGCAAGCTCCGCCTCCCGGGTTCACGCCGTTCTCCTGCCTCAGCCTCTCCCAGTAGCTGGGATTACAGGCGCCCGCCACCACGCCCGGCTAATCTTTTATATTTTTAGTAGAGATGGGGTTTCACCGTGGTCTCGATCTCCTGACCTCGTGATCCGCCTGCCTTGGCCTCCCAAAGTGCTGGGATTACAAGCGTGAGCCACCGCGTCCAGCCGCATATACATTTTTAACAAACATTTTCTCCCTTAATTAGACTTGTCGCTATTGTTTTGAAAACCTCCTATGTGTCAGATACTGTTTTAGACATGCTAAAACATGTTATATCAAAACATCACAGCAACCCTATAGAAGAAGATGACATGATGGCTACTATCTGATGAAAGAAAGAAGGTCCAGGCATTGCTCTACAGCAAATCAACAGTAAATAGATCCAAAAGAGGCAACCGTGGAATGCACTTTAATCTAAGTCAATGCAGCACCTCTCGTCTTTATGCTTCAGGTTTCTGCATACAGATTACTCGGAGCCTGCCAAAGAGTTTCATCAGTCTCTCCTGTGCTTTGGGTTTCTAATATGCTCTAAGTCAACACTAGGATTGTGTTGATCTGTGTTAGAAGCTAAGAGCTTGAGCAAGCTGGAGTCCCCATTGCAGTAAATGATGGGAACAACCTTCGAACTTGCCATTAATAAACTGAACTGGCCGGGCGCGGTGGCTCACGCCTGTAATCCCAGCACTTTGGGAGGCCGAGGCGGGTGGATCATGAGGTCAGGAGATCGAGACCATCCTGGCTAACAAGGTGAAACCCCGTCTCTACTAAAAATACAAAAAATTAGCCGGGCGCGGTGGCGGGCGCCTGTAGTCCCAGCTACTGGGGAGGCTGAGGCAGGAGAATGGCGTGAACCCGGGAAGCGGAGCTTGCAGTGAGCCGAGATTGCGCCACTGCAGTCCGCAGTCCGGCCTGGGCGACAGAGCGAGACTCCGTCTCAAAAAAAAAAAAAAATAAAAAATAAACTGAACTGTTCATGTTTCTGTGGCATAGCTTGACATTTAGGCCGAGAGTTTGTAATGCCAATAAACAGCTCAGGATGTGATGTGATATGTGTGTGTGTGTGTGTGTTTGGCTGTCACACAATTAAAAGCTTAACTGAGAAGGCTAAAGCTTTCATTAAAAGCCATCGACTTTCATTTATTTAGTGTTTTGGGGACCTGGAGAGAGTACAAATCAAGAATAGGCCTCCAGGGGACATCTTTTTAGACATGAGCCAATGATGCTAGTCTAACTATTGGAGTACAGGCAGCCTTATTTTTAGGTTAAGAAAAAAAAAAAAACGAATGAACAAATGTGGTCATTTGAAGAAATCAGACATGTGATTATTTTTCCTTCACTACAAAAGTATCTGAGAGATCTACCAGCCCCTTCTTTGATTAATACTGCTTGCGGTGGTTGTACACTGCTCAACTTGGCATTGCATTTATCAAAATTTGCCAGAGCAGACAGGCATCTCCATGTGAAAAGAATGACTGTAATGGGCCCCTGAGCCTTGCAGGGAGTATCTGGTCTCCATGAATGGAAAAGGTGGACATGCTAGGGTGGTGGGCTCATGGCCTGGACTCTGTGCTTTCTTCTACAAACTGTTAAGTCCTCTAAGCAGCTCTTAAGAAGTTTTTACCCTCGATCTTCCACATGAGATGACCTGCATTGTATATAATCTTTAGGGTTCCCTGTTGCCTTTTATTTTCCTCTTGGTCCTGCCAAAGGCCAGAACACAGAGAAAGCCTTCTGGAAGAGCTTTCTCAATCATTTGTTTCCAAATGCTGACCCAAACTGTCCACTTTTGATTCATCTGGGGAGTGAATTCTTTTTTTTAAATACACATTTCTAGGCACTACCCTCAGTGTTTTTGATTCAGTGTGACAAAAAAAAGTGATTCTGATGATCCATAAGTTTTGTAAAACACTGATTTCTAAACATCATGCTGACCTTGCCTCTAGACACTCAATCTTTGTCCAGTTAGACCCCTGAGCTAACCAAAGGATCATTCCCTGGAAACCTAAATGCAATAGAGGCCTTTGCAGGACTCTTATTACAAACCTGAAATATATCATCCTAGTCCTCCTCCAATTGCCATTGCTGAATTGGATGGCAGCCAACATCTCTACTTTAATTGAAGGTCACTCTAAAACCTCAAAGAATGAATTCAACTTCTGCATTTGCAGTAAATTTTGGCAGGTAATACCTTCATATTTCCCTGTGACCCTTTCATAATGGACCAGAAAAGAAGTTTCACTCAAAAATCAAGCTTCTTCTTTGACTCAGTTATAGAATTGGTAGGATTTCTCATCTCATGTGAAATAAACCATGTTTCCTTCTTTATCTTGGATGCCAGGGAGCTCAGAGCCCTACTTTATTCTTAATAGCAGAAACATTTTAACCCTTACACTTGCCATATCCATTTTTTCTTTCTTTCTTTTTTTTTTTTTTACTATCAATTATTTCCCCTTTAAAATTCCTACTCAATATCACTTTAGTAAAACATTTGGAAACATTTTGGGAAAAAAATTTAAATCTGACGACTTGGTGAGTGCAGCATGACATTCGTGGGAAGAGGCGTACAGGCCTTCCAGCATCCCGCTAGAGGCAAATAAGAATATTTTAGATGGTTTCATTCTTTCTTTCTTTCTTTTGTCTGCTATAGTATCTTCCCTGCCTTAGATTCCTGCTCATGACCTTTAAGAAACTGATCACGCTATTGGGCAAGTCCTTCCCCAGCAGCCGGGTCACATCATAGATCTTCTTACATTGTGAATATTGTTCATCAGGATGAGCTACATTTCTAATATTTCCAGGTTCACATACATAAAACTTTAAAACTATATAGGTCTATAGATTTCTCTTATTACTTTATATATTCAAATCCATTAATATGAAAAATTTCAAAGCCATTTTAGATTGGAAGTAATTCAGCCAGATACGATTTGAATATGAAGTCTGATTTCGGTTGGTTGAGACATATCGAGAGGGGGCTGCACATGGCTGTTCCTATTTCAAAAGCCTGGATAGACTCACAGCCATAAAATTTGCCTTTTACAGAATTACCTCTCTCTATGAATCTGCAGTGCCCACTTAGGCCAGAGTTGAACATGAGAGCTGAAATCCTTCTGACCTTTTCCCAAGTAAGCCTGCAAGGGAAATTTTAAAAAATGAATGAATAAAGTAAAAAAAAAAAAAAAAAAAAAAAAAGAATTGCAAGCTAAAAATAAACTCTGGCAGTGAAATTTATAATTTTTAAAAGGAAGAACTCAGGAAGCATATTTCACAGAATGTAAACATGCCCAACTCCTAATAAGTAGAGATAAATTCCAATTAATTATTGTCAATATTCCAAAAGTTAGGGAAAAACAAACCGACTATACCGAAACATTTTATTGTAGTGATATTTATAACATCAAAGTTTTGGAAAAATCTCCATATTCAGTGACTAGTAGTGGTTACCAAATTTAGCATATGCCCATTGACTGATGCTTAAAGATAACAATTTTATTTAATAGGACAGGGGGTGTCATGAGTGAGCAATTTTATATTCAGTTTGATAGTCATTAATATAATATTAATGTTGTTTGAACAGAGAAGGACATTTTGATTTAAATAGTGTTCATCCAGAATCAAAATTCAGATGTGTCTATAGCTCAGAAATTCAGATTCTTCTTTAATTCTATTAAATTTGAGGAAATTATTTTATTATGTCCCAATGAACCCCATTTGGTGTGAGAAAAAGAGAAATGAACATTTTTTAAGTGCTTGTTAACCCACAGTTTGTTACATCCATTTTGCAAGGAACTTTTCACGAAACATATTAAAATAGTATGTTTTAGTTGTCACCAGCCTGAGGATCAAAACAGGGTCACAGTAACTTTTAAAAAATGGCATGTTTTCTCTATGCACACTAACTCACTGTGTAGGAAGGTCAGGGTGTTCCAAGCTCTCCCTAAATATTTCCAGGGAATGTCTAACTGAGGGGTGTCTACACATGTGGGCTCCACCGTGTGACACATTCAGCTCCTGTAGCATCTCCTGGTGCCCTGGCTTCTGTGGCCCACAGTGCTGCTCGTCCTGCTGCTGACCACTGCAAAACCCCTGATGCGTGGTACAGAGGGTGCTGGTCCCTAGCACTGGGTGCCATTATCCTTGTCTGCTGAAGCCACAGGTTTTGAATCTTCTCAGTGCCTCAGGGAGACTTTAGGAAGCCCGTGCTTTAGACTTAGGTAAACCTCTTTTTTTTTTTTTTTTTTTTTTTTTGATGGAGTCTTGCTCTTATTGCCTAGGCTGAAGTGCAATGGCATGATCTTGCCTCACTGTAACCTCTGCCTCCCAGGTTCAAGCGATTCTCCTGCCTCAGCCTCCCGAGTAGCTGGGATTACAGGCGCCCGCCACCACACCTGGCTGATTTTTTATTTTTTGTAGAGACGAGGTTTTGCCATGTTGGCCAGGCTGGTCTCGAACTCCTGACCTCGTGATCTGCCCGCCTCAGCCTTCCAAAGTGCTGGGATTACAGGGGTAAGTCATTGAGCCCAGCCAAGTAAACCTCTTTTGAAAAACAAATGAAGCATATGCACAGGAAAGTGCAGGAATCATAAGTTTAGAGCCCAAATAAGTTTCATAAAATAAAACACCTGTGTAAATACCGTATCAAGAAGTAGAACCTTCCAACACCGTTTTGTCACTTGCCTGACAAGGTAACCACTATTTTTACATTGATCCCCATCAGTTAGTTTGGTTTATTTTTGGACTTTGTGTAAATGAAATTGTATACCATACTAATCACTCTGCTGATGGACAGGTAGGTATTTCCAGTTTGGGCCCATGATGAGTCAAGTTGGTATAAACATTCTTTCACTTGCAGTAAGTTTTCTTGAAGTAAGTTTTTACTCACCTTAGTGAAGTGGTTTCCAACCTTCCTCCAGCCTCACCTCTCGTACCCAACATGAACCTGTAAGTCATCACTCGAACTGTTGTAATCACAGCTTTACAGTGCAATGAGTCTCAAATGTGGGAGGATGCCTTGGCAGGCTCGTCCTTTGGGAGAGTCTCCTGGGCAAGCACCCCACTCGCTGTGCAGAGGCACAGACAGTGGGTCAAAACTCAAGGGAGTCAGGCTGGGAGGGAGCCCTGAATAGTGGGTGCTGAGTTTCTTTCCAGATCCCCCTCCTCTTCTTCCATGGTGACCTATGGGTGGGCCCCATTTCTCTCTCCTGTGGGTGGTACCCCTTCTCAGGAACTCAAGGAGGTCCTCTACCTGTTAGACAAAGAATAAATAACTCAAGCCAGGACTCCTGGTCAATAATGAATGTGGGTTCTGGTGAGGGAAATTTGAGAATGAAATAAATTACTCACTTCTGGTTTTTGACATGCATTTCTCTCATCCTGGATAAGATCAGAAGAGCAGTGGAATTCCCTGCTTTTGCATAAGACAATGATTCCAACAATAACAGTTAAAAGTTATCGAACATTTATATTTGCAGGCACTGAGCTATGTATTTAACATCCATACATCATATACTCCCTGGTAGCTTCATGAAGTAGATACTGTGATGTCCATTATTCAGATAAGGAACCTGGGGCTTTAAGAGTCTAAGTAACCTTCCTGAGGTCGCTCTACTAGAAAGTGGTGGAGTCAATTGTTACATATGGATTTGTGTGACCTAAGAGACAATAGTCTTATCCTCCTTGCTACATTGCTTTCTACGGAGGGATGCCTAATAAAATAATTTTTTTCCTGTAATGAAATGTGAAGGGCCAGTCACGGTGGCTCTTGCCTGTAATCCCAGGACTTTGGGAGGCCGAGGCAGGTGGATCACTTGAGATCAGGAGTTTGAGACCAGCCTGGCCAACATGGTGAAACCCCATCTCTACTAAAAATACAAAAATTAGCTGGGTGTGGTGGTGGACACCTATAATCCCAGCTACTCCAGAGGCTGAGACCGGAAAATCACTTGACCCTGGGAGGTGGAGGTTGCAGTGAGCCGAGATCATGCCACTGCACTCCAACCTGTGCCACAGAGTGAAACTCTTCTCAAAAAAAAAAAAAAAGAAAAAAATGTGATAATGCCCAGCACCAGATGTCACTATAACTGGCAGAGGCACGCAAGGCCATATTATATGAGAAGACAACGCAGTGAATGATGCTTGCACGTCTGCTGTGTTTATTTGAGAAGACAATGCAGTGAATGATGCTTGTACAAGCCTGCTGTGTTTATTTTTGGTGGTTCTGAGCTTTGCCTCTTGTCCCTGATCTTTGCTGCAAGGTGGATGACAGGATGCTTATTCGTGTTAGGGTTGAAAGAGGTAGAGTTCATATTAATGGGATCAGAGCACTTTCTCTGCAGAGTCACACCAACAGGCCTGGCCTGTGCTGACCCTGCAACATAAAAAGTCAGGCTGCTAACAGGAAACACAGGGCAATTTCTGACTTGCTTTTAAGTCCACTGTCATCCGATGTCGGGAATGATACTCATTACCATCTCAGAAACAGAGCTACCAGGTTGCAACTCTTTATCCCTCCTGCTGATACAGGAGGTAGCATGAAAGTCTTTCTTCTCTGGGATTGATGACTGCAATTTGTCTTTCTGGGGCTTCCACTGCCGCTTGGACAGGCAGCAGCTGGACCTGAGAAGCCCTCCTGATGCTTTCAAGTCAGCAGATTGCTTCTGGGCTGGCCACGCTTCAGTGCCTTCCCGTTAAATACCGTATTGATTTTAGGACTTTCTTACTTCCATGCAGCTCAGGACCCGTAGTTGGCTGGGATAGGAAAGTGGGGAGGAAAGGTATAATGGGGAGAGTTGCTCAGCAGGTTTGCACACACAGCCGTAAGCTATCTGATGCTACTGATTTATTTTATTTATTTAACAAATGTAATAAGACATGGCCTCTGGTTTGACAGAGGACTCAGTGGGAGGAGAGACCTCAGGGTGAATCTGTGGATATGAGGGTTAAATTTACGGAAAACACACAAAGAAGTTGCATTAAGAAGGAACAACATGGGATTCAATTTATAGGAAACAAAAGAATAGGTTGCACCAAGAAGGAACAAGGCATCAACCAGATGAAACTCCCTTCTCCTCTGCAGGACACCACTGCCTCCCTGCTATTTCATCAGCTCCCACCTAGAGGACTGAAGTCATCTTCATGCATCCCTCCCTATGGCCCTGTATTTCCCCTCCTACCTCTATTTCTTCAGGCAATTGCCAGGCATCCTTTTAAAAAATTGTAGTAAAATACATGTACTATAAAATGTACCATTTCAACCATTTTAAAGTGTACCGTTCAGTGACATTAAATATATTCTAAACATTTTGTGGCCATCACTACTAATTTCATAACTTAGAACTCTAATTCATCACCCCAAAAGGAAGCCTCGCACCCATTAAGCAGTTACTCCCCATACTTCCCCTTCCCTGTTCCTGAAAACCACTAATCTGCTTTCTGTCTCTGTAGATTTGCCTGTTCCAGACATTTCATATAAATGGAATTATACAGTATGTGGTCTTTTGAGTCTGACTTTTTCACTTAGCATAATGTGTTTAGTGTTCATCCATAGTGTAGCATGTAAAGGATATGGAGAAATTAGAACCCCCATACATTGATGATAGGAATGTAAAATGGTTCAGTCACTGTGGGAATGTTTGGAAATTCCTTAATAAGTCAAACATCTAATTACCACATGACCCCGCAATTCTACTATTAGTTATGTACTCAAAAGAATTGAAATCAGATAGCAAAACAAGTGTACACCAATGTTCATGGCAGCACTATTCATCATAGCTAAAAGGTGGAAACAACCCACATATCTATCAATTGATGAATGGATGAAAAAAATGTAGCATATCCAGGGATTCCTTTGAACAAATCATATCACTTTCCTGCTCAAACTCTTCAGTGGCTTTCCCTTCCATTTTATGTTAAATAGGATTGGACCATCCATGGCTACAAGGTCTCAGGTCAGGCAGCCCACTCAACCTTTCCAACGTGATCTCACACTATTCCTCCCTTTTCTCATTATCCTCTCGCCTTGATACTCAATTTCTTAAAACTTTCAAACCCTGTCCTGACTCAGGGTCTTTGGCGATGGTGTGTCCTCAGTTTTCGTATTACTCACATGTATCTAAACTATCACCTCTGTTATTTTTCTATTTCCATGCCCTGTGAATGTCCCTTCAAAACACTTCATATTGTTAATCACTTGTTTATTTTTTCAATTTTTCAATGCCTGTTTTCCCAAGCTCTCTGTGAATGGAAAACTATGTCTGTGTTTCCATTACAGAAGACACAGTGCCTGGAGCCGAGCTGGGTACTTAGTAGTTGCTCAATAAATACTTGTCGCATGCATGAATAATTACTTTTTAAATATTCTAAGGTTAATTTATTTCTTATTTGTATTTTATTTTACTTTAAGTTCTGGGATACATGTGCAGAAAGTGCAGGTTTGTTACATAGGTATACATGTGCCATGGTGGTTTACTGCACCTATCAACCCATCATCAAGGTTTTAAGCCCTCCATGCATTAGGTATTTGTCCTAATGCTCTCCTTCCCTTTGGCCCCAGGCATTGGAGCACAATTTACAATAGCAAAGACTTGGAATAAGTACTTTTGATTAGTTTTTGGCAGATGGTGGATTAGTCAGGCAATAGCTTCTATGCAATATGTGGAAATCAGGAGGTTAAAAATCAAGAGGTTGAGTCTGGTTAATTTGCTAGAGAGGCAGGATCAGTGTCTAAGTGGAGGAGCAATGATAGTTCAGTGGAGAAAAATATTTTTGAAAATTGTGGCACTTTTAAGACTCAGCATGGCTGTGGATTCTAAAGATGCATCAGGGGTATGAACATCAAATTGGGCACCGGCGTTGGGTGACCACTCAGGAAGATAAATGAAGCACTATGGGGTAGGAGGAAGGGCCCAGGTTTTACCAGCTCTGGCCTCAGAATCTCAGAAACATCTTGAACGTGATGTTTCAAGTCACGTTTGTGGATGGTGAGTGTTTTTTGTTGTTCATTAAACCTCTTATTATAATTTTGAGCCAAGCATGTTTATCCTTCATTTCAGTTCCTGGGGTCTCAATAAAGTGAATTTTCTCAGCCAGTGATGCTCATGCAAGTGTATAGGGTGGTTATAAAATATTGTCCATGTGGAGGGGCTAACATTTATTTGCTTTATTTCTATGACATCTGTGTGTATGTTTGCATGCATTTCTTAGCAAGTATGCCTTGCCTTCCTGCTGCAGCTCAGATCACATGAAATGAAATCACTTTGGCAACTTTTTAACCATTTTAGTTCCTGACATGACCAAGGCCCCCATATGAGAATCTATGGCCTATATGGGTATGAGGCCTGTGCTCTGTGTTTTCCACCAGTCCCCTGGTGGTTTTCATGCATGGCAGAGTTTGAGCATCACAGCCCTCCTGTGTGCATGATCCTAGGCAAGGGGGAACAGCCTCTGCTCTCCAACATCAGACACTTCTTCTAGAGAACCTGTTGTTCTCTGCAGAGTAGGTTTTGGTGTTCTCTCTGTGTACTCCCTGTCTGCTGCACCCCTTCGACTATGGGCTGAGAGTACATTTGTCTATACATTTCCTTCTGGGATACATGTGCAGAAAGTGCAGGTTTGTTACATAGGTATACATGTGCCATGGTGGTTTACTGCACCTATCAACCCATCATCAAGGTTTTAAGCCTTCCATGCATTAGGTATTTGTCCTAATGCTCTCCTTCTCTTTGGCCCCAGGCATTGGAGCACAATTTACAATAGCAAAGACTTGGAATAATTACTCCAATTATTCCAAGTGAGCTCCCTGGGGAAATTTCCTTTGCCTCCCATTACATCCCTGCCCTGCATTCTTCTTTGTGCTCAGCATCTCAGCCCAAGCTTGGCATTGCAGTATGAACTTGAGAGACATTTGAAGAATAATGAATGAATCAACCAGTTGATAAGTGATCAATAACCAAATAAAGTAGTATAAATGTAAAGAGGAAGGAAGAAAGAAACGTCATATATAATGGGGAGGGAGGGCAATGACGGAGCAGAGGTGGTTAAGAAATTGGGCAGAGAATAAGAAAGGAGGCAGAGAGAGCCAATATTGCAAACTTGGCCACTGGAAGTTGAGTTCATCATCTTATCACTTGACTGAAGATTTTCCCCGTTCTGGAATAGAGCCAATGCCAAGGGCTCTTAAATTATTCCCCAGTGAACAGCCCATCACAGTGGGTGGAAGAAAGAGCTCAGGATGAGGACAGTCTGATTCTGAATCCTGGTTGCCTTGCTGAGTAGCTGAATGATCTAGACAAGTTTTTTGGCATCTGAGTCCATTTGCTCATCTCGTCTGTAAAATGAGGGTAGTGATGACACCTACTGCGCAGGGCTGGGTGGGAACTCAATGAGATGTTGCATATAAAATGCATACCACACACCCAGTTTGCATTCACCCTGCAAGAACTGTTAGTCACTATTGCTATTACGATGGTGTCTATTCAGAGCCCTATGAGGAATTCAACACCCTTGGATTCTGCCTCTGTGGTACCTCCCATGTTTTTTTCCAACTTTTATTTTAATACCAAGAAGTTCTCTATGTATTTCTTTTTATTTGCTGCCACGAGAGATTTGCTGATAGTCATCCATTTGTATTTATGCCTAAGGCTTACTGCTTTAATTTGGTCTTTACCTCATTTTCAAGTTCTTTGTAATTATGTTCTCAGCTCCAGAATTGTTTTTTTCTTTTTATTCCCCAAAGCCCCTTGTGAAGAGTACATGGAGTGAAAGAATGAATCACTTGCTCCTCTTTTCCTGCAAATAATAGTAACAAGGACATAGGAGTATCTCCTGTTTATTTCCAATAGCAGCTCAAGCTCTTTTGTCTTTTTGAGACTTGTGTCCAGTAAGGTTTGCTTTCGTCATTAATTTTTTAAACCAGGTTATCTCACATTTGAAAGAACCCAGTTGGACAGCATGCCAGATGGTGGTTTTGTGTGCATCCTCCAAGTTTGCATGCAGTGGAGAAGAGTGCTAGACCAGGAATTAAGATGCGATGGAGACAGACCAGCCCAACGACCTGTCAGAAAGGAGAGAGGATCCATTCAAAGGTCACAGGATGACTTAGTAGCCAAATCAGGTTTCAAACCTCTTAGTTCAATATTCTTGGTACTGTGAGAAGCTTGGTGATTTCTAGTCTAGTTCATACAAAATACCAAGGAAGAACAAAAAGAGCTGGAAAGATGTGTGTTCCAATGACAGCTCTGTCCATTCTTGACTCTTAACTTAATCAAGCCATTAAACTTTCTGACCCTGGGTATTTTTATCTATAAAGAGAAAGTAATAGTTCCTACTTGGTAGAGTTGTAATGAGAATTAAATGACTTATTGTGATATTTAAATAAGACTATGGGCTGGGCGCAGTGACTCACACCATAATCCCAGCACTTTGGGAGGCTGAGGTGAGCAGATTGCTTGAGCCCAGGGGTTTAAGACCAGTCTGGGAAACATAGTAAAACCCCATCTCTACTAAAAATATGAAAGTTAGCTGGAAGTGGTGGCACATGCTTGTGGTCCCAGCTACTCAGGAGGCTGAGGTGAGAGGATTGCTTGAGCCTGGAAGGCAGAGGTTGCAGTGAGCTGAGATCATGCCACTGCACTCCATCTTGTGTGATAGAGTGAGACCCTGTCTCAGAAAAACAAAAAACAAATAAAAAATAGAAAAATAAATAACATCGTGTGTGTAATGCACTGACAGTGTTGTCATTTACCTAACATTTGTTAAGTGTAAATAATAATAATAGTAAGCTATTACTATTATTATTATCATTATTATTAGTGCCCATAGAGGCTTCTTAAGTATATTGTATGTTATGAATTGTGTTCTACTTGGTGTTAATCCCAGCTCTGCCACTCAATAACTAAGGGATTATAGGCAAGTTGCGTGGCCCCTCTTCTCACAAATGGAAACAAGAACTCTCTGGCTTTGTTCTTAGAATTATAATTATAAAAAAACTGTTGTTATTAAATTACCCCCTGCTCCTCCAAACATTCTTTTAAAACAAATGCTAGCTAGGTAAATACTGGTATTTAACTCTCAGCGATGACTGTGCAGACTCAGCCTTCTCTGATACTGATATTGGATGAGATTGTTTTATTGTGGGTTGCAAAAGAGCAAGGGCCGGTTCGGCTGTGCATGTTATGCTAACAAAATATTATCCACGGGCTTATTGCCATTGTCAGAAACAATGGAGAGGAAGAAATATGTTAACAGCACCCCCCCATAATAACTCTCCCCAAAGAGTTGACAAAGGGACTTACTGTTAACAATGGTGTTATTGCTTCTGCTGGCAGAGGGCTTTCCTGTCCCTCTGTGTCTCCTCCAGGGCATGCTATGGGCTGAATTTCATCCCAGCTCATGGCCTTCCATTATTACTAATGGTGAGAACTGACTGGAGTAGGTGAGCCACCATTTGATTATTCCATTTTTTAAGAAAGTGTCTCCCACAATCAGATCAAGTGCCACATTTTCCCATGGGGGCCCCTTCCATTTGTTTTTTAATGAAATACTTGGGTTGAGAAATTGCTTCTCTGTACAGTCCTTTTTCCTTCTCCAACATGGTGAACTAAATAGTTTAGGGTCTGGAGGCATAATTTACTGACTTCATTTAAATTGGACTGGAGGTGATGCTATTTGCACAGCTGTTTTTTTGTGCTGTGCCTACTTGCCTACTCCTTGCCACATCGCGTAAGGTAAACTCCAAGTCACCAAGTCCCAGGTCCTTTATTAGGAACAGCATGTCTCTTCTAACCTTGTGGGTTTAAACAGGTGTGAATAGAGTGAAAGCAGATATGGTCAGTTAGATTGAGCTGGAAAAAATCAATGACCCTGGACTCAGAACACTGGAGTTCAAGTCCTGAATACGATTTACAGGACTGAAGATTAATCACTGGACTTTTGGAGTTCATTCATTTTCCTTCATTCATTTATTCAAGCCATATTTATTGAACCAGACTCTTTTTCTAGATCCTGGGGACATAGAATAGAAAGAGCGAGGCATCTGTTCTCTGGATCCTCCATTAAAGTGGAGCAAGATCAGAAACACACAAGTCAATAAATACAAAATCAAGGCTGTCAAACATGCTTCCAAAGAGATAAACCAGATGGTAAGTGAGAATGACATTGAGCATGACTTTAGATGAAGCGGCCAACATAGTGCTTTTAGAATAGGAGGCATTTGGACTGAGACGTGAAGGATGCTAAAGAGTCAGCCACAGGAAAAGCTGCTGGCTCTCTAGCATCCTGGTAAGAGAAACAGCAGAGGCAAAGGCCTTGGGGATGAGGAGGCTGCTGAGGTGCAGTTGAGAAACAGAAATAGGCCAGGATCTTGAGCTCTGGGAGTTTTGAGCAAGTATGCAGGGGCTGGAGCATGTAGGCATTTATAGACCATGCTAAGCAGACTGAAGTGTCTGGATCAGTGATTCTCAAACATGGCTGTGTATGGAACAATCCAGGATCTTTGCAAAATACCACATTATTTCTTCAGGGATTCGGATTTAATTGATCTGGGTTAGAGTGTAAGCATTAGAATTTTAATGTGTTCTAATGTGCAACCAAGGTTAAGAATCAGTGTTTTAGACACATAGAAATTAACTGAAAGTTTGAAGCAGGAGAGTTACTGTGGTCATATTCACATCAGAAACATCATTGAATTTTCCTCCTTTTATAATCGTGCATAGTAGATGCTCATCAAAAGATGAGTAGATGCTCATTGATGAGTAGATGCTCATCAATTCTGAAAAAATTTTATGGCACTTTACAATTTTAAAAACACTTCGTGGCTCAGCCTGTAATCCCAGCACTTTGGGAGGACGAGGCATGTGGATCACGAGGTCAGGAGATCCAGACCATCCTGGCCAAGAGGGTGAAACCCCGTCTCTACTAAAAATACAAAAAATTAGCTGGACGTGGTGGCAGGTGCCTGTAGTCCCAGCTACTCGGGAGGCTGAGGCAGGAGAATCGCTTGAATCGGGAGACATAGGTTGCAGTGAGCAGAGATGGTGCCACTGCACTCCAGCCTGGGTGACAAAGCGCGACTCCATCTCAAAAACAACAACAACAGCAACAACAAAAACAACACTTGGCTATTTCACCAGTTTGAATTTTTTTTTTCCCCCCTGAGGCGGAGTCTCACTCTGTCCCCCAGGCTGGAGTGCAGTGGCGCCATCTCACCTCACTGCAAGCTCCGCCTCCCGGTTCACGCCTCAGCTTCCGGAGTAGCTGGGACTACAGGCTCCCGCCACCACGCCTGGCCTTTTTTTTTTTTTTTTTTTTTTTTTTTTTTTTTTTTTTTTTTGTATTTTTTAGTAGAGACGGGGTTTCACCGTGTTAGCCAGGATGGTCTCGATCTTCTGACCTCGTGATTCACCGGCCTCGGCCTCCCAAAGTGCTGGGATTACAGGCGTGAGCCACCGCGCCTGGCTTGAAGATTTTTTTCTTTTTTTTGATGGGGGCAACATGTATCTCTAATGGATCAAAAGTCTACTTGGACACCCAAATTATTTTCCTAGCCGAAGTCAAGTGGATTGGTCTGAATGTATCTTCCCCCATCAGTTAGTTCGTACATGGCATCAGTACATGTCTGTTGCCTTGTCTCACTGTGGAGGTGAAAAGCTCTTTTGATCCTCCTGGTTGAGGCTCTCACAGGGACATAGGGTGAGAATAGGGTAGGAGAGTCTCCATACTCAAAGAAAGTGGGTTGGCTATAAAGCTAGTCCATCCGAATTTATGTCAGATAATCACATCCCCTTTAAGCCTCAGTATCCTCAAAGATGCAGTGGGGAAAAAACAAGACAGATTCAAGGTTTCCAAAAGAAACACTGAGAAAATAGATTTGTGAGGGCTTTGCACATTCTGAGGTCAGTGGTTCTCAGACTCAGATGTGCATTTGAATCCCCTGGAAGGCATGTTAAAATGAATTGTAGGGCTCCACCCCCAGAGTTTCTGATTCAGTGGGGCTGGTGTGGACCGTGAATTTGCAGTTCTAACAGGTTCCCAGGTGATGCTGATGCTGCTGATCCTCAGAACAGACTTTGAGAACCACAGCTTTAAAGTACAGATAATGATAAAGAACACTTGTTAAATCAAAGGAGGCCACAGGTGAGAGAGTGGATAAATTTATTTCTCTCTTCTCAGGATTCTAATCAGTATCATATTTTTCAAATGAAGTTGTCAAGGCAAGCTCTAGTCCCAGTGACCATGGCTTCCGAGCACCCTCAGTTTTATGAGCCAACAAGGCAGAGGAGCACACAGTGGAACCCTGCCAGTCATCCTCCGCCTGCAGCTTACCCTGTTTTGGCCTCAGGAAGTCACACACAAGTCTTTTGGAAATATCTTCACTTGATTTCTCTGGTCCAGGAGCTATTAGAATAGAGATCATGATCTTGCAATTCTTAAAACTAGGTTGACATCATGTATCTGATATGGGCAGTCTGCGTGTCCTTA